>NW_018654717.1:2446975-2748556 GCF_000001405.40 Homo sapiens | reverse complement strand
TCGATGGCAGAACAGAAGAGCTGTAAAGCATTCTCTGTACCTCTGGGTCCCCAACACTTTGGGAAGCTGCCTGTCCTGCCGGGGCCTGTCTCTCACAAGCCAACTACAATCTCACGGTGCTGGGGCAAATAGAATGCGGGGCCCAGCCTTTTCCAGGGAGATGAGTCACTTTCCAGCTCTCGCCCTTCCCACTTTTCCACTGCTTAACCCCGCGGGTGCCTGTCTCTGGCTTTGCCCTTTCTTGGAATTGTTGTGGTTGGTGGAGCTTTGGGAAGTCACCCAGTCCGTTGCTTTGCCTGGAGACAGGGTGGTGCTGAGCCAGGCTGGAGTGTTGGGGCAGTCTTGCTCCTTCTGGGATGCAGTGGGAAGGCTGAGGAATCAGGAGGGGAATGCTCAACCCCTCCTGGCTGTGGGCTCTGGGCCAGGCACCGTGACCCTGAACTTCAGTCTCTTCAGCTGTAGAGTGGAGCAGTCACTGGGGCATTGGGAGCAAGGCTATTTTTCCTCATGTGGGACAGGCCCATGTACTGCAGGATGTTTGGTATTCTGACCCCTGCAGGTAAAACAGCACCGGCGTCCCCCATCCCTGGGACGAGCAAAAACACTCGACACTTTTCCAAGACTGCCCACAGTTGGAAAACCGCAGAATCCCTGTTCCTTAGAAAAGACAGGCCGGTGGAGGGTGTCAGGTCGGGTCCTGGGGTGGGGTTGAGACACAACCTAGAAGAGTCTGGGAGGTTCTGTCCTGCAGACTGAGGGCAGGGCCCAGAGTGCAGCCCAGCGAGGCTCCGCCAGAGCAGCCAGGGGCCATGGGGCTTCGAGGAGAGATGATGGGGGTGAAGCCCAGCCCAGGGGGTGCAGGCCAGAGGACTCTTGGCCCATAGGGTTAGGGCAGGCTGTGTGGAAAAGGGAGCCCCTGCTTGGAGGAAGTGGGGTTTGGTTCAAATCCTGCCTTTGGCATCCACCGCCGAATGTCCTTGGAGGAGTCTCTTCTGAACCTGTCTCTTCATCCAAGACAAACTTGCAGGGATGTTGTCAGGATTAAAAGTAACTCTGCACACAAAAGCCTTTGTGGTATAGATATTAAGAGTGCAATGAGTGAAGGAAAGTTGTACTGGGGAGAGGGAGGAGATTGCATCTTTAAGAACAAGGCAAAGCCCCCATGGAAGGAATTCCCAGGCAGAGCTGAGTTCCCCAGGTGAGGACCCAAGCCCAGGGGAAAAGGCAGTGGTGCAGCTCCCGGAGTGCAGACCTCAGTCAGACCCCAGCTGATCCCAGGGCTGCGTCTATACCTCTGCCCAAGGACAGGGCTGTCCTGGGGTCCGGAGGTCCCAAGGTCCTCAGCAGTGGGGCCCTGCACACATCCATGCACTCTCTAACCTGCGCCCCTGACTATTCCCTCTTCACCATCTGAGACCATGCTTGGCCTCTCTGTTTCCACACTCCTGTGGCCACCTCCATCTGGAACGTCCCCCACCTTTATCTCCCGCATCAAAGCTCGTTCCACAAGCTTGGGCCAAGCGTCACTGTCCCACTGCTTTCGGGGAGGCCCCTGCTGCCTGTAGCATCCACAGCATCCACCCACATCCTGCTCCCCTCTCACTGGAGCATATCAGCCTTGGTCTTAGGGGAAACTCCCTCACCCCCAAATAAAATGCCTCAAGTTGCTTTTCTTGGACTGACATACCCAACTGTGCTAGATAAAAGGAACACAACGGCTGGGCGCAGCGGCTCACCCCTGTAATTACAGCACTTTGGGAGGCCGAGGTGGGCGGATCACCTGAGGTCGGAGTTTCAGACCAGCCTGGCCAACATGTTGAAACCCCGTCTCTACTAAAAATACAAAAATTAGCCTGGTGTTGTGGCGCATGCCTGTAATCTCAGCTACTCTGGAGGCTGAGGCAGGAGAATCGCTTGAACCCGGGAGGCAGAGATTGCAGTGAGCTGAGATCGTGTCACTGCACTCCAGCCTGGGTGACAGAGCTAGACTCTGTCTCAAAAAGAAAGAAAGAAAAAAAGGAACAGAGTGATGACATTTGCCAACAAGGAGCTTCCGTGGTGACCAGGGGCGGCTGATGGCTTTGCAGCCTTGTCTCAGGCATCTCAACACCTCAGTGGGGCGGGGACTATTAATTTCCTCCTTTCCAGATGTAGGCAATTCAGTGAACGGCAGCTCCTGGTGCAGCCAGGCTGGAACCCCTCGGTGCACCCCAGAGCCTGCCCTCCGCCTCCCCGGTGCTGCCTCCAGGACGGGGCCTGGGCAGGGTGCACCTGAGCCACCCTCCTTGCAAAGGGAGTCAGGAGGAAACCTCCTCCTCGTCCCTGAGCTTCAGTAAAATATCTTAGTAAAAATACATTTTTTTTTCCAAGTCATTAACAATAAGGCTTTTGGTAGGCATCTGTGATGTGCAGGTCACGGTCAGCAGGCCGGCAGCAGGAGGGGCCGTGGGCAGCCCTGACCTCCAAGGCAGTGGTGTGGGCCTGTGGGCACACTCTGAGCCCAGGAAGGGGCTGGGTGCTCCACAGGGCAAAGGCCCTTTAGCCCAGGCTGGTGTGAGCCTGTGGGTGCTGTGCCCAGGACGGGCATGGAGTACTCCCTAGAGCAAAGGCCCTGCAGGCCCAGGCATCTGGTGCTGGAGTGGTGGCTTCCTGGACACTGGGAGCTGCTATGCTGGGGCAAGAGGAAGATGGGTGAAGAGGGAGGGGACAGCAGGCTAGGACAGGGGAGGGGCGGGAGGAGAGAGAAGGAGGAGGAGGGGAGGAAGGGAGGTAGGGAAATGGGGTAAGCAGAACCCAGGCTGAGGGGCTGGCCCTGGCTGGGGGTGGTGAGAGGCCCTTGGGCAGTTGCAGGCAGAAGCAGCATGGCGAGCTTTCTCTTTTCCAGAGGCAAGTGGTGGCAAGTGGTGAGGACAGAGTGGCGTGGGCAAGTCTAGATGTGGGGACACCCTGAGGAGGCAGGTGGAGGGGTTGGGAAGGCAGGAACTGCTGGGCCTGGGGCAGCTTTAGTAGATTCAGGGCTGGGAGCTGGGGGTGGGGATGGATAAGCCTGGGATGGCTGGGGGCCAGGTCTAGCCATGGGGACAAGAGCAGGCTGAGGACGAGGACAGAGGGTGCCTTCTGCTGGGTGTGTGGCTCCCAGGCAATGTGGTGAAGGGAGCTGAGAGAGATCCTGGGCCTGAGCCATGGACTTGGGAGTCCTCTGCTCAAAAGTAGGAGCAGGAACAGCAGAGCACGGATGGGCTCACCCAGGGGGCTGAGGGCAGAGGCGGGCAGTGAGTGGAGGATAGGGAGACGCCGACGTTCCCCATTCGAGGTGCCAGAAATGGGCTAGAGAGGGCCAGAGATGGTCACCAAGTTGGGATCAGTGTCTTAGGAGTGCTGGCCACCACCGTCTAGGGACATGATGACTGAGAACACTCCAGCCTTTGGAAAATAGGATCATAGCCAGCAGTGATTTGGGGCCCAGCGGGTGGTGGGGGCGGTGAGCGGAGAGGGGAGGAGAGAAAGAGGTGATGGAGGAGGCGGGCAGGGCCAGAGGGGAGTATGCTCCTCACTCACAGGGCTGCAGGGGCCTCACCCACAATCTGAGTGCCTGGGGCCAGGATCACCCCAACCAGGTCTCAAAATGTGGGACCTAGGAGGGCACAGGTGGGCTCGGTCAGCCTCTCAGGGTGAGGGTTGAACCAATGGGAGGTTGGAGACCTGGTCCCTAGACGAGCGCTATGAGGCTGCCGCCCGCCGCCTGGATCTGGAGGCTCAGTTCAGACCCCAGGCCGATGACCCCAGGAGGCCAGGCCTGGCTGGATCCAGCGGAAGTCACGAAACAAGCCAGGGTCCCTCTGCCCGGGGTACTTGGTTAGTGAGAGGGAGCGAGCCCCGGCGCCTTTGCAGCCCAGGCGTGTGTCTGTGCGGGCTGAGTCCCGTCTCCATAGATGGGGGCCTGGACTGCCAGCTGTGCCTGTGGACACGGGGGCAGGAGGGTCAGAGGAGGGAGATGGCTCCGGATCCACCCTAATTGCCTCTCCGGAGAGGAAGACGGAGCGGGAGCTTGACTCTGGCTGACCCCCACTGTCCCTTGGGGAGACTACATAATGAGAGCAAGGAAGCAGCTGTCTGTGTGTGCGTGTGTGTGTGCGTGTCCGTGTGTGCGTTTTTCGGGCCGGGGCTGGTGAGAGGTGCTCAGCCCCTCCGAGGACCACACATCCTGGTGGGAGGGTGGCCCGGATGTAGAATGCAGGCAGGCGGCGGGGGTTTGTGCCCGCTTTCCTCTGGGAGCTTGGTGAAATGCACATTCCTAGGCCTCGGACACACTGGATCAGAATTTCATAAGTGGAACTGTTCATCTTAAAGCCCCGTAGGTGGTTTTCATGTTCATTTAACTGAAGGAAAAAAACGCACGGGCCTGTGAGATCTTTGAAAACCTCAGGAACCTCCCGGTTCCAAGCATGCACTTATGTTGAACGCTTCATAAGATTAAGGATGGGTCCCCTTCTCCCCTGGCCAGGCTAGACGGGCCCTTCTGGAGACACAGCCTGTCCTCGCGTGGAGACCCCAATGACGCAGGGAGTTTGAATGGAGAGGAATGGGGGCATGTGGGTGAGGGGACAACTGGTCTGGATGACAAGGGAGTGGCTTTGCGGCCTGCCTGCGTTTCTCTGCAGGGCCTCTCCTAGTTCTAGGATGGGGGATATTGAGTGAGAGATGGAGAAAGGCCTGGAATCTGGTCTGGGCTCAGCCACTCATACAGCTGTGGTGTTTTGGACTGAATCAGCCGTCACCTACCTCCACTGAACTTCAAACCCCTCCAAGAGCACTGTGCTGAAGCCCTGCCCTAGACTGATAAAGTCAGCATCTCTAGGTGTGGGGCTGGACATGGGTCTTCGGTTCTAACCCCTAAACGGTGATCCTTTTCAACTGGAGTCTCTGATCCCCACCAGCTGGACAATAGACAGGAGAGAAGGGCGTGGTTCCCTCCCCTTCCCCTTCAAGGAGAAACTCCCCTGGCCAAAAGCTTTCACATTATGCTGATACTATGTTTGCTTCGTCAGCATCTGAGTGACACATGACATGGGTTTTGATTTGGGGCAGGCTGAGGCTATAGGAATGCCAGCATTTTAAGAGATGCTGAAAGAGTGCTGTAGAGAAAGGAATCAAGGAGAAGACACAAAAATCCTCTCAGCCGATGGCCCTGAAATTCTTTATCTCCAGGTCAGAAGGAAACACAGAGTTGTCCATTAACAAATTTTTTAAATATAAACTGCAGACATACGGGGTGGGTGTGTTTGCAAACTAAAAGGAGAATCCCATGGGCAGATAACTTCATTTTAATGCAGGTAACTTTTCAGTTTAATGATCGGCTTTATAAACCCAGGTTATCTGCAGCTGCTGATATCTGTACAGAAGGAGAACATTGCTGGAGGCAGAATGGAATCAGCTGAACCAAAAATCCCATTTAATTTACTCCCCTAAGTAGTCACTATCTTGCAGTAACGTCATTCAACAAGGTGTTGGCTACCTCTAGCTAAGGTGTTTATTTACAGGATCTAAATCAAAACAAAAAAGAAAAATTATGATACAATGGAAGATGTGGACTTTGGAGTCTGAAATATCTGAGTTTAAATCCTGGCTTTGTTCCTAACTAGCTGTGTGAGTCTGGGCAAGTCTGTCTCTCTTCTAAGCCTCGGTTTCTCCATTTGTGAAATGGAACACCTACTTGCCTATTTCACAGACATGTTGAGAAGTTTAAATCTCACAAATGATCATTTATATCAAGAGTCTAGTATGATACGTGACACATTGTAGGCACTAAATACTTAGCAGTTATAATTAAAATATGCATCTATCCCCACCATGTGTGTAATAAAGTTTCATATTATCTATTTCTCAACACTACAGTGAGGAAAACATCATTTAGCCCATTTGGCAGATGCTGAAACTGAGTTGGGGGTCACTGGGACTTCAGCCCAGGCCCTTCAGCTCCAGGTCCCTCAGCTCCAGGTCCCATGCTCTTTTCATTGTATGCTGTTAACTAGAGATGGACAATGCCATTTTAATGAGGTGCCAGGTCAGTAGGTGACAGGACTGGCTGTCACTAGCATTGGGGTGGGGGTGGGGGGGCAGGGAGTGAAACAAAGGGGTTGGAGCATCTCTCAGAGAAAGAATGGGGACTTCAAATCACAGAAGAGGTGCCCGGTGTATGCTTCATGCCAGCCAGTAGTGGTGACAAGTGCTGCACGCCTCTACATGTCACCATTTCCAGAACAAGCTCACAGTGCAATCTGTTCCACTGGGGGCTTCTAGCTAAGATGCCAGTTCTGATTGACATGTGACTTGTGAGTGTAATTCTTCACCAGCCCTTCATCCAATATGAAGAAACACTACCCCCCAAATATATCATAGTTTACATTTATATAAAATTATGCTTTTATTGTAAACACCTTAAGGAATCACCTTTGCAGAACATTTTTAAAACATGTCAATTTTCTTTTTTTTTTGAGACAGAGTATCACTCTGTCACCCAGGCTGGAGTGCAGTGGCACAATCTTGGCTCACTGCAACGTCCGCCTCCTGGGTTCAAGTGATTCTCCTGCCTCAGCCTCCCGAGTAGCTCGGATTACAGGCATGCATCACCAGGCCCTGCTAATTTTTGTATTTTTAGTAGAGATGGGGTTTCACCATGTTGGCCAGGCTGGTCTCGAACTCCTGACCTCAGGTGATCTGCCTGCCTCGGCCTCCCAAAATGCTGGGATTACAGCCGTGAGCCACTATGCCTGGCACATGTCAGAATTTTTAAATAACATCTCCATTTGTAGATAGAAGACTGCAGACATGTACAGACAACAGATACCCAACCTTTGCTTTGTGTGGATACATTTAGATAACCAGGGGCAGTACCTGCCATTGTAGCACAGACTCCATTTTAATACATCTGGATGCCACAAAATGAATGCTCTGGTATATGCAGGAAAGCCAGTGAGAACCAGTCAAAGACATTCTACCCCATCCAGGAGCTCTCTACCTGCATGTGGCTCAGTCTAAGCCCTGCTTTTGAAGGGTGTGCAGAGAGGGCATTTTTAAAATCTTGCAAATGAGAAATAGAATTTAAAAAAATTTATAAAGGGCACAGGCAAATCAATTCATTAAAAGAAAAAAAAAGGTGGGATCTCAGTAGAAAAATGGGTCAAAAGCATGCACAAATCATTTATATTCAAATAGTTTTTTAAAACCTAGAAAAAATTTTAATTTCATTAGTTATCAAATTTATATCTAAGATAGTACCTCATTAAAATAAGATACTATTTTTTTGCCAATGAAATTTGCAAATGATTTTTCAATTTTAATGACAATACCAAACACTGATCATACTCTCACCGTGAGTACAGATCTTTAGAAAAAACAGTTTGGCTGCAGGATATCAAAAGCCTTAAAAATGTTGATATCCTTTGGCCTGGTAATTCCATGTCTGGGAGTCTATCCTAAGGAATTAATCAGAAGTTCAAGAAAAAAAAAAGTGTTAAGAGCAAAATAAAGGAAACCATCTAAAAGGTCAAAAATAGGAAAATGAGAAAGTATTCAATATACTCGTTAATGGCACATTATTCAGGTTTATGAATAATGTTAAGAGATAGGTTTATGATGATTCTGAGATAAATAGGGGAAATCTTTACATTGTTAAGTTTTTAAAACATATGTAAATATATATATAAAGAATCATCTCAACTGTAAAATGGTTAGGAGGAGAAGGAAATACATTCAATTGCAAACAGAAGTCTCCGAGTGACAGGATTATTTCTTCCTCTCTGCTTTTTTCTGCATTTTCCATTTTTTCATTACAAAATGTATGAATTAAGAAAAAACAACTTGGACTTTGGAGTTGAGAACAAACTTTATCCAATGACTCTGAAGTTACCTGCTTTGCCCAAGTATTTCTGCAGAGTCATCAAATATATTCCAGACTAGAAAAAAAGCACCTCAAAGTCAAATGAGGTGAGTGCCAACAGAAGCCAAGGAGAAAAGTAACAGGAGATCAACAGGGAAAAGACAGAGAGCAACACTTGCTAGCAGAAAACAAACCCACAAACAAAAGCTAAACTGGAGCCTTTCCAATCAGTTCCATCTTTCGGGCTCTGCAGACAAATAAATAGGAGCCGGGCTGACCTCCGATAACCGGGCAGATCCGCAGACACCCCCTTTCTTCACACTGCGTGTGGGACGGGCCGCAGAGCTCTCTGACACTTCTGGACTTAAGAGTCCCAGGACAGCATGGCATGGGCTGTGTCCTTGGCAAGTCCTTGGTCTTTGTCCATGTACTATGGACATCTCCAGTGGACTGAACGTTGCTCAGTTTTGTAGAAAAAATATGAATAAAAACAGAGCTCCCAAGCTCGTGATTGTTTTCTAGCTTGATCTTGTCTAGAAATCTAAGTCATCTTGGCCAAAGCCGTCTGCCCTGCCCACTGCCTCAGTGGGGGCGAGACTTCCGAGTGCCTGGTCCTCTTGTAGGTCATAACCTTCACTGGCCCCCTGCTCTGGAGTCCTTGAGCCCAAAGGGGCCTCTTCTTGCTCAGAAGTAGAACTTTCTGGGTACATCCTGGTGGCCTTCCTCTCTGCATGAGGGGTCCCCGTGGACTTGGCATCAGGGCTCCTTGTGTCTCCAAGTACATGGTCATTTTCTGAGTCTTTCTGCCAGCAGTTGCCCCAAGAGGATGCTCTGGAGGAGGAAGGGCCTGTTTGGGAGCCTGGCCTTTGGTGGGGAGTGTCTCCACCTGGGGAAGGGGGTGGAGTGGGCCTGTCCTCAGGGACTGGGCTGCTGCTTTCAGAAGCCTCCTCAGATTGGCCATCTCCTAGACTGACCTGAGGGCTCCCCTTTTTCTCACCTTGAGTTTCTCCTTCTGACTCTGGCTGGGCCTCCCCTTCAGCCTCCGGGGTCTCTACGCCTTCTGGCTCTGGCTGGGCCTCCTCTTCAGCCTCCGGGGCCTCTACACCTTCTAACTCTGGTTGGGCCTCCCCTTCTGCCTCTGGGGCCTCTATACCTTCTGACTCTGGCTGGGCCTCCCCTTCTGCCTCTGGGGCCTCTACACCTTCTAACTCTGGTTGGGCCTCCTTTTCAGCCTCCTGGGCCTCTATACCTTCTGACTCTGGCTGGGCCTCCCCTTCTGCATCCTGGGCCTCTACACCTTCTGACTCAGGCTGGGCCTCCCCTTCAGCCTCTGGGGCCTCTATACCTTCTGACTCTGGCTGGGCCTCCCCTTCAGTCTCTGGGGCCTCTATACCTTCTGCCTTCTGGGCCTCCCCTTCTGCCTCTGGGGCCTCTACACCTTCTGATTCTGGCTGGGCCTCCCCTTCTGCCTCCTGGGCATCTACATCTTCTGACTCTGGGTGGGCCTCCCCTTCTGCCTCCTGGACCTCCCCTTCAGCCTCCTGTGCCTCCTCTTCTGCCTCCGGGGCCTCTACACCGTCTGACTCTGGCTGGGCATCCCCTTCTGTCTTCTGGGTCTCCCCTTCAACCTCCTGGGCCTCTTCACCTTCTGACTTTGGCTGGGCCTCTACACCGTCTGACTCTGGCTGGGCCTCCTCTTCTGCCTCTTGCATCTCCCCTTCAGCCTCTGGGGCCTCTACATCTTCTGACTCTGGCTGGGCCTCCCCTTCTGCCTCCTGGGTCTCCACTTCAACCTCCAGGGCCTCTACATCTTCTGACTCTGGCTGGGCTTCCTCTTCTGCCTCCTGGGACTCTATAACTTCTGACTCTGGCTGGGTCTGCCCTTCTGCCTCCTGGGCCTCCTCTTCTGCCTCTTGGGCCTCTGCACCTTCTGACTCTGGCTCGTCCTCCCCTTCAGTCTCCAGGGCCTCTACACTTTCTGTCTCTGGCTGGGCCTCCTTTTCTGCCTCCGGGGCTTCTGCACCTTCTGACTCTGGCTGGACCTCCCATTCTGCCTCTGGGGTCTCTACATCTTCTGACTCTGGCTGGGCCTCTCCTTCTGCCTCTGGGGCCTCTACATCTTCTGACTCTGGCTGGGCATCCCCTTCTGCCTCTGGGGCCTCTACACCTTCTGACTCTGGCTGGGCCTCCCCTTCAGCCTCCGGGGCCTCTATGCCTTCGGCCCCATCACTCTGTCCTGGATCTTGGTCACCTCCTGCCGCAGCTTCACCCTGCAAGTTGTCCTCATGCCCAGAGCCTTGACCCCCAGTTTCTCCCCTTTCACTTATGCCCTCTCCCTCCTGCTCAGCTTCCCCCAACTCACTGCCCGCACTGGTTTCACTGTTGTGGGTTTTCCCTTCTCTCTCCTGAGCCATTGCATCTCCCTCTGCCTCCCCGAGTTTGGGATCTTTGTCTCTGTTGAGTCTCTGGCTCCCCTCGCCATCCTCACCCTCGTCCACTCCAGGCCCCTGGCTCAGCCCCGGCCCCAGCCCTCCCTCAGCTCCCTGGACAGTCCTAGTGCTCGTGGGGTCCGTGTGGGTCTTGCCAGGGACCACCTCTGCTGCCTCCCCATCAGTGTGTTCTCCCCTCTTCCTCTGCAGAATCTGCTGCAGGTCAAAGGCCTCTTTGATGGGACCTCTGGTTGCCCCCATTGTGGCCTTGGGGGACATAGGGCTCACTTTCTTCCTCACGCAGGCCTCGCAGGGACAGAACTCCTCCCCCTCCGCCTCCTCGCCCAGCTGGCTCCCCAGGGCTGTGCTGAGGGCTGGCTCGTCCTCCAGGGTGAAGGAGAGGGGCCCCAGGCCCAGGGTCCGCTCAGAGAAGGCCGAGAGGTTTCGCAGGCCCCGGAGACGGTGTCTGCGCTGCTGGGTCTGCAGGAGCAGCTCCCCGGTGAGGGCCTCCCTTGGAGGCTCCAGCACCATCCTACCCGCCCGGCCCTGGAGCTTCTGGAGCTCTCTCTTGGTGCTGTCCTGGAGGCGTTGGGCCACGTCCTGCTGCAGCTCGGCCGCCATCTGGTCCAGCAGATCATTGTCCTGCAGGCCCCAGCGTGCTCGGAGCTCAGCCACCGCACTGGCAAGGTGGGCCAGGAAGGCCTTCTCCGTCTTCTTCAGTAACACGGACACCCAGATGGGGTCGCAGTCCAGAGCCGCGCTGCAGGCCACCGAAGAGCTCCTCTCTGCAGCCCCCTGGGTGGGTTGGGCCTGCGTGTGCTCTTGGCCCATCATGGTGGCTCCGGGCGGCTTTTCCAAACCAGGCTCAAGCTGGGAGCCACTCTGACTCTCGCTGGCACTTGGGTCCGTCTCGCTGAGATGACTAGGGGGCTCTGTGGGTTCCTCTGTGCCCTCTGCGGGGCACGGCTCTGCAGAGGCAGAGGCTCTTCCTGCTTCCTCCTCCTGGACTGGGTCATCTTCCTGGGAGCCTTTCCCATCCGGAGAGCTGGCCTCTGACAATTCCTGCCCGTGGACGCTTCCTTCTTCTGGAAGTCCTTCCTCTTTGAGACCCTCTTCAAGAGCCTCTCCTTGCAGTCCTCCTTCTGGCCCTTCTTTAACTTCCTCTAACTGCACCCCCTCTTCTTGCAGCCCTTCTCCTCCTGTTTCTTCAATTTCCTCTAACTGCGCCTCTTCTTCTTGCTGTCCTTCTCCTTCTGTTTCTTTAGTTTCCTCTAACTGCACCCCCTCTTCTTGCAGCCCTTCTATTACTTTAGTCCCCTCTAACTGCACCCCCTCTTCTTGCAGCCCTTCTCCTTCTGTTCCTTCTTTAGTTTCCTCTAATTGCACCTCTTCTTGCACTGTGTTTTCAGCTAACTGCTCCAGGTTCGAGCTCGCCCTCTGCTCCTCACTGTCTCTTTCTGCTTCATCCTCATTGGTGGCACAAGCGCAGGCTCGGGCGTTCAAGAAGGTTGGGAAACAACACTGCTGTTGGTTTTCCAGATCCCCTGGGCTCTCATAAGTTCTTGAATCAGGCCTCTGGTTGGAGGTTTTCAGGGGCAGCTCTGTCCCCTGTGTCACCAGGGTGCCGTCCATGGCACAGGGTACGCTACTCTCCCCTGAGCCTCCAGAGCCGCTGCTGATGTCCACACCAGAGGAGGATGTGGGCGTGAAGTTCTCCGTCATGGCATGGGACCCAAGGTCTGGCAGAGCCTGGCTCCATGTGAGCTCCCAGAGGCCTGAGTCCAGCTGGTCTTCCCCAACGTCACATCCTGGCCACAGGTCCTTCGAGATGCTGAGCAGCTCCTGGTACCGAGGGGAGTCTTTGAACCTCACTTTGCTGGCAGGAGACCCAAGGTCTTCCTCAAATAACTGCAGACTGGCCAGACAAGTAATGAGGGCCCCGGCTGAGCAGCTGAGCCTCCTGGCCATGGGCCTAGACACTTCGGGCACGCTGCTGGGCCGGCCCTGCTTGGAGCCCATCAGCGCCCTCATGATCTGCGTGGAGGCAGACACCCGGCCAGGAAGTGCCCGCAGGCTCACCCTGCAGCCTGCTGGGGCCTCTCTGTCTGCTCCGGCCTCTGCAGGGGCCTCGGAAACTCCCTCTGGAGCTGCCCCTTGGGGGACACCCTCTCCTGATTGGGGACCAGTGTCACTACTCCCCAGGAGGGCTCCCTCTGGCTCTGGGTCCTGGCCGGGGTCCCCTTCCAGGGACTGCTGTCCCGCCTGAGCTGGCTCCCCCAGGCCTTCCAGAGAATGGTCATCCCCAGGGTCCACCTCGGGGCCTCTCAGGCCACCCCCAGCTGCACCTGTGGTCTCGTCCGCCAACTCATATGTCATGAGTATGGGCTCTTCTGGAATGTTGTCCAGCCATTCGCGGACCACAGCCTCTGGAGACGAGCGGGGCAGAGAGCTGGGTGACACACCACTGGCCTCCTCCTGCCCCTGGGGGCCTCCCCCACTCCTCAAGGTCTTCTCCTCGGACAGCCCCCGAGACCCCGCACCCTGGCTGGCACTGCTTCTCCTTGATGCCCCTGAATTGGGGCCTGGGGACGGCGTGGGGCCTGGCTGGCGTGTCCCCTCCTGCGGGCTCCCACCTGGCCCCCGGGCAGTGCTTTGGTGGCTGCTGCCGGTGCTCCCACAGCTGGAAGAGCGCCTCTGGGGGCAGGGCCGCCCCCTGGGCGGGGTGGGACAGTACCTGCCACACAGCCAGCTAGCCTCAGGGGAGGGTCCCCGCTGGGCCTCTTGGGCCGGCTGCGTCCCAGGCTGTGAGCAGCAGTGGCTTCGGTGGGGGCCCACCGCCCCTTGCTCAGGCCGTCCAACCTGCAGAACCAAGGGTGAGGAGGGCTGAGGCGTGTCCCTGGCCTCTTCCCCCGGGCTGGCAGCCCCAGATTTTGAGCAGGAGTCGGATGTGTGGGGAGGTATGGGGGCCGGCGAGCATGTCCTGGACCCCGCGTCCCCTGCCCACCCGGCAGAGGGAGCGTTGTGCGGGGAGACTCCAGAAACAAAATCCGAGTGGACTGCAGGGGTGACAGTGGCACTGCTGGTTCCCAGAAGGTCCTGGGAAGGAAGAGAGCCCGAGGAGGGAGGTCTCAGGTTCCCAGAGGCCTGTGTCCTGGTGCTCGATGAGCTTCCAGAATATCGTGGCACTGAGCCATCCTGGCAGGCCCTTCGCCGCTCAGGAGGCCTCGGCACTTGCTTGGTTACAGAGGAGTCCAGTGGGCTGTGGGTGTCCTTGCGGTAGTGAGAATGCCTGGGATGGCCTCTCGGGGCCACTCGGCCAAGGCCAGGGCTGCTGGGTGAGGACATTGCACTGGCCCGGCTTCTGTGCCTTCTCTGCCCCTGCTGGGATGAAGTGCAGGTGGAAGGGGTGGAAGAGGCTCCTTCCGAGTCCCAGGAGCAGGAAAGGCCCAGAACCAGAGGCTCCCTTGTCACAGCCGCTCCCGTGGCCTGCTCGGTACCCTGTCCTTGCGTCTCTGCCTGCAGGTCGTCACTCCTTAAAGATGAAAGACTCAGGGCTGGAGAAGCGGGGTCGCCTCCCTCGCTGGCCTCCTGCTGAGAGGTCTCGGCCCTTGCCTTGCCTGGACAGCCCTGGGGCCGCCCACCCCATTCGCTGGATCCCTCATGAGAGCCGGTGCTGGCTGACGAGTCCGAAGAAGCCCCCTCCTCACTCCGGGCCCTCGGTGTCAGGCGGCCGCCTTGCTCTGGGCTGCCCAGCCCTGCTCCATCTATGCATAGGCCGGGGTCCTCACCCAGGCTCCCTCCAGCTTTCCGCTCAGCCCCTATCTGGACAGAGGGGCTGGCACTGTCCACCCCGTCCTCCGGGGTCCTGGGGCAGCAGGAGGACTCTGGCTCCGAGCCCTCGGGGAGGCCGGTGCTGGAGGCTGGGCTGGCACTGTCCTGGCTGCATCTCTCCCTCCCGGCAGTCCCGTGGCCCCACAGGCCACTGCAGCGGACGTGCTGGGCCAGTCCCCACCTCTTCCGAGCTGCCACTCTCTCTCCCTGGGAGGCATGCAGGGGATTCGTCCAGATTTCATACTTGGGCCCTGGCTGCCCGCCTCGGCCAAAGACTTCCCTGCATCCCACCCTGCAGGGCCGGGGTCCCCACACCCCAGGCTCTGAGAAGCCCCAAGGGTAGCCCTCCCACACACAGCAGAGGGGGTCTACCTCCCCCAGAACGGGGTCTTCCCCACTGGCTGCCGTGAGGGCGCTGGCCCTGCCCATCCTCCGGGACCATAGGAGCGTGTCCTCGCCGACCAGGTGGAAGCGGACTTTCATCTCCACGGACAGGCTGCCGTCCTCATTCATGCGGACCTTCTTCTTCATGTCATCGCCAGCCACCAGCGGGCCCGACTGAGCTGGCGTGTCCTGAGGGTGCCTGCCAGGAGCAGGGCCCACCGGGGGGTTGCTAGGACCAGGCCTTTCTGGCAGCCGTGGCGTGCTGCCTGGCGGAGACCGCGAATGGATCACACTCGGCTTGGTCTTTGGCCCCCAGCTCCCTGGCACGCAGTGAAGAGGAAAAGAAAAGAAGAAAAGACTGTGAGCCATGGGGGCAGCGTCAGGATAAAGGAATAAAACAGTCATGAGCCTCCCACGACCTCAGCATCACCACTGCCTCCAAAATGCACGGTGACAGCTGTGCGCGGTGGCTCAGGCCTGTAATCCAAGCACTTTGGGAGGCCGAGGCGGGAGGACTGCTTGAGCTCAGGGTTTCAAGACCAGCCTGGACAACTTAGTGAGACACCATCTCTACAAAAAAAAAAAAAAAAAAAAAAAAGTAAAGAAATAATTACCTAAGCATGGTAGTATGCCCCTACAGTCCCAGCTTCCTAGCTACTCGGAAGGCTGAGGCAGGAGAATCCCCTGAGTCCCAGAGTTGGAGGCTGCAGTGAGCTATGCACCACTGCGCTCCAGCCTGGATGACAGAGCAAGACCATTAAAAAAAGAAAAGAAAAAAAAAAGCATGATAAGGGCAGAGCTATTCTAGAATGACCATCCACAGAGCTACCAGTCTGTGAACTGGCATTGTCTAACAAGGAGAACTTCAGTCTGAATTCAATCTCAACTCTGCTGCTTACTAGCTGCGTAGTTTTTGGCAGAGCCTGCTTTCTGAACCGTAAAATAAGCATAATAATATTGATTGGTTCGGTTCGTATTGATGCATGGCTGTGCATATAAAACTTCCTTTATAGTTGCTAGCACATAGTAGGCTCTCGAGAGATGGCAGACTTGGCAGGCAGAGTGGCAGTGCCCAGATCTTGCTCCTGGCCCTCCTCATGCCCACACCCAGCACAGCAGGTGAAATCAATAAACTGCTGCATATGACCCTGACTGTAAACTGTTATATTCTCTGTGATTATTAGTGGTGATTTATCACCCTAAGCCTCATCAAGCTCCTGGTTGATAAATGGCTGCAGGGAAGGACCTGGGCGAACCATCTCAGGTCCTGCTAGTCAAGCCTGCACCCCAGCCATGAAGAAGAGAAGAAAGGGTTGCTAAGGATGCAAAGGAGTGGCTCTAAGAAAGAATGAGCCAGGCGTGATAGCTCACGCCTGTAATCCCAACACTTTGGGAGGCCGAGGCAGGCGGATCACCTGAGGTCAGGAGTTCAAGACCAGCCTGGCCAACATGGGGAAACCCCATCTCTACTAAAAGCACAAAAAAATAGCTGGGCGTGGTTGTGGGAGACTGTAATCCCAGCCACTCGGGAGGCTGAGGCACAAAAATCACTTGAACCCGAGAGGCGGAGGTTGCAGTGAGCCTAGATCGCATCACTGCACTCCAGCCTGGGTGACAGGGTAAGATTCTGTCGTCAAAAAAAAAAAAAAAAAAGAAAAGAAAAAAGAAAGGAGGGAAGGAAGGAAGGAAGGAAAAAAAAAAGAAAGAAAGAACAAATGAATGAAGCCCCCAAGGGCTTTCAAATTCCATCTCCTGAGGGGAGGGGGAAGGGATAGCATTAGGAGATATACCTAATGTAAATGACGAGTTAATGGGTGCAGCACACCAACATGGCACATGTATACATATGTAACAAACCTGCATGTTGTGCACATGTACCCTAAAACTTAAAGTATAATAAAAATAAATAAATAAAAACAAATTCCATCTCCCGAGCCAACATGTGGCAAAAGGGTAGGGCTAGCAGAGGCTGAGCATATGGCCAGCAAAAGAACCCCAGGTGCACATCTGGGCAGAAGATGGCTTTGCCCAGTCCTGGCCCTCCACAGGGACCAAATGAGACTGGACACTCCTCCAGGGAGGGACCCAGAGTAAACTGTCCTTGTGCCTCCAGTGCCTGACCCACAGTGATCACCGAGCCTGTCCCTTGGGCCTCCAGCACCTGACCTACAGTGATCACCGAGCCTGTGCTTGTTGGTGTTTCTGAGCTTTTCACAAAGGATAGTACTTTGTTTACTCGCCAAATTTTTCCATCATCAGACTGCATTTGTTAATTGTGCTTTTAAAAATAAGTGTGTGTAGTTTTAAAAAAATAACATAGTCCAGACTGTGGCTCTTTGGCTGGATATATGGTTGGTTGTATGGATGGATGGATAATCTGTGGTCATGGTTAGTTTTAGTCCCTTTGACCCCCATGCAGGCCACCACTGTTGCCTGAGACCATCGTGACCCTGAAAGGATGCAACGCCAGGCACACGGCCCATTGCTGCCATGATGTCATGGCCACTGTAGTTGTTTCTTTTTTGAGGCAGGGTCTCTGTTGCCTAGGCTGGAGAGCAGTGGCACGATCATGACTCACTCAAGTCTCAAACTCCTGGGCTCAAATCATCCTCCCCCCTCAGCCTCCTGAGTAGCTGGGACCACGGGTATGCGCCACCATGCCTGGCTAATTTGTTCATTACTTATTGATGTTTGTGGTAGAGGCAGGGTCTTGCTCTGTTGTCTAGGCTTGTCTTGAACTCCTGGGCTCAAGTGATCCTCCTGTCCTGGCCTCCCAAGTTGCTAGGAATAAAGGTGTGAGCCTCTGTGCCTGTGGCTCTTAATAAAATTTATTTTAGATTCTAGAAACTTTAAATTCAAGATCTCTTAATCCCTGTTCCATTTATTTATTAATTTTGAGACAGGATTTTGCTCTGTCACCCAGGCTGGAGTGAAGTGGTGCGATCACGGCTCACTGCAGCCTCAACCTCCTAGGCTCAAGGGATCCTCCCACCTCAGCCTCCCAAGTAGCTGAAACTATAGGCATGTGCCATTATGCCTGGCATATTTTTTTGTATTTTTTTTTTAGAGACAGTGTCTCATTATGTTGCCCAGGCGGGTGTCCAACTCCTAGACTCAAGCTATCCTCTCGCTTTGGGCCCCCAAACGGCTGGAATTACAGACATGAGCCACCATGCCCAGCCTCTGTTCCTTTTATATACCAAGCACTGCCCTCTCCTATCTTGGTCAAATGTTGAACCCAAGTAAGATTGACAGTACTGAGAAGGAGGAAGAGGCAAGAGAGATCCCAAAATGACTGGGATACCCAAGATCTGGGGCCAAAGGGAAGTTTCCTGAATTACCTGGAAGGCTTTCCACTCAGCCCTACTGAACCACCATGCAGTGCAAATCAGATGGGGGAAACCCAAAAACCAACTCACCGTTTTTGTTTCTTGAAGTCAGCCCAGATAAAGTTTCAGCCTCGCTTCTCCTGGCATTTTTCATGGCTGGGGTTCTGAAGGCCTCATGCCCGGCACACACCAGCACAGAGGGGCTGTGCAGCAGGGCCTGCAGCGAGTCCACCTGAGGGAGGAGCGGGCGGGGTCAGGAGGCCTGGGCTGCAGAAACCCCTCTACCCTGAGGCCTGGGGGAGGAAGGATCCAGTCTCACCAGCCCTGTCCTGATTTCTGCACATCTCACCCCAGACTCCTGGTCCAAGGAGGGGTCTTATCCACTCCCCATAACACCTCTATCACTAGCTGGAGGCTGAGGTCCCACCACCATGATCTCCCGCTCTAGCTATACCCCTCCCTCCACCAGGCGTGAGGCCCGTGATCAAAGGGCATTCTGGATGCCCCTGCTGCAAAAGACTTCTGTAGGCCGCATTTCTGCCCACATGTCCACCCTCCAGAATATGTATTCCCTGAAGCAGCTGGAGCAGCACGCCCTCCAGCTCCCACAGCGGGGCCCGATTCACTCTCTCATTCTTTTCCCAAATGAAGGAGACTCTGTGCTGCCTAATCTGTGTTTTCTGGTACAGTCTGAGTCTGTTGCCTCTGCCCAAGTGGAGGGGAGAGGGGCTAGGCACCACTCTTCCTGCAGGGACCCCTTCCCTTCCAGACTCCTAAAATGGTCTCTGGGCTCCTGACCCTCCCCAGACCCATCAGAATGTCCCCTATGCACTCCTGGGCTCAGGGCAGGCCATGTCACTGCAGAATTCCTTTCCAGGAAACTGGTCCCTGGACCGAGAAGCCCCTGCAGATCTGAGGGTTTGCACTATTGATGGGATTACATTGTAATGAGCAATGCTGGGGAATGGGGAATGTATTTCCATCTTTAAAGCACAGAGCATGTTCTTTCTCATTCTCTAAAATTATAAGGGTATGCTCATTAACAAAAAAAAAAAAAAAAAAAAAAGAAAAAAGAAGGAACATTACATTCTCTTCCCCAAAAAATGTCATAGAAGTCTGTTGTGCACCAGATCTTTCAGCCTAGGTAATTAGAAGTTTGTTTTTGTTTTTGTTTTTTTCTGTTTCTTTTTCTTTTTTTTTTTTTTTTTTTTTTTTTTTGAGACGGAGTCTCGATCTGTCACCCAGGCTGGAGTGCAGTGGCGCGATCTGGGCTCACTGCAAGCTCTGCCTCCCGGGTTCATGCCATTCTCCTGCCTCAGCCTCCGGAGTAGCTGGGACTACAGGTGCCCGCCACCATACTCAGCTAATTTTTTGTATTTTTAGTAGAGACAGGGTTTCACCGTGTTAGCCAGGATGGTCTCGATCTCCTGACCTCGTGATCCGCCGGCCTCGGCCTCCCAAAGTGCTGGGATTACAGGCGTGAGCCACTGCACCCGGCCTAGAAGTTTGTTTTAAATGACGAGGTCCATTTCTTCTTTGATTTGGACTCCTGGTCCATCAAAAATCGCACCCACTAAACGGTAGCTAACGGAAGGTAGGGACCTCGTCTCATTTGTCTGTTTATGTGGCACATGCTAGTCCACGGTAATGCCACTAACTCAAAAGCATCCTTGCATTACGTTGTAATTAGCAATGCTTGGGGATGTATTTCCATCTTTAAAGCACAGAGCATGTTCTTTTTCATTTTCCAAGCATTGATGTTGGCTCTCTCATTGGCCAGCCATGCAACTAGGAGCAAATTACTTAACCTCTGTGCCTCACTTTTCTTATCTGTCCCAAGGGGATAATAATATCAGCTACCAGCCAGATGCAGTGGTTCATGCCTGTAATCTCAGCACTTTGGGGGGCCGAGGTGGGTAGATCCCTGGAGCCCAGGAGTTTGAGATCAGCCTGGGCATCATGGTGAAACCCCATCTCTACTAAAAATACAAAGAAAAAAAAATTACTTGAGCGTGGTGGTAGACGCCTGTAATCCTAGCTACTTGGGAGGCTGAGGCAGAGAATTGCTTCAACCCTGGAAGCGGAGGATGCAGTGAGCTAAGATCGTGCCACTGCACTCCAGCCTGGGTGACAGAGTGAAACTCCATCTCAAAAACAAAGAGCAAACAAACAAACAAACAAAAAAATTAGCCAGGCATAGTGGCATGTGCCTGTAGTCCCAGCTGCTTGGGAGGCTGAGATGGGAGGATCACTTGAGCCCAGGAGGTCGAGGCTGCAATGAGCTGAGATTGGGCCACAGCACTCCAAACTGGGCAACAGAACCAGACCCTGTCTCAAACATTAATAATAGTAATTAATAAATTAATAATAGTAATATCAGCTACCTTGTGAGTTTGTGTAGTGAATGCTATGCCCCATACCAGCTGTTTCTATCCCACTCTCTTTCTGGTATGCTTTCCAGTACTGCAGAGGTTTCTTTGTTTGTTTTGGTTTTCGTGTTTTTTTGTTTGTTTGTTTGTTTGTTTTCTGAGATGGAGTCCTGCTGTGTCACCCAGGCTGTAGTGCAGTGGCGCAACCTCCACCTCTCAGGTTCAACCGCCACCTCCCAGGTTCAAGCAATTCTCCTGCCTCAGCCTTCCCAGTAGCTGGGACTACAGGCACGCACCACCATGCCTGGCTAATTTTAAATTTTTAGTAGAGATGGGGTTTCCCCATGTTGCCCAGGCTGGTCTCAAACTCCTGACCTCAAGTGATCCACCTGCCTCGGCCTCCCAAAGTGCTGGGATTACAGGTGTGAGCCACCATGACTGGCCCAGTACTGCAGAGTTTAGAAAGCTGCCAGCCCATTTCCTGAACTCCCTTGCAGCTTGGGATCTAAATGCGAAATAAGTCCCACTAATAAGATGCACTTGAACAGGGCATGGAACGTGGCAGCGAAGCACAGGCCATCTTCCTTTTGTTCCTGACTCTTGCCACAAGCAAAAGGAAGTCAAAGATGCAGAGAGGCATGTGCCACTGAGACATCAAAAGATGCCCTCGTTGTTCTAGTACCCATCATCTTCCCATTTGGGATCCCAGCAATGGTGGGGTAATTCAGAGCACAGTCATTCCAGAGGCAACCCCCCAAAACTCACCTTCCTCATTTCCTAGACATCCCTGACAGGTTGGTTTGTGACATTCTGGGAATCTTTTCCAGGAACCCAGCCTGTGCTCCTCCAGCCTTTCACTGAATCTCTAAGCATCAAACCCTCTGAGTGTAATTCTTTCCTGCTTAAGATGCCGAGAGAGGGCTGGGCACAGTGGCTCACACCTGTAATCCCAGCACTTTAGAATGCCAAGGTGGGCAGATCACCTGAGGTCAAGAGTTCAAGACCAGCCTGGCCAACATGGTGAAACCGCATCTCTACTAAAAATACAAAAAAAACCCAAAACAAACAACAACAACAAAAAAACATTAGCTGGGCATGGTGGCAGGCGCCTGTAGTCCCAGCTACTCGGGGAGGCTGAGGCAGAAGAATCGCTTGAACCTAGGGGGCAGAGGTTGCAGTGAGCCAAGATCATGCCACTGCGCTCCACCATGGGTGACAGAGGGAGACTCCATCTCAAAAAAAAAAAAAAAAAAAAGATGTTGAGAGAGGATTCTGTTTCCTGTACTGAAGTATGGCTGATACAGTGATATGTGCTCTGAAATGGCAACTGAAACATAGTGCTGTTTCTCTGGCGACTAAGACACCTGTATCTTAGTCTACAACACCTGTGACCTCACTGCAAACATTTTGCTTTCCATCCCAGCAGTTTTGGTGTCTGCAAGCTATACAGCGAATTCCATGGATGTTAGTCCAGGGTCTCACTTCTTTTGCTATAAAATTAGTTCTTTGGATAGAAGTAAGCTGCATGGGTTATGGCATGGGTTTGGAGATCTCAGGACCCAAGGGAGAATGTTCCCCCTTAGAAGACACAACAGTGGGCTGGGTGCGGTGGCTCACGCCTGTAGTCTCAGCACTTTGGGAGGCCGAGGCAGATGAGTCACCTGAGGTCAGGAGTTCGAGACCAGCCTGGCCAACATGGTGAAACTCCATCTCTACTAAAAATACAAAAATTAGCTGGGCATAGTGGTGAATGCCTGTAATCCCAACTACTTGGGAGGCTGAGGCAGGAAAATTGCTTGAATCCAGGAGGCAGAGGTTGCAGTGAGCCGAGATCGCGCCACTGCACTCCAGCCTGGGTGACAAGAGTGAGACTCTGTCTCAAAAAAAAAGGAAGACACAACAGTGGCCCCATGGAGCTGAAAGCTGAGACGGTCACCTTGGCCATACAAGGCTTCTCATGACAATGAGCCAATAGGCAACAAGGAAGTTCTGTGTTGGCTGGGGTGGCTGGTTCTGATTGTCTAAGGGGGAAATAGGGCTACTATTACACAATGGGATAGGGAGGAAGTCATCTATTACCCATGCAGCCCATTGGCTGTCATGTCCAGGGATAAACATGAACACAAGACCACGGCCCATGTAGTGAGGAACCCCAAGGGCTCAGACCCCTCAGGAATATGGTTCGGTCACTCTGCTGAGTACATAAGCATAATCAGCTGCGGTGCTGGTGGGAGACAGAGGAACAGGGAGTGGAGAGTGGAAAGAAGCTTTAAACACCAACGAAGGCCTTGCAGTAGATAGCCTAATTTTTGTCATAGCTCTGCTAGGTATACATATTAATCAATTTCCCTTTTCTTTGTTCTTTATTTCCTATACTACTTAACATAGGGTACTTTGATGGTGCTGGACTACCTAAGTAGACCTTGAGATAGACGATATCAAGGTGAGGTTGTCACAGCATAGAAGACGAAGGGTCCAGTGATAATGCGATTGTGGGGAGAAGGTGAACGTGTTTTTGATTGTAGGAGGGAGAGCTCTGTTACTCCATGAGTGCAGGCTGCTGTAGCTGATGTTTATAACAAAGTTTTTGTAATGATGTTATCATATGACTTTTTTTTGAGATGGAGTCTGGCTCTGTCACCCAGGCTGCAGTACAGTGTGTGATCTTGGCTCACTGCAGCCTCTGCCTCCCAGGTTCCAGCAATTCTCCTGCCTCAGCCTCCCGAGTAGCTGGGATTACAGGTGTGCGCCAACACACCTGGCTAATTTTTGTATTTTTAGTAGATATAGGGTTTCGCCCTATTGGCCAGGCTGATCTCGAACTCCTGACCTCAGGTGATCCGCCTGCCTCAGCCTCCCAAAGTGCTGGGATTACAGGCGTGCGCCACTGTGCCCAGTGATATGATATTTATGAAGTATTGGTGGAATGGTGCATACAGATGTTAAGGAGCAACAGGACTGAATCTTGAGGAGACTGTGAATTAGGTCAGTCAACCTCCATCCTCCATTCTGCCGACCTTTGGTGGAATTTCATGTCCGGCAGAACCTGGAAAGGCAAAAATTACATTCACGCATGTCCTTGAACTCAATAATCATAGTGGCTTCCAGCAGAGGTAGTAGCTTCCTGCACATGCTGGGAGCCATTCCTGCAGACCCAGCTTCCAATTCACTCTCTGGCTTCCCAAACATGAAGCCCTCCAACGCCCTGTATTAAATCACTTTCTACTTAAGGTAACTTGAGTAGTTTGTTTCCTACACTGAACCCCTGCAATAATAGGTTATTGGATAAGACAACAATAAGAGTACACAAGGCTGCTGGGCATGGTGGCTCATGCCTGTAATCCCAGCACTTTGGGAGGCCGAATCGGGCAGATCACCTGAGGTTGGGAGTTCAAGACCAGCCTGACCAACGTGGAGAAACCCTGTCTCTACTAAAACTAGAAAATTAGCTGGGCATGGTAGCACATGCCTGTAATCCCAGCTACTCAGAGGCTGAGACAGGAGAATCATTGGAACCCAGAAGGCAGAGGTTGCAGTGAGCCGAGATCATGCCATTGTACTGCAGCCTGGGTGACAAAAGTTAAACTGCATCTCGAAAAAAACAAAGCCAAAAAAAAAAAAAAAAAGAGTACACAGGCACAATGCCTGCCACTTACCGCATGCTCTCTAAATATACCTAAAAACATGAATCACAGCTGCTTGTTGATTTATTGACTTGACTGAGTGTCTCCATGCTGTTCACCTTTAATTAGCAGCAGGGCAATCAAATGCCTCTTTTTAAGGAATAATCTCTCTCTTCCATGTGAGTATTTTGACCTCAGGTCTAAAGAACCTTTTCAAGGAACCGTCAGACCCCAACAGCCTACCTTTTTCCCGCTGGTCGTGTACAACTGCTTCACAGGAAAGCGCAGGAGATCTGAGGCTTTGCCGAGAAAGGCGGCCAGGTTCCTAGTATTCCTGTGACTGAGAACCACTGTCTGCTGGAGGCGAGGGTCCATGTTCTTAATCAGCAGTATCCTCCGGGGGGTTTTAAGACTCTTCCGGGAGGAGGAGGTGCCTGGGGCTTCACGCTGGCCTTCGACATCCCGCAACTGCTGAGCAGTGGGGTTTCTCTCCTGTGGCCGGCCTGGTCCACTGGGGGTCTTGGGGGGCTTCTTATCAGAGCAGAGGTAGCAGCCTCCATCTTCCAGCTGCTCCAGGGCGCTGAGGCTATGCAGGCCCCGGGGTGTGGTGACAGAGCGCACCCCAAAGGAGAGAGGCACGCGCTGGGAGAGCTCGTCCATGAGGGCGCTGAAGGTCTTAAAGGCGCGCTGGTGAACGGCCAGGCGGACCCCAGCAAACCGTGGATCCCCTCGCTTGAGGAAGGTGATCTTCTTGGCTGGCGTGACCTTGGTGACCGAGGGGGTGCGAGCCACAGAGGGCAGGAAGCACTCACGGTGGCTCGGGGCCTGGGCATTCCTGGGGGTGCTGTTCATGGTGTGGGGGCTCTGGCCGCTGTAACAGGGCAGAGGAAGAGGGGTCAGAGAGCAGCTTGGGGGATTGGCATTTCCTGTCTCTTCCCTTCTTTCTAGAGGTGCTTCCTGCCCACCCCAAATGTGCTCCACTCCACTATGGAGAGGCAAGTGAATCTATTTGGATGGAACAGAAGGAAGGACAAAAGTTGGGCATGGGACAGATCTGAGTTCAAACTCCAGCCCCGTGAATTGCTTGAGCTCAGGAGTTTGAGACTGTCCCCAGCATTACCATGTTCCCACCACATGCCTTCAGAGTCACCATGAAACCAGGACCACAATGTCCCCAGCACAACCATGTCCCCAGCACCTCCATGTCCCCAGTACTTCAATGTCCCCAGAACTTCCATGTCCCCAGCACTTCCATGTCCCCAGAGTCATCATGTCCCCAGCATTGCCATGTCCCCAGCAAAGCCACATCTGTAGCACCTCCATGTTCCCAGGACCTCCATGTCTCCAGCATTACCATGTCCCTAGAGTCATATGCACTTACAGTCACCATGTCCCCAGCATCACTATGTCCCCAGCACAGCACCACATGTCCCCAACATTGCTGTGACTCATTGTCACCCTGTCCCTCAGCATCATCATGCCACTAAAATGACCACGTATATCCCCAGCACCACTATGTTCCCAGCACCTCCATGTCCCCAGCATCACCATGTCCCAGAACCACTGTGTCCCCAGCACCTCCACATCCCTGGCATCACCATGTCCCCAGCACCTCCATGTCCCCGGCATCACCATGTCCCCAGCACCTCCATATACCTGCATCACTGTGTCTTCAGCACTGTCTTGTCCCCAGTATGACCTTATCTTGCAGCCATGGGGAAGGAAATTGCAAACGTGGAAGGTTTTCTTCTTGGAAGAGGCATCACCTTCCAGTCCTCACTCTCAGAATACTCATCACATTCTCCACACATTCTGTCACTCATCACTCCCTCTCTCATGTAGCCAACAAAGATTTCTGAGCATCTATTGCATCAGGCTCTGGGTGGCATCCTGGGATGCAACCATTAGTAGGACATGGCACCGATCTTCAGAAACTTCACATTCCAATGTGACAAACAGACACGCTCCTACACACAATAACAAATGTTCTGATGTGTATGTGTGTACATACACACACACTCACACATACACCACAATATACACTGGGTGTGACTGAATGCAGAGTAAAAGGAATGGCATTGCAGGTCAAGGAAGGCCTCCTGGAGGAGGTGATGCAGAGACTCCTGAGCTGAAGCCTAAAAACAACTTAGGGATTAGCCTCTCTGGCTCTAGGAAGAAATTAGGACCACAGCAAATAGATATGGCCCTGGCGTCTTCTCTGACCAGCTGGGTGGTGTTGGAAGGCTGGGAGGAGAAGGTTGGAGGCTTTTTGCAAGCTGGGGTGGAAGGCCGGGAGGAGAAGGTCGGAGGCTTCTTGCAAGCTGGGATCAGCTGCCATAGAGTCAGGGTGGAGCAAAGCCATTCTGGCTGCGGGACATCTGCCATCCCTGCGTCGGGGTGTTCAAAACCCGGCCTGGAAAACTGGGCTTTTCAGTTCCACGAGCCGACAATTCTCTCCTTGGCTGAGTGGGTTTGAGTTGGGGTTTCTGTCTTGTAGAACAGGAAGAGCCCCACTGAGATGTGGGCCCCAGAGAGTGACAACAGCAAGCACCTCACCTTCAGTGACTCTGAAGCTGGGTTTCTGAATTAGGAAGAAGCCTGGGTGGGGTTGGGAGCCGAGGCTCCTGTCAGATCCCCCACTTTGTCCAGTGGATGACAGGGGACAATCACTGCATTCCTACATTCCAGACCGGCCTTCAGAAGCCGGACTGAGGGTGAACAATCAGCTGATACGCAAAATCGCGTATCAGTCACTTTTCCCCTTGCTGGTTTCCTCCTTTCAAAATCATGAGGTTTCTCCTCCAATCAGGAGCAGGGGAAGACCTGACCTCTTAACAAAACATGCTGGGTGGGCACCAGGCCGCGCCCAGAGAGAGAACACCCTACCTGCACCAAGCAACTCTCCACCATCTCAGGAATCAGGCCACCTACAGGGTCACAGAAGCTCCCAGGAGGGAGAAGGCTCTTCCTCCAGTACCACTCACCTGGGGCGTGAGTCCAGGAACCTGGGCCTTCGGGATGCGAGGAAATGCTGGGAGGAAAGACACAGGGAAGAGGGGGCCAGGCTGGAGGGTGCGTGTGGGGTGTGGTCCCTGCTCTCCACTCTGTGCCCAGCTGGGGGTCAAGTGGGGAGCCCATGGGGTGGGGGTGGGGTGTGGGAGGGGAAGCATCTAGATGAGGTGTGAGATGCTCCATAGGCGGAGGGCTTCTGCCCAGCCAAGCCTCATGACTGAGCGATAAAGGCGCCCCCCAACCCACCTCCCACACAGGGCAGGGCCTCATCAGGTGCGGGCAGGTAGAATGCATTGGAGGAGGCTCCAACATTTTGCTTCTGAACCATCCAGGTGCCCCCGGCTGTGGACAGGACCACGCAGGAGCAGAGGGCCTGGCAGGAAGCGGGGAGCTGTGGTGGGTGGTCTCAGTGAGCACAGAGACCGAGGGATCCACCCCTGGGGCTGATTAGGCCCCAGCAAACCCCAGGGTCCACTTGTACCGATCAGAGCCAGGGGAGGCTGAGTCAGTGCAGGTAGGGGGCAGGCAGCGAGGGCAGCATTGTGGGATGGAAGAGGAGGGGGCGGTGCCGGGGATTTTGGGAGGAAGCAGGGAAGGAAAGCAGAGGCCTTCCAGCTGTGTGTGGGAGGGGGTAGACGGAGCAAGGAAAAACAGATTACGGGGCAAAAGGAGAAAAAATAGAAGTCACAGGAAATGCTCCAAGAGTTGACAGCCCCTGTGGAGGAAGGGGCAGGGCGGACCTGCAGGGAGGAAACAGTTTTGTTGGCAGCCCTGGGAGCAGAAGTGGGCTAGGCTGGGTAGGGGGCTGGCAGCGGGCGCAGGCAGCAGGGGCAGTGGATTCAGGAACAGAGTGAATAGCGGGAGGATGGGGGAGGCTGGGCTTTGCAGCAGAGAATGCAAGTGGCAGGAACCCAAGCTAGGCCCCAGAGGGCTGAGCAGGGAGAGGGACAGGGCTGCTGCGAGACCTTGAAGGGCTGATCAATATCACACGCGGATCACCGAAAGAAGCCGAGCATGATGGGAAGCTCACATGTCCCCAGAGAAAAACACGTGGGGCATGCAGCCCCCAGAGAGAACAAGAGCTGCAGGCATGCAGCAGGGAGCTGGGTCCTTTGCACGCTCTCCACCATCACACAGGTCCACACGGGCTGCATGGGGTCAGGCAGCCGTTTTCAGCACCACCTTCCAGTGGCTCGCACTTGCCACAGGTCATAAGAGCACTGGTATTTTACAAACCATTTAAGAAAGGAAGAATGAAAAAAAGAAACAGTGACAAATGAAGACAAAGACACGCCATTCATTGCAAAGATGCATCCTGATTTCAGGTATATTAACACATGGAAAAAACCCCAAATCTGTGTGTATCAAAGTTTGGGAAAGACAGAATGACAAAAAGCGAAGCACAAATTGCTCACATTTCCACGAGAAAGCCACAGCACGTCATCAAGTGTGATTTCGATTGATTCTGGGTGCTGAGAGCGGCAGGAGCCAGTGTGCTCCAACCTGATAGGTCAGGCCTACCAGGTGGGTGAACGTGACTCGTAAAAAAAAGGAGAGACCACAGTGAGATGCCACCTCACACCATTAGAACGGCTACTGTAAAAACCAGAAAACACGTGTTGGCATGGATGGGGAGAAGTTGGAACATTGCTGGTGGGAAGGTCAAATGATGTGGCTGCTGTAGAAAACAGTATGGCGGGTCCTCAAAAATGGAACCATAGAATTGCCACATGATCCAGAAATCCCATTTGTGGGTATCTCCCCAAAAGAACTGAAAGCAGGGCTCAAAGGGATACGTGTACACCCACGTTCATTGCAGCTTTATTCACAGTAGTCAAAGGGTAGAAACAACCCAAACATTCATCCGCGGATGAACAGATTAACAAAATGCGATATAGACAAACAAAGGAGACTTACTCAACCTTAAAAAGGTAGGAAAATCTGGCCCATGCTGCAACATGGATGAACCTTGAAGACATTAAGTGAATAGAAATGAGCCGGTTACAAAAGACAAGTGCTGTATAATTCCACTTGTATGAGGTCCCTAAAGCAGTCAATTTTATAGAGACAGAAAGTAGGATGGGGGACATCAGGGCTGGGAGGAGGTACGAGAGGGGAGTTAATGTTTCAGAGGTGCAGAGTTTCACCCTGGGGAGTTCTGGGGATGGGTGGTGATGGTGGTCGCACACCAACGGCACAGGACTGTACACTTACAAACAGTTTAGACGGCCAATTCTATCTGGTGTGTATTTTATCACAATACGAAATATAAAAAAAAAGTAAAAATATTTAAAAGGAGGGGGTGGGATGAATTACCCTTTAAGAAGGTAATTACCCCTTAAGAGGAGGACATCTTCCCTAAGCCAATTCCTAAACTAGTAAGAGTTTAGGGAAACATCACAGCGTTCCACACAACAGAACTCTCTGGCGCCCCAGGTTCTGGGCAGTAAATTCAGATGGAGAGTAACAGAGCAAGTAGGCAAAGAGGGCTTCACAAGGGTAGTTAGTACTTCTGATGAACAGGCACAAAGCAATCCAGCAGCAAACGATGACCACCTACTGTGTGCCAGACCTTTACTTAGACACAGAGACTGAGGCACAGCTTGGGGAGGCAGGCTCATGCCTCCTGGCATTTATAATCCAGGAAAGAATACAGACAGCACCAAGGTCCTCACTCTTTAATGGATGAGCAACCCAGCTGCTTCTGGAGGTCTCCAGGTTCATGAGCCCAACTAGGCTCTGCCAGTAACAAGCTGATGGCTTTGAGTGACCTACTTGAATTGTCTGTGCTTCCCTTGTCTGAGCCATAAACAAAGAGGTTAAACCACAGGATCACTGAGGTTACACTAGGAGTTTGTAGGAAAAGTTAGCACATGAGGCTGTGCTGTCCCTCAATCTGAGAGACCTCTTGAGAAATTACCACAGGCGTTCATTCTTAAAATTGTCTAGGTAATAGCCCCCCTCCCTTTCAAAATGATAGTGAAAACCATGAATAACACCAATGCCCCTCCTGAAAAACAAGCACATTCCCATAAACACAAAATACTACACACAATTACAAGTGCATGGGCTCCTGCAGCTCATCATAGATGCACCCTCCACCCCCAGCCCCAGAGATCCAGGAAGCCCAGGCTAAGAACCTGTGATCCAATCCTTGGTGATGAGAAAAAAACAAGGAGAGGAGAAACAACAGAGAGAGTGACAGTGGAGCTCTGGGCTGGCCATGGAGCCCCGGTGGTATGACTTCAAAAGAAGAAAAGAAATCACGTTCCTGAATATAGACTTTCTTGTCCAAACTGTAGTCACTGGGAAAATTTTCCCAATGATAGTTCCCGTTCTGTCTGGTAATAAAAGAGGGACACATCCATGACAACTCATGGACTGGAAGAAACCTGATATTGACACTGGAAGTAGAATCCTTGGAAACTGTCAAAAAACAAAACAAAAACAAGCACTAGAGTATCTTCCTGTCCATCCCCCACAAACACACACTTGCTAATAGTCTCCAGGCCACTCATCAGTAAGGGAAGTAGGTTAATGAGATGGCCTGGATTTGCAGGGCTTACAACACCAAGCGGGATGTGCAGCCTCGTCAGAGCTCCCTTGAAGGCAGGAAGTGGGTCTGGTGCACCTCTGGCCCTGTGCTCGGCACATCACAAGTGCTGGACAAATGTTTGAAGAATAAATAATGCTTAGACAGCTGAGCAGGAAAGAGAATGGAGTGAGAAGTACGGTAAGCACAGAACAGGATGATAATAAAACCCAGGACAGGTAGAAAGCTCTCTTGCCCAATCATGGAGCAAGTGCATGGAGGAAACATATAAACAGCCAAGGAACAAGCAAATCCAGCAGCTGCTGGTGCTGGAGGTAGCTGCCAAGGGTCTGGAAAGTGCATGGGCAGGGCATGGGCCCTGCCTGGGGCTACCCATGGCCCTGAGAAAGTGAGAAGGTGACTAAGGGGGCCTGGGAGCCAATGAATAGTCACAGATAGATGGAGCAAAGAACATCAAGACGAAAAGTAAATGGGAAGGAATAGGGAGAAGCTGGAGAGGAGGAATGGACTCGATTTCTTTGGGGTGGTCCTGGTGGAACTGGGAATTAGGATTGGCCAGGGTTTCCTTGGATTCTGAGGCAGATCTCAGCTCAACTTAGCAAACAACTTTAAACCACAGGTGTGGTCCCAAGGCAGCTTGGGCTACTGTGCAACCAAATGCAATCAACAATTGCATTTTATTGTCAGCAACAGAGACCCTCCCCATAAATGACTTAAACCAGGTAGAGGTTTATTTTCTTCTCACATAGAAATAGTCTAGAGATGGCCACTCCCACGCCGGCATGGGGGCTCCATGGTGCCACCCATGTCCCCAGCTCCTCCTGTCTTTCTACCCTGCTGTCCTTACCACTTATTCCCTCCTCAAGATGCCTCACAGTCAGAGGAAGGCTGCTGTGGGCCCTGGAGTTTGACTGAGATCCCATTCTGCCTGGCATTAGTGGTCTGTCCCCAAGTCTCTGTGCTCACCAAGACCACTTATCCCCTACTCCCGCATGGCCCTGTCCACACCACGTAGGCATCAAGGTGGCTCAGGGAGTCAAAGGTCAGAGTCTTCTCCAATCTGTTTTGCCTTTAACATGCCTTGCTGAGGCCCCATCCTGAGTGGGAGTCAGGGTGGTGAGGGGGTCTCCTTCAGAGCTCAGTCATGAGGGCGTAGTCAAGTCAAGAGGGCTTAGCTGGGCAAAGGCCCTCTGTCCCCAGAGCATCTATCTCTATACCTAGATGGTCCTCCCTTGACCCCCAGCTGGGAGTGCAGTGGAGGGGGGAGCAGACCCCATCTTGCCATCTTCAGTCCCTGACCTTTCTTCTCTCTGCCACCCCATCCACACCCCAGGCAGGAGGATGGGCAGAGGCAAAGGCACAGACTGAGTTGGCCTCATGTGAGGTTGACCTGACCTCTCCATCTAACAAGTCCTGCCTCTGCCCCACTGCAGAGCTGAGTTCCAGGACTGTTCCTACACACGCAGAGAGCTGGGAGGAAGGGATGGCAGAGATGTCACTCTCAGCCAGCCTGGGCCTTCAAGTGGAGAAAAGAGAAAGAGGGGTAAAGTTTGAGAGTTGTCAAGGACAGGTTGAAAGAAAATGTCAAGACAAATTCTGCAGAGTGGAGGGTTTCACTTTCACTTTCTGTTTCCCAGCCCGTAGGGGAGCTGGGGTCAGAGAAGGGAGCTTTGCACCTCCCGGCAGGCAGCCTCCTGCCTGGGCTCTGCCTCCCTAGATAACCACAGGCAAATTGCCCTCCATTGCTGGGACTCAGGTTCCCATCAGTAAAGTGACCTCTAAATTCACGTCTTGCACAAAGAAGTGAATTTTTTCATTTTAAAAAGCTCTCCAGGTGATTCTCAGCCAGTGTTGAAATCCACTGAGCCAAAACACTGGACATGATGGAATGACAACTGCTTGCCAACACGTGGTGTTAAGTCTACAACAGAGATTCATAAGAGACTGGTCATCGCAGCGGGAGAAATTGGATGAGACTTCCCAGCTGGGCTTGTGGGGGCTGGGAGGTGTGCACCAGCAGAGTGGGGCTAAGGGAGCCCCCTTTGCAGGTAGAGTCTTGCTCGAGTGGAGTGAATGCCTGGCTCTCAGGGGGAATGGCTTTGCCGGGTTTGTGGGGAGGAGGTTTGTTTACGGCTGCCACAGTTGGGAGCCATGGTCGACTTCGGAACAGGGCCTAACGTTGTGAAAGCGGTGATCACCCAAGATCAACCAGCAGGATATTTTAGACGGCCCAGGCGAGAATGTTGTCATGGCAACAGCACCTGCAAAAACACACACACACACACACACAAACGCACACACGTACACACATGCACACATGCACACACACGCACACAAACACGCATGCACACACACGCACACAAACATGCATGCACACACACGCACACACGCACACACACATGCACACACACGCACACACATGCACACAAACACACATGCACACAAACACACATGCACACACACGCACACACACGCACACACGCACACACACATGCGCGCACACACACGCACACACACACTATGGGTAGGGAGCACTTCTTCAAATACATAATGACATGTGTGAAGCTCTTTTCCGTGTATAGCAGGATTATATATACACATAAACATTATCTCAACTGTTCCTACAGTTACCTAGAGAGATGGCCGGGAAATCCCACTGAACAAAGGAGACATCCGAGGCTTGGCAAAGTTCCACGGTTTGTCCCTGTCCCCCCTCCTCCACTTCCGAGACGACCACAGCAAGGCTGGAGCTGGCTCTCAGACCGCAAGCGCTGGGTTCTCTCTGCCAGTGCCGCCCGAGCCTGTGGACAAGGGCTGGTTGGAGGCCGAAGGGAAGCAGCCCACCCCTGAACAGACGAAGACCAAGGGCGATGGGTCCTGGGGGGCTCTCCACGGCGGGGAAGACACTGCCAGGCAAGGTCTGGATTCAAAAACAGGAAGGGGGAAGCCAGCACGGGGCGGATTTGGAGTCAGGCCATGGACGTGAGTGAATCACTCCCAGACCTGCTTTCTCTGACACTTGCGGTGGCCCCAGGAACAGAGCAGCTCATTTCCTTGAGAATGTTTTTGTCATTTTGTCATCGTGCTTCACACGGTGGGCAGTGGGGGAGGGAGCCTTCAGGGGCCACCAGAGGACAGGTCCTGTCGAGGAAGCAAAGAGCACAAAGATGGGGCAACCCTGGCCCGGAAGAGGCTTCGGGTGAAGGCAGGAGTGTGGTTTTGCACTCCTGCCCTGCTTCCAACAAACAACGGGAAGCAACCAGGGGCACCAATGTCCGACTGTGGGAAATCCCCCATTTTCCCTGCTTAGATTTAGCTATAACTGGGCAATACTCTGTGATCCTAGAGTTGAGTTGGCACCATCTAGAACGTTCTAGAACATTTTTCCTCAGCCTTTTCTCCTCTGGAAATGGAGGCGGCATGTCTGAGATGGTGGTTATAAAGCACCTTTCACATGTTTTCATTTAACTCATTGGTAACAATCAGCTCCTGAGCTATGCAATCTGACTTATTGATGTATACAGATATCTCCACCTAAAGTCTTGGGGAGGGACCCCCATCTCATCCCGACTTTTTCCTTTCCCCCTGCATGCCTGCAGCTCCTTGTCTCCGCTCCTCTCATTCTCCTGCCAACTCACGGCCTGTAGAATCCCCGTGTGTTTACACGCCTTATTTCTCCCGCTAGACCAAGGGTGAGGATGAGGCCGCTGACTTTGGCTCCCCAGTGGGCAGCACAGTGCACAGCACCTTGTAGGTGCTCGGGAACTATTTGTTGAGAGACTGAATGAGTAAACGGATCAACATTCATCCAACACAGGGGTCCCCTCATTCCCAGTCTGAGGTTGACTTGATATAGGATGGACGAGGTCAAGATGAGGAGTTGGAAGCCTTTGAAGACCCTTGATGGCTCTGACACAACTCAGAGCCAAGAATGAGCTATCCCTTTAAGGATGCCCAGCCCATCCTTCAGCGCCATCCATGTCCACTCTCCTCTCCTTGGGCGGAGGCTGCAAAATGAGATGTGTGCTTCCTCACTCACTGCTGGGGGCAGAGGAGCACCAGTGCCTTGGGGGTCACTCTGAAAGTGAGGGTCTGCACCATGGGGTTTATGGAAGAGACATGGGCAGTGTCCAATTCTCTGCATCCAACAGCACGGCGACGTTCCCAGGAGACGGCAGCAGCGATGACCGCATCTGTGGCTGGAGGGATGAGGGAAGACTGCTGGCCAGTGGGAGCTAGAGCTGCACAGCAGCTGCCCCAGGGCCGTGAGCCAGGAATGCTGGCCTCACAAAGCCGCAGCCAGGTCAGGGATGGGGAAGCAGAGATGCTGACCTCTCTCTCCCTCTACTCTCTGATCTCCCACTAGTGCCCCCATTGACCAAATCCAACCCGAAATCAGAGGGCAAGAAGCCTGACAAGGCAACCCAGAAAGGCCAGACCCTTAGTTCAAAGGACAAAGGGTAGATCTGGGGACCGGGGCAGACAGGGATGTAATAAGCCCAAACCCCAAATTGCATCAGCTTCCAGCCAAACAAAACCCCGGGCAAGGACACCACTCCCATCCGTGCAACCTGGAGCATGCTTCGCCCCACAAACACCCTCGATGACTCTACTATGTGCTAGGCGCAGGGGAGGCCGGGGAAATCGCAAACCCACTCAGAGGAGCGCAGCGTCCCGCACAGGAGGCAGAACAACTGCTGTTCTGTGGTCATCATTTGAGTCCACCATCCACCCAGAGCACCAGGAGGACAGCAAACCTCCAGGGCGTGACTGAAGCTGCCCTGGAACGTTCTCCAGACCTAAGTACAGACTACACGAGCTTCAGTAACCACTGCTTCATGGCAAGGCATATTCTAATTATTGTAGGTATACAATACAAGGTATATGTCCAATTAATCTCCACATAGTTCCATGAGGGATGCATGAATTATATCCCTTTTCAGCCTCCCTGAAGTTTTTCAGCTGAGAAAACCGATTGACCGACGTGAGGGGAACCCAGGCTTCAGGACTGCCGACACAATATCCTCCCTCTCTGCCTGTGGAGAAGGGTGCCCGAGGGCCTGACCAGGAGGCTCAAGTCACCCTGATCCCCAGCTGCAGGCCTGAGGCAGCCTCAGCTCCTACAACAAGGCAGATAGAGCTCAGAGGACCAGGCTGGACCATACCACAGCGGTCTGAGTAAGAAGAGAAGTGATGGGAGCATAACATGGTACAGTTATCAGGCCACACAGCACCTGCCACAGGAAAAAAGAGTGCCCTGGCTCATCTCTGACACCACCCGACTTATCCACCTCCTAAATCAACTGAACCATGTGCCTGTCACCCTCTTCTGCAAACAGTTCTGAATATGCGCTCTCCCAGGACCCGAGAAGGAGCAGCACCGATGCTTGTGGGCAGAGCTGCAAGAGGCTGCAACACGGACCCTAGGATGAGCCCCACCCTCCAGGACAACCGCATGGTCATCATCAGCATCTGTGAGGCTCCTCCCGGCATATGGACCGGTTTTCCGTGATGTGACAAGTGGGGAAGATCAACACAAAGAATGCAAAACAGCCGACATACAGAAAGCGAGGATCAGGTCTGGTGTTGCTGTGTGGAGAGAAATGGGTTTCCATTTCCATCCGGGGACCACCCCCAGCGTTCCTGGCATTGTTGAGGCACTGCCTACTGGAACTGCAGAAGGCTCTAGGTTTGGCAGAAGAGTGCCAATCACCCAGGCTCCTGCTGGATTAGGAGCCATCCCCAGGAATGAGTCCACAGGCCCAGGGACAGCTGCTGCAGTGGCTGCTATTCCTAGCATTTCAGGAGCCCCCACACAGAACCCACCAGCCCCGGGGACCCCTGTCCACCTTCAGGTAGAGCAAGTCCACCTGCAGGCATTATGGCTCTTCCACCTGGTGTGAGTCTACCCAACCCCAACTGGGACTCCCTCTCCTCAAGGGACACCAAGGGTCCTTGCCCCTCCAGTCTCCCCAAGACTCTCTTCACCAGGAATAAGAGGCCCATCTCCCCCAGAAATGCATCCACCACAACCCTAGGAGAGTGCTGGGGCTTCTCAGTCACTTTTTCCCTGCAGTGCCACCTGGGATGTATGACAGTGTTTGTGAGCTTTGCCGCATTAACATGGGCTAATCCTCATAAACGCACAGAGCAATGGAACCGGGGAGGGAACAGGTAGAGGCTGGGGACTCGGGTGACGCGGTCTTCATCTGATCTTGCCACTGGCCACGGCATGTCCTTGAGGAAGTCACTTTACCTCCCCGGGACCTGGCTTTCCCCTCTGGAAACTGGGGGAGGAAATGGAGGCTCAGTTGCCCTCCAACTGACCCGTTAGCCTCAGCAGCCCATAATTCTATCACCTTCTCTAAGAGGGGACCCTTCTGGGCATCCAGAAATGCTCCCCCACCCCAGGCTAATCCCTGGTCTTCTTCACCCTACCATGCCGGGTTATTCCCAGCGCACGCCAGAGATCCAACGCCTCATGCACTTTCTGCTCTCCCAGGTGTCCTGAAGGAATGTAGCCAACGCAATTCAGGTTGTATGAGATCAATCCATTCCTCCACTCTACAAATCCCTATGGAATACCTACTGAGACTGGGCATGGTCACGAAAGAAGACCAGGTAACTTCTGTACTATGTTGCTCTCCAGGGGACCGTGGAATTGAGAAAGGGAGGAGTCTCTGATCTACACAGTGCCCAGAGCCTCCATTTTCTCTGCTCTTTTCTTTCCTTCCCTCGTGACACAGAGCTATTGATGGCCAAGAAAGTAAGTGGTAAGAGCAGCGAGTGCTTGTGGAGACAGTGGAGGATGTGGGAGACTTTTGTACCATTCTTGCAACTTTGCAGTAGATTTGGAACTAATCCAAGATAAATATTAGTTACTTACGGAGCGCTGAGAGTGGGGACTCAGGATCAGCAGAAGGCCACCAGGTGGGATGCCTGGAGCCAGCAGACACTGGAAGATCCCCCGGGTCAGTCTATAGCACCAACCCGCGGACAAAACCATCCCCATGGAAGAGACTGGCACAGGCCCGAGAGCACAGGGAGCTGGGGTGGGGACGCGAGTCTGGCTCTCTGCCACAGATTCCATCATTCAACAGCTCTGCTGACCACCTGCCTTCTGCAACATGCTAAAATGCTGTTTTGGTGTGGATGAGTTGCTTCACCTCTCTGGACTTCAGTTCCCTCATCTGTCAAATGACTTATTTGCAACGCAGTTGGACTCCACAATGCTTATGGGCCTTGCCATCGCTCAGACTTTCTGGGTCTATAACAAGAGTTCCAGGACACCCAATATCTTGGCTTTAAAGAAGGGTTCTGGGGGCATCTGGGGCCGGTGACTCTTGCTTTGTCCAGCATGAAGGCGTCAACAAGAGGCAAAGGGAAAAGGAGCCGGTCTGCAGGCGGCCAGACCCGTCAGCATCCCAGGGCTAGCCTTTGGCAGCTGTGAAGCCTTGGAGGAATGAATCAACCTCTCTGAGCCAGTCACCATCCTCGGTAAAATGGAGACATCGCATCTGCCCTGTGGGGCTGTAGTGGGATTGACTGAGCCTCGCCTGTGCAGTTGAGGCCCCGCCTTCTTCCCTTCCCCCTCGAATGGCAACCCAGGCCCTGGCCTGACCACCAAGAGGACTCTCCTTCACAACGGCCTCCTCGGATGAAAGGCGTGGGGGCAACAGGAAGAACTGTTGTTTTAACTGCTCTCAGCTTCCTCCTTTTGTCTCGGGCATGATAAACAAGCCTATTCCCCCAAGCCACAGCTGCTAATCCAGCTGCAGGAGGGCAGCGGTCAAGCAATCAGACATGCTCTTCGCTGGGATTAGGTTACTCCCAGCCGGGCCTGACCCCTCCCCTGCCCAGCAGCAGATCAGAACCGACTCCCTCCTGGCTATCCCTGGGGCTGCTGGGTTCGGATGCCCTGGGAAGCTGCAGGTCACCTGGATGGAACTGGAGTGACAAGGACTGTGGCCAGTCTGTCACACAGCTCCCTGACACAACTCCCAGGCCTGGCCCAGCCTTAGAACCTTCCCTGCCCTGAGGCCCTGACAGCAGGGCTCTACGTGGGGCCACTCTGCAGTGTACAAAGCATCGTCACTCACTCTCTCAGGTGGGCCTTGCAGTAGGCTGGTGAGGGAGAGAGACAGGCTGAGATTTAGAGAAAAAGAATGCAAGGTTCGCTCAGGGCCATAGAGCAGGCAAGGAGACAGCTGAGCCTTCCTGGTCAGGTTCCCGGACTCAAACTCAATGCTCACAGCAAGGCTGCCTCTCCCCACGTAGTAAGGGGCGTCCCCTTCACAGTCCCCAACCTCCCAGGCTTGGCCGCGGAATGCGCAGAGTGGCAAGGTCCTCTCACCCCAGAGCAGAGCACAGGATTTCCTCCAGTATTTATCAAATGCACCACAATTAAGCCAATTAGGCAAAAAGACTTAATGAGGACCTCCTGTGTGTGATGTCAGTGTAGGGGCCAGAAAACTCCTCTAAGCCTTTTTTGGCATTAAATGAAGGAATAAACATAGCAATAAAAAATAAAAGCCGGCCACGGTGGCATATGTCTAAAGTCCCACCTACTCTGGAGGCTGAGGCGGGAGGATCACTTGAGCCCAGCAGTTCAAATGTAGCCTGGGCAACAGAGTGAGACCCCATCTCCAAAAACAATAAAATACATAAAAAAATTAAGAAAACTCCCCATTTATAGTCACTAGATCTACTTGATATATGCTGGACACTCTAGTTAAGTATAGCTCAGCTGAGTTTTCCTGCAAAGAAAGAGTTAACGTAGCTGATATCTGTGGTAACTTATCTCCTGCATAGGAGTTTATTTCCCTAGGTTGGTTGAGACAGGAGGGGAAAGAGACGGGGGAAGTAGGAAGAGAGAGAGGAAAAATGGATCAGCTTCAAGATCAAAAGATGCTCAGAGATCTGAAAGGAAACACAAACTCCAGGGGTGGGGGGATTTTCAGGACTCTGTATCCTTCTGATAAGGAGCTAGTTCTTGGGACAGCCCCACCCTCCTGCCTGCAGCCCCAGGGCTGGGTCCCCTTTGCAACAAGAATAGGCGATGGTGCCCACCCCAGAAGCTGGTGGCTTGCGAGACCAGAGCAGCTCAGGAGGCACAGCCACTGATCCTGGGAAGCGTGCCCTCAGTTCATGGTGGGAACAACTGGGAAATACCTGCTTTGTTTACACTTTGTCAGGCTTAATGCAGTATTTTGTTAGTTTCAGGTAGGGCTTAACATCGATTACACACGTGAACCCAAAAATACCGATATGCTTGCCCATGCAAATGAAACATACATTCAAACGTATTTCCATGTATCCACAGGCACTTGTGATTCCCACCGAGGTCTGGTCGAGTAAAAGAGTTTGGGTAGCCTTGATGATAAAAGTACAAACGGAAGCATGAAATAGAAACTTCCCCTGAATGCTGGGGACTCAAGGAGGAATTCGAGACAGTTTCATGTGGGGAAAAAAAATCAAAGGAAGAATTGCAATAATTCCCTTGACTATTTTTTATCCCACGAAATTAGATACAAATTTCTACTTCAATTGTTTGAAGTCCCAGCTACTCTGGAGGCTGAGGTGGGAGGATTGCTTGAGTCCGGCAGTTCAAATGTAGCCTGGGCAACACAGTGAGACCCCATCTCTAAAAAAAAATAAAATATATAAAAAATTTAAGAAACCTCCCCATTTATAGTCACTTGATCTACTTGATATATACTGGACACTCTAGTTAAGTATAGCTCAGCTGATTTTTCCTGCAAAGAAAGAGTTAACGTAGCTGGGACTAGGGCTGAGGACAAACAAGGGGGCTCTCCAGACGGAGGGACACAGATAAAACCCATTTGCTGCCCAGTGGATCATTAAGAAGCTGCAGCTGGGCAGTGGGACCCACGTTCTTGCCTCTGCTCTCTGATAGAGCAAGCAAGCACGGCCAGGCATGGTGGCTCACACCTGTAATCCCAGCACTTTGGGCGGTTGAAGCCAGCGGATCACTTGAGGCCATGAGTTCGAGACCAGCCTGGCCAACACAGTGAAACCCAGGCTCTACTAAAAAATAAAAAATTAGCTGGGCGTGGTGGTGCATGCCTGTAATCTCAGCTACTTGGGAGGCTGAGGCAGGGGAATCACTTGAACCTGGGAGGCAGGGGTTGCAGTGAGCCGAGATCGGACCCTGCACTCTAGCCTGGATGACAGGGTGAGACTGTCTCAAAAAAAAAAAAGAAAAGAAAAGAAAAAAAGAGAGCAGGCATTGCCTCTGTGGAGACCTTTGCTTGCCCTCAATTCTGCTCTTCAAAACCCCGTCAACAGTGGGAAAGGCTCATGCATCAGAGAGAGAAAGACACAGGACAAACGAGCAGCCTACAACCGAGGAATCTGCCCGCGTGGCTCTATCCTCCGTGTGTTAACCTGTCCTGCCTCTTTTCCTTTGCTTCTTGCTGATTGTTTGAATTTATTTATTTATTTAGAGACAGGGTCTTGCTCAGGCTGGAGTGCAGTGACACAATCATAGCTCACTGCAGCCTCAAACTCCTGGGCTCAAGCGATCCTTATGTCTCAGTCTCCTAAGTAGCTGGGACTACAGGCGTGCACCACCATACCCGGCTAATTTTTGAACTTTTTGTAGATATGGGGGTCTCATTATGTTGCCCACGCTGGTCTTCAACACCTGACCCTGAGCAGTCCTCTTGCCTCAGCGTCCCAGAGCACTGGGATTACAAGTGTGAGCCACTGTGACTGGCCAGTTTAAATTTGTTGAATAAACCACATTATTGGAGAATCTTATTGCAAGCCTTTCTGTTTCATGACCTCCGGGAAAGTTTGACCGAACCGTACATAGACTACCTTTATTTCAAGGAATCCCCACACGACAAATTTGAAAGATGAATGCCGTTTAACTCAACAAAAATGAAATGAAAAGTATTTCCAGAAGAAAGGACAAAGTTCCTCCATTATTTCCCTTTTTTCAGGGGATGGTGTTGGTAGAATGTTACATGGGGTGTATTTATTTATTAAATACATTTTAATACGATATATGCAATCTATTTATTGTATTTACAGGGTTCTAAATGGTCAGGGGTTTTGTTTGTTTGCCTTTTAGTTCTACTTTGTTTTAAAAACAAAACTAAAACATAAAGCTATCTCAGGATAACACCCATCATGGGAAAGAAAATATGAAAACAGGCTGGAGGACTTAAGGGTGAGATTGATAATGGCCTTACACTGGCACAAGGGGTAAATCTGCATGATCCAAATGGCTTCGTTTGTTCCTTTGTCTTAGCAATGATGCTCTTCTGACAGTCAGGCCTCGTCTACCTCACTTAGTTGGAGAATGAACCATTTTACATAAGTGAATTTCCCAGGCAGGTAACAGAATTTTTCAAAGAAAAGATCAAGATTATTTTATATGCTGAAAATCATTCTAATTTTGTTTTTTAATACTTTGTGGCTAGGCGTGATGGCTCATTCCTGTAATCCCAGCCCTCTGGGAGGCTGAGGAAGGCAGATCACTTGAGGCCAAGAGTTTAAGACAAGCCTGGCCAACACGGTGGTCTCTACTAAAAATACAAAAATTAGCCGGGCATGGTGGTGGGTGCCTGTAATCTCAGTTGCTCGGGAGGCTGAAGCAGGAGAATCACTTGAACCCAGCAGGTGGAGATTGCTGTGACCCAAGATCACGCCACTGCACTCCAGCCTAGGTGACAGAGTGAGACTCCATCTCAAAATAATAATAATTATTATTATTATTAATATTTTATTATTATTATCATCATCTATAAGGTGTAGGAAAGAGATTGTATTGTAATATTTTGTGCTATAATATTCCAAGATTGTGCTATATATTTTTTTGAGACAGGGCCTTTGAAACAGGGTCTGTCGCCCAAGCTGGAGTACAATGGCGTAAACACAGCTCACTGCAGCCTTGACCTCCCAGGCTGAAGCGATCCTCTCACCTCAGCCTGCTGAATAACTGGGACTATAGGTGCACGCCACCATGCCTGGCTAATTTTTGTATTTTTTGTAGAGAGGAGGTTTTTCCGTGTTGCACAGGCAGGTTGCAAACTCTTAAGTTCAAGCAATCCTCTCGCCTCAGCCTCCCAAGTAGCTGGGACTACAGGCATATGTCACCACAACTGACTAAATAACATTAACTCATAAAATAAAATACGTTTTTCATACATTACATGGCAGATGCAGTGCCACAGCTCATCCCATCATGGGCCATGTTCTTCCATGTTCTTTGCATGTTTTCTTGTCCCTCGCAGTTAGATGGAGCCATATGAGAAGTACTAGCCAATGAAATGTGAACAGACATGACATGTGTGTCACTACCATGTTGCTGCAGTCAGAATAGGAGAGCCCAAATCCTAGAGCAGCTTGGATCCTGGAGTCACCATCTACAAGACAGCGACCCCTGGGGGTTCTCTGGACTGACAGTGACCTTGTATCAATGAGAAATAAATGTGTTGGACTAAGCCACTGAGATTTGGGAATCATTTGTCACAGCAGCATAACCTTGCCTATCCACACAAATGCACACACAAACATGAGAACAAAAACGAAATACACATTTTAAAAAGATGTGAGGAGAAAACACACCAGAATTTTTACAGTGCTATTTTTAGATGATGGCACCTATAGGTTAAAGAAAGAGCTTTTAACCTTTTTGCATATTTTCAATGTTATCGTAATGTAAAATGGACCATGTGATTGAGCACTTGCAATCTTGGACATTTATCCAGAGAAATGAAAACTTAAGTTCACACAAAAACTTGTAAAAAAGTATTCATAGCAGCTTTTATGCCAAACACTGGAAATACTCAGATGTCCTTCAAAGAATGAAGACTTAAGCAAACTGGTACATTCATATCATGGAATGCTACCATTCAGCATTGAAAAGGAATGAACTGTTGGTACACACAAAAAATTGAACCCAAATATTCTGAAAATGACAACATTATAGAAATGGAGAATAGATTAACATTTGCCAGGGTTGAGGAGGAATGAAGCTGGGAGGGAAGTGGATGTGGCTATAAGAGGCAGCAGGAGGCACCCCTGTGATGATGGACGTGCCCTGTCTCTTGACCGGATCAATGGTCAATGTCTTGGTGGTGATATTGTACTATAGTTTTACAAGATGTTACCACTGGGGGAAACTGGGTGAAGACTATACAGGTGATCCCTCTGTATTATTTCCTACACCTGCGTATAAATCTATAATTAATTATCTCAAAATGAAAGGTTTAGTTTTTTTCAAAGAGGTTTTTAAAAAGTCCAAAGAGTGACAGGGATGTATGGTAAAGACTGTTCATATCTACTCTTCTTTTTTTCTTACTCACTGAGTTCCTATTTTGGGGGACTGCAATAGATGCAGTTAATAAAACTACTGTCCCAAATTCCTTTCCAGATGAGGACGGCCAATAATTATTAACCGGACGTCATTTTGAAGAGCTTCTAGGAAACCTCTTGAAAGGTTGCTAAAACCCTTCCCCCCTTGCTCCTTGCTTCTTCCAGATGCCTGGAACGCGTATGCGATGGTTGGGGCTACAGATGCCATTTTGTTACCATAGTGAAACCTAGTACTAAACACAAAAGACAAAAGGCACTCAGATGCCAATGATCACAGAGACATCATAGCAGCCCTGGACTGCCTCTGAATTTCTTGTTTAAGCCACTCATATTTGATTTTCCATTAAATACAATCAAATCTAATCCTAATTAGTATACCATATAATTCACCACATTGCTCTCTGCTTCATTTCCCCATGCCCAGTCCCACTCCTTACAGAGCAAAGGAAATTTGTTGGCCTGGGTTTTGGTTGTGGTTAAGGGTAATAAGTAAGTCTGCACAATCAAAAGAGCAGAGAATGTGTGGATTTTTTCACATTAGAAAGCTCTGGAGAAACTTAAAAAATAATAATGATTAGGAAGTTGAAAGAGAAGGAAGAGAGGAGAGAACAATGCATAGTACCAGCTAAGATCATAAGATGATTTTAAGTGTTTTGAAAAATTTTGGAGACAGAAGACAAGTGAAGAATAGCTGTGGATGTTTTCCTATGGAATTATCTCCTTGAGGCCTCTTAGGAAGGTTTCAGTAAAGATTTGGGTTAAAAAATTTTTTCAGGCAGGGCATGCTGACTCACACCTGTAATCCCAGCACTTTGGGAGGCCAAGGCAGGAGGATTGCTTGATCCCAGGAGTTCAAGACCAGCCTGGGAAAGCATGGCAAGACGCTGTCTCTACAAAAAAAACACAAAAGTTAGGTGGGTGTGGTGGCATGTACCTGTAGTCCCAGCTACTCAGGAGGCTGAGGTGGGAGGAAGGTTTGAGCCTGGGAGGTGGAGGCTGTGGTGAGCCATGATCACACTACTGCACTACAGCCTGGGTGACAGAGTGAGACCTTGCCTAGAAAAAAAAATTGTTTTAGTATCAGAATGGTGTCTCTCTGATTCTGACTGCAGGCTGAGACGTACCTGGTACACAGTCGGTCTCAGTGTTAGTTCTTCCCCTTCTGGGACCTCTCCTAATACAACATCTGCCATGGCATGGCCAATCTGCCATAAATTACCTCAAGATTCAGGGATCAGAGATAAGAGATACACTCTCAGCTTCTCAGAAAGGAGAGAAAAGCATTTAAGGTAATGTACTGGAAAAGAAAAAAAAATAGCTGTCTTTCCACCTGGCTCTTTTGCCAAGTAGCAAAGAGTCTGGGAAAAGCTGGAATGTGGTCTTTCCTGCCTGGGAGATGAAAGCCAATCCATGCACCAGGAAAGAGAAGATCCTGGTGCTGCCAAAAACCTAATGTGGGTGCTGGAAAAACACTGCAGCCTTGCCTGGGGCCTCGCTGGCTACCTCTCACCTGGGCAGGTGGTGGTGCGGGGCAGAGCATCCAGTTCCAGGAACATGTCGATAGTGCCATGGAAATTCAGGGAATGGAAGCAACCAGAGTGTTACCAGAAACTGATCTGCAAGACCAGGGCAACAAAATTGGCTGTGGTCTCTATCAAGCAGGTAGACATGGCCAGGTTGGTGGAAGGAAGTTGGGAGGTGCTCAAGGGGGAAGTAGAACCTTCCCGCACCTGTCAACAAGGGATTGTATTGCCCGGGAGTGGTTTGGGAGGTGAAGAAGGCTATGTTGGGTTCCAAGAGCATCTGGCTCAATTCTACCTCTTTTGAAAGCTTGAGCTCTGCCCCCTGCCATCTTAAGCAACTGGGCCCCAAGCTCCGTTCGGGGACAGGGCAACTGATATCACAGGGTTACTCACTCAGTACTGGGGCCGAGTGACCAGCATGCTGGTCTCACTAGGCAGTAAGGACTCAGGGATGTCACATCACACCTCCAGACCTTCTTCTCAAAAAAAAAAAAAAATGGGGAGGCTAGACAAGGCAGTCTCTAGAGAATCTGCCCATGCTGAAATTCTGTGACCCTACAGGAAGGCTTCCACGACACAGCAGCCCCAGCTGACCTTCTGGGCTGGGCTGGTCTATCCATGCCTGGCCCTGACTGTTGAAGGGTCACACCAGGCCACATGGGTGTAAGTCCCCCAGCCCTTAGCTGTGCAGAGAATTGTGATGGCTGAGAATTGATGCCATCACAAGGTGACGCTGGACAGAGACCCAGGAACCAGTCCTTCCCCTCTCTAGTTTTGGCTAATTCATTCACCTCCCTGGACCTCAGCTCTTTAGTCCTTTTCCATCAACAAAACCAGAACAAAAACCCTGCCCCTCTCACAGGCTTTCCCTGACGATGCTGTGAAGCTGGCACCAGGAGGAGCCCTGAAGCCACACCCACAGCTCTCACACCAGCCACCCCAGGAACGCAGCCAGGGCTCGCCCTGCAGAGAGGCCTATTTAACTCCTTTATAATATATTTCTGGTGCTTCCTATGGGGCTCTAATGTACACCCAGGGATGAGAACCACATTTTACAACTCTGCACAAGTACAGGGGCTGTTATTACCAATAACGGTGAAAAATTCAGTCACGTGATTTACTTTATACAACAGTAACAACCAGTTTGACTGATTTTTAGCACTAATGACCATTTATTTTAACATTGTTTGACACAACTTCAGTGACCCCACTCAATGACCTCTTAAGTTTCTGTAATGTAGGATTGGGCATGGTGGCTCATGCCTGTAATTTCAGAACTTTGGGGGGCTAAGGCAGGAGGGTCACTTAAGGCCAGGAGTTCGAGACAAGTTCAAGCAACATAGCCAGATCCCATCTCTACAAAAAATAAAAACATTAGCTGGGCGTGGTGGTGCACACCTGTAGTCCCAGCTACTGGGGAGGCTGAGGCAGGAGGATCGCCTGAACCCAGAAGGTTGAGGCTTCAGTGAGCTATGATCGCCCCACTGCACTCCAGACTGGGCTACAGAGTGAGACCCCGTAACAAAAACAAACAAATGAACAAACAAAAATGTCTATAATGCTTCAAATTTTGGAAAGAATGAGGGACACATAAGGAAAAGGTAAAAATTTAAATTAATTTTAATGACTCCCTTCTAAATTAGTGGTGTCCAGACGTCAGTCTTCAACACCAAATAGATCCTACTCACCAGGGGCTTTGGTCCACATCACAGATGTCCAATATCACTTTGTAGAGCAGAGTCCAGCCCTCGGAGGGAGGATGGGAAGTCTGTCAGCAAGAACCCCAGGTAACTCGGAAGCACAGCCAGGCTGCGGAATCACTGCCATGGGCACGTCCTGCCAGGAGCAAAGCCCTCTGGGAAGGGAAGGAGTCGCGAGGCTGCGAGCATTGGGCTTCCCTGGGCCTTCAGGTCCTCAACCAAGCAAACGGACACCTGCGAGTGATGGCACCAGTGCAAGCGAGTCCAGCCCCCCAGAGTCAATTAGACCAGGCAGAAGGACACGCTCACCTATTGGCCACCAGGGACCTCTGAACCCTGCACCAGGCTCCACATGGCATGACAAGCATGGCCTGGCGGCTGGGAGCACTTGCTGCACCTGGCCTTTCTCCTCTTCCCTCTTGTCTGGGCCCTACACAGAAAGCCTCATCCCTTCAACCCCCTGCAGGCAGCCCTGCCCTCTCCATTCCTTCCCTCAGGACGGGCAGACTGAGCCTCCCGCTGGTCACCAAGAGAACAAGATAGAAGCCGTCCCTGCACTTCCAAACTTAGAGTCTAAGCTGGGGGGACAGGCAAGAACCAGGCTGCACTGGGAAGGGCAGAAGGTGCTGCAGGACCTGCAGGAGGGCATCCCCCACGGGGCTGCCGAGAGAGCCTGCTGTGCCGAGGACCTGGCATCCCCATGCCAACTTTGTCACCACACACTCCTGAAGAAGACGCTATTCTATCTCCATTTTATGGTGGAGGACGTGGAGGCTCAGAGGTTTAAACTACCTAGAGTCATGCAGCTCTAGGGAGGGAGCTGGAGTTTCAACCCAGAAGCAGACACCAGGGCTGGTTTTCTGAATCGCTGGGAGCCTTGTATGCTCTCCTAAGACCTCGCCTTTCATTTAGGAGCCGTTTAGGCATCCTAAATGCTAATGGGTCTTTAGGATTTTGCCCGTTATTGGAGCCCACGAGAGGATGGAGCCAGAGAAAAGGTGACGCAGGCCCTAGAAACACCCAGGGAATTCCAGGTCCCCAGTGTGGGCTCCAGACAGAGCAGAGGATAACACTTCCGCTTGGCCCTCTGGACTCCCTGTCCCCTAGGAAGTGGTGTGGACGGAGGGGACCGAGCCAGCCCCTCTAAAGTCCAGGGCCTAGGAAGGGCCTCTCCTGCCCACACCCACGGGTGGCACACAAGCACCGAGGACAGCTGTAAACCAGCTCAACCACCTACTAGCTACGTGACTTTAGGCCACTGACTTATCTGCTCCACGCCCTCCTTACAAAACAAGGATAATACTGCTTTCCGCGGAGAGGCTATGAAGATCACAGTGAAGATTAAACAAAGATGGGTATTAAAGGCCTATTGTGTGTCCCCAGCTCTTAGGCACTTGCAGTCACTTTTCTCAAATGCCAACCTCCCCCCCTCAGTTGTCAGCTTCCTTGGGGGTCGCTCCAGTGGAAGAAAGCCTCGCCCGAGGCGGAACCCCTGGCAAGGCAGTGCCTGACCAGCAGAGATCCACGAGGGGCTATAAAGGCCACGCATCCTCATCCGGGCCCCAGGCTGGGGCAGCAGGAAAGAGCTGTCCCGCCTTCAGAACTCCCTGTAAAAGTGGCTGCGTTTCCACTGAGGCGCCACGGCAGCCCAGCTTCTAGCCCGTCCAGCCTGCTCCAGGGCCTCCCTATAACGGAGACTGGTTACAAGGCAACCAAGTACAAATCCTAACGAATGTCCGCCCTCTGACCTCCTTCCCAGGGGACATATCTGTGACAGCTGAGCCTGCTATGGTTGTCGCTCTACTGTTTGTGTTTTTATTTTTTTAATTGTGGTAAAGTACTCATAACATTGACCATCTCAGCCATTTTTAGGTGTACAGCCCAGTGGCATCAAGCACATTTCTTGTTATGCAACCATCACCCCCATCTGTCTCCAAAACTCTATCATCCTGGGTTGAAGCCCTGGACCCTTTGCACACTCGATCCTCATTTCTCCTCTCCCCAGCCCCTGACAGCCACCATTTTGCTTTCCGTCTCTATAAATCTGACACCTCTAGGAACTTTACAGAAGCAGAATCGTGCAGTATTTGTCCTTTCGTGACTGGCTTATTTCACTTAGCATCATGTCTCCAACATTTCAACGTGTTGCAGCATGAGTCAGCATTTCCCTCCTTTTTAGGGCTGAATAATATTCCACCTCATGTATATGCCAGTGTTTGTGTTTATCCATTCACTTATTGATGAATCCATGGATTATTTCTACCTTTTGGCTATTGTGAATAATGCTGCCATGAACAAGATGTACAAACAGCTTTTCAAGACCCTGTTTTCAATTCTTCTGGGCATATACCTAGAAGAGGAATTGCTGGATCCTATGACAATTGTACATTTAATTTCTTGGAGGAAACTCCATTCTGCTGTCCACAGCGGCTGCACCATTTTATATTCCCACCATGGTGCACAAGGAATCCAGATTCTCCACATCCTCACTAGCATTTGTTGTTATTTTCTGGTTTCTCTCTCTCTCTCTTTTCTTTTTTTTTTTTAGACAGAGTCTCACTCCGTTGTCCAGGCTGGAGTGCAGTGGCGCCATCTCGGCTCACTGCAACCTCCACCTCTTGGGTTCAAGCGATTCTCCTGCCTTGGCCTCCTGAGTAGCTGGGACTATAGGCATGTGCCACCATGCCTGGCTATTTTTTATATTTTTAGTAAAGATGGGATTTCACTACATAGGCCAGGCTGGTCTCGAACTCCTGACCTCAGGTCATCCACCTGCCTCGGCCCCCCAAAGTACTGGGATTACAGGTGTGAGCCACCGCACCTGGCCAATTTTCTGGGTTTTTTTGTTTGTTTGTTTGTTTTTTTAATAGTACCTATTCTAATGGCTGCTATTGTTTTTCAGTTTAGATTCCCAGCGTCCCCCTAGAGCTGCTCTGTTTATAAAGTGTCCTAGGCAAGTCTGACACACAAGTAGGCTTGAGACCCACAGCTCTGAAACCCAGTAGTTGCAGTGTGTGTTCCAGCACGGATCTGTTATGCGTTTCCAAGCTTTTAAAATAAACATCACGAGGAACAATGGGGCAGGTCTGGGAATGTGCTATCCAAGGCCCTAGGTTCCCTGTCTCCTTCGAAGTCACCCCCACGTCTTTGCCAGTAAAATGGGAGCTTCCAACCGAAAGGCAATGAGATCCATTTGGCCTTGCCATTCTCTGACTTTTATATGGGCTTAAGACCCTGACAGAGAACTTACAGTAATCGCTTTGGCTGGGAAATCTCTTGGATTGACAGACACCACACACCCAGGGGAATCAGACATAACGTTCCCCGTTCCCAGCATTTATCTTCCTCTATCCTGCACATACCATGGCTAGAGAAGCCCTGATGGTCTCATCCTCACGGCTTTCCCATGATGCTTCACAGGAGCTGCGAGGACGCTTCAGGGCCAGGGACATCCACTGCCCAGGCAGGAGGGGCCAGGGCAGTGAGGGTGTAGGCCCTCGCCTCCCAGCCCTACTTTCATGCGGAGCTGCAGCGCCATGCCTGAGCCCAGATGGGAGACTTCTCTGTGGAATAAAAGCCTTGTAGGGGTTTTCCCTTCCTTAGAAAATTCCCGGATTCACCACTCCAGTGGATTCGCAAAGCTTTCACAGAGGAGGAAGCGTGAGATTCAAACAACCCACAGACACAACTTTCTTCCAGCAAAACCGATTCTACTCTCAAGTCCTTCTTCATTCTCCTCATCCACTTGCTGACCAAACTCTTGTACTCATGGCCATTACAGTTTCTTAGGCACTCAGGCATGTGTCGGGAGCCTACTCTAGGGACTAGGACTATGTTCAATTTAGGAGGAAACACAGCACACGATAGCAAGCCTTCAACCTTCATTTGTGAATCCTCAGGATCAAGGGCTTTGCCTGAGAAATACCCATGGCTAGCTGAGTCCCACCCGCTGTGGTCTCACTCTGACCCAGTAGACCACAGCCTGCCCCAGCCAGGACAGGAGGCTGCTCGATGGTGGGTTGCTGTCCCTGGCTCCCAGAGAGCTCAGTGTTCTCTTGGGAAGGCTCACAAATACCTATTTAAGAAGCTTCTGGCCAGGTGCGGTGGCTCATGCCTGTAATTCCAGCACTTTGGGAGGCCAAGGCAGCTGGATCACTTGAGAGCAGGAGTACGAGACCAGCCTGGACAACATGGTGAAACCCCATCTCTACTAAAAACACAAAAGAATTAGCTGGAAATTCTGCTGGGGCCCCTTTCTGGCTGTGCTTCCGGCTCCAGGACAACACACGGGATTACAGATGTGCAAGCAATTCCCTGAAGCCCATGAGTCTTCCTGGAAAGAGATAGTGGATGCGGCCGATACTGTTGGCTGCCTCCCCTTCAGCCGCCCCTGCCCCACCTCTTGCTTGCTGTCACAGGTCTGTTTGGGCGGCCTGCAGTTGCTGGGCCTCTCCCAGCCACAGGAGTTGAATATGAGCTGGCCTAAGTCAATTATGCAGTTCCATTTCCCTGGTTGTAGGGCACGTGATCCAACCCTGGCCAATGAGAGGATTCTGAGAAAGTGTTTTCATCCAAGAGAAACACGAATTTGAGACTCATCTCTTCTTGCTTCTGGGGATTGTCACGTGTGTATGGAAAGCTGGGTGCTGCTGCAACCACCACGTGATCATGAGGAGAAAGCCAAGAGAATCCCAGAGTCTCTACTCATGAAGCCAGTGAGTTAATCAACCCCAAATTTCCCTGCCTCTGGACTTCTTACTAGACAGGAAAACAAACCCCACATTCTTCAAGCCACTTTTAGCTGGGAATTTTGTTTCCCATAGGCAGAAGCATCCTAGCTGCTAATAGTCTCCCAAAATACAGCTTCGACCAAAGGGGCCAACAAGACACAGAGCGGCATCAGCCAGGGTGTTAAATGCAAACTTGCGTTATCCACATCTATGATAATGAGCTGTCACGTGACCAAGGCTGGTACACTGGCCATCCTGTCACATTCGGGATGCAGAAACTGAGGCTCAGGGAAGTCATAAGAGCAAGACTCCGTAGTTCTTTTTTTTTTTTTTTTTAATTGAGAGGGAGTCTCGCTCTGTCGTCCAGGCTGGAGTGCAGTGGTGCGATCTCAGCTCACTGCTAACCTCTGCCACCCAGGGTTCAAGTGATTCTTCTTCTGCCTCAGCCTCCCGAGTAGCTGCAACTACAGGTGTGTGCCACCGCAACTGGCTAATTTTTTTTTTGTATTTTTAGTGGAGACATGGTTTTGCCATGTTGGCCAGGCTATTCTCGAACTCCTGACCTCAGGTGATCCACCTGCCTCGGCCTCCCAAAGTGCTGGGATTACAGGCATGAGCCACCACACTCAGCTGACTCTGTAGTTCTTTACACTTCGCAAAGTGTTTTTATGTAGAACATCTTACTTAATCTTTGTTAAAATTGCCATTATTATCCCCGTTTGATAAGTGAGCAAGTGAAAGCTAAAAGGGAACACTAAGCTGCTAATAGCTGTAGTGTTTTATGGTTTGCAAAGTGCTCTGGGATAATTTGTCTGATTATTACCTTGAGATCTAGTCTGTAAGGTAAAGGTTGATAAATCAGGAAGCAGGCTCAGAAGGGGCAACTGACTCTGCCAAGCTCCACTAAACTCCAAGGCTGTTCTTCCCATACCAGAGGTTCTCACAGTGTAGGTCTTGGGCCTGCAGTCTGAGCCTGGCCTGGGAACGTCTTACAAATGCAAATTACCTGGGGGTGGAGCCCAGCAATCTGTGTTTTACCAAAACCTCCAGGTGATTCTGCTCACACATTTGAGGAGTGCTGCAGCGCTCTCTCTCTGATTTGTCTGAAATGACCTTGCCAGGTGAATCTGGGGCCTTGGTCAAGGACCAAGTGCTCTTTCTAGTACAGCAAATTGATGCTAAACTAAAAAATAGAAATAAAAGCTATGCTCGGGCCGGGCGCAGTGGCTAACGTCTGTAATCCCAGCACTTTGGGAGGCTGAGGTGGGCAGATCACGGGGTCAAGAGATTGAGACCATCCTGGCCAACATGGTGAAACCCCATCTCTACTAAAAATACAAAAATTAGCTGGGTGTGGTGTCACGTGCCTGTAGTCCCAGCTACAGGAGGCTGAGGCAGGAGAATCCCTCGAACTCAGGAGGCTGAGGCAGGAGAATCCCTTGAACTCAGGAGGCGGAGGCTGCAGTGAGCCGAGATCACGCCTCTGCACTCCAGCCTGGCAACAGAGCGAGACTCCGTCTTAAAAAAAAAAAAAAAAAAAAAAAAAGTTATGCTCAGAGCTGTTGCTCCATGACTGTAAAATCCCAAAGCATACAGTACACAGTCACGCAGCACACAATGGCATTTCTGTCAATGACAGACCTCATCAATGACAGTGCCCCATGAGATGATCATGGCGCTGCATATACAGGTGTGCCATTTAAAAAAATCTTTTATACTGTATCTGTACTGTTTCTTTTCCATGTTTAGAAACACAGATATTTCACATTGTGCTGCAATTGCCTATAGTACTCAGTATAGTACCATGCTGTACAGGTTTGTAACCTTGGAGCAATAGGCTACAGTATAAGACCTGAGTGTGTAGTAGACAACACCATCTAGTTTCGTGCAAGTATACTCTATGATCGCATGATGACACAGCTGTCTAACAACACACTTCTCAAAATGCATTCCCATCATGAAGCCACGCATGACTCCACTATAAATAAAAGACTGCCCTTCAGGGTTGAAGGAAATGATTTTAGGATCAAGAAGCAGGGACTGTAATATGATACACGTCACAGAGTGGACTCATAGAACTTAGGGCCCCAGCTAACAGTAAGGCTGACAATATAGATATCCATCCAGAAGGGTTGGGGGCCTCCTCAGAAACTGATCCATCATGAGTGGTGGAGAGAAAGCAGATTATACATGTAGATCTCCTGCTATGCACCAGACACTTGACGAATGCGATGTCATCTAACTCTAATATTCCTTCCTGCTGGGTATAACCAGCCCCGCAGTATCTTAAAGAATCTGGGGCTTGGAAAGCTTCAATGACTCGCCCAAGGTTCACGTAGCTAGTGAGTGGTGAAATCACTCTTTGAACGAAAGTCTTGTTTCCTCCAAATTCAATGCTTTTGGCTACTTCATTTTACAATTGATCCTTCTGTATTGAAGAAAAAAAAAAACCTTTCAAAGTAGCCCACATCTGAACACCAAGATTCCATCTGCAGCCTGAGGCTGGCCGGCTCTCCACTCTGAGCCCACGTCCCCCCTGATTCCCTATCTCCTCCCGTCCTCTGTGCGTACCTGCCCTTCCTGGAGGTCATCATGCTCACTTTTGTAACTATCACAGTGCCTAGTGGAGCTCTGAACAGAGCAGGTGCCTAGCTAATGTTACCTAAAGTATTTTCAGACATTAATGTTGGAGGAAGGCTCGGTCTTTGGGGATCGATGACATCCCAGTGGGTGCCCAGTGCCTCAGGCCACTGTTAGACAAATCAACTCCGGGTCTGAGGCAGGGTGAAAACTCTTTCTGTCCCTGTGTGGCTGGGTTGTATCAGCCCAGCACCTCCAGCAAGCCACAGAGTGGTTGCTCAAGAGATATTGTTGACAGATTGATTTACTGACTAATTTATATGACATACTTATTCAATGACACAGGTCTCTTGGAGGGAGTTCACAGGAAAGTAACCAAGATGATTAAAGGATTGGAAAATGCGTTTTACAGGGAAAGGTTACAGGGACGGGTTATTTAACTTGGAGCTGAGAAAGCTGTTGAACACTGCATGCACAGGCCATCGAGCTGGAAAGAACCGAAGGCTTGTTTAGTCCAGACCCCTTGATTTCCACCTAAGAGACCAAAACCCAGGAGCAGAGGAGCAGAGAACTATGTTGCCAGCCACAGTCTACACTTCGTGACTGCAGGTCCAGGGATCCCTCCAAAACACCAGGTGTCTCCCTCCAACACACACACACACACACACACACACACACACACACACGTGCACTCGTAAACTAACACATGCATCACATGCACACACACGTCACATGCACACCCACCTGTATACACATGCACACTCATGTGCACACACCCACACCCACATCACATGTGCGCACACACACCTGTACAAACATACACACTCATGTGCACACCCACACACGCATACACACACACACACATTAAACACAGAGGTTCAGAAAACGGCAACCAGCTCTCCTCGTCCCCTCCTGTTAGAAGAGAGCAGCAGGCCTGTCTGAGGTCACTATAATTTGTAAGAGGATTTCTGGAAGATGTTTATATAACCGAGAGGGTAAATAAAGAACGATGTGGAGTGCACATCTTGAAGGTGTGTTCTCACTGTCTGAGATGCATTTCTGGGCTGTGCACCTCCCCCAGGGAAGGAGTCCTGGTGCCTTCCCGCGACCTCCTCCAAGCTTCCACCCTGAGGCAGTGTCTTTGCTCCTTTTCCCTTCACTGTGCAGCAGCTGGGGAGGGAGCCTGGGGCAGGGGGATGAGCTGGCTGTGGGGCATGGTCCCATGGGGAAGTACAGATCTGAGGCACAGGGACAGTTAGCTGCAGCCGCGCTGGACCTCGTCTGAGGTCTGGGCCATGGATCTCTGCTCACTTGCCGTTGGAACCACTGATCTCCCCTAAGCCTCGTTTTCTCCACCAGAAAACTGGGACGGGAGACTGGCACTTGATTGGCCGCTGGGGGGATGTCATTACCATAAAGAGAGCAGACCCCAGTTTGATTTTGTGGCCCTTCCATGACTTCATCTGTCCGGGCCTCAGTCTCTTCTGCACAAATGGGCCCAGGATGCCAGCCTTGAAGCTGGGTAGAGAAAATTCAATGACCTCATTGATAGGGACCTTCTATGCCCCTTCCTTACCACTCTCTCTATTTGCCCTGGGTCTTCAGAGATTCTTGAAGTCTCGGTCCTCTAAGAAGCAAATTGGACACCTCCCCAGAATCTGCTCCCACCCCAGCTGACCTCACCCTGCAGGAATCAAGGGGCAGCTGCCCACCTCTCCCTCCTCTCCAAGAGCCCCAAGAAATCCTCAGGAGGGATTTCTCCCTCTCTGACTCCAGCGACTGCATTGCTCACCCTCCAGGTCCAGGTGGGAGAAACAGACAGGCTGTGATACTAACATCCTGTAAATCAACGAGCAGAAACCTGAAACTCCACTGTGTCGTGTTTAAACATGATCTGCTCCCAAACAGCCCAGCAGGCCTTGCAGAAGAGAACCGATCCTGCGTCACCGCAAGCATCCTGTTCAAGACATCCCTCCCAGGCTCTCAGGCTGAAACGCCTCCCCACTTGCTGTGACTTCCCAGAGCCAAGACTCTCTGCCCCTCAGGTGGCTGGCTGACCCTGCGGGACATAGGCAGCTGCTGACTCACCGTCCTCCAGGGAGCACAAGGGCATGGCTCAGCCCCTAAGCCTCAGGGGGACGTCCTTTGGAGGAAAGTCAGGCCAGGGGGAACACCGCCTCCTTCCCTGCCACTGGCTCAGTCCCTCTGGGCAGCAGGGCTGGCCACCCTCCTCCGGACAGTCCTCGGGGCCACTCTCCTTGGCCTGAGAGCCTGAGGCCCCAGTCCCTTGGGCAGGAGCCCAGCCTCCTGAGCTCCAACAGATGGTCCATTTGCACAGAGACCTGCCACCCTGGCCACTCTCCCCAGAGGGAGCTGGATTATGGCAAACCCAAGAGGATTAGTGCGGGAGGCCATCTGCAGAGAGGATAATTAGCTTAATGGGGTTACACGGATTGTTCCTGGCCCTCTGCCCAAGGGTACACTTGTCAAGACTGTTAAACACAGCCTGGGGGCTTGCAGGGGAGCCCTCTGAGCACCAGCAGCTCCCACCCTGTTCCAGTTGTCTGGGTGGGCCATGACAGGCCTGCAGGATTGGGGGAGCGCCCCGCCCACCGTGGTACTGGGCAGGAACACCAGGTCCTGAGTGGGGGACACCAGGGGAAAGGTGGGGAACTGTTTTCCATCTCCCGGAAGAAAGCAGAGAAGGAAACATGATGGTATTGCATCGGGCAGGAGGCAGCACGTGGAGGCCCGAAAGAAGCAGCTGAGAAGTCAACCCGTCCTCAGCCATTTTCTCCACCAAAGCCGAACAGCAGCTTCCCCTCGAAGGGTCCTCCTTCTTCATTTCAGACAAAATGGATCATTTTGGTTTTAGGTTGGCAGTGCCTATGGGGAGCCACAGGAGCCTGGAATGTTCAAATCAACTCTCTCGGAGGGCTGGAAATTTGTTTTTTGTTTGTTTAGAATACACTTGTTTAAGTGCAGGGCTGCCTGGAGGCAGGGGACAAACTGTGACCTCCAGCCTGGCAGTTTCCTCCCTGGAAATTAACTAGGTGGAAGGGCAGCCTGTGGAAGTCATGGGGACTCAGGGTGTGTTGCCATCAAGAGGCGAAGATTTAGTGTATGTGTAGTCCGCATTGAACTGATCAGTTCCACAAATGAAATCACTTAAGCCTTGCTTCTGGCTGACAGACACAGCAGGTCAGTCCCAGTGATCAGATGTGTGTGGATGTTGGCTCTGGGGTGCAGATCACACTGTAGGTGAAAGATAGGCTTGCCCAGGTAATTTTAATAAGTTAGCATAAGCATCGTCAAACACAGTAGTGATCAGCCAAAGTCCAGATGCTTCATGCAGAGCACAGAATACGAGTAGCGCAAAGGCATTTCAGATGATGTACGTTTGGTTCACATGTAGTGAGCACCTACCTGCAAAGTGTACAGCAGTCATTGCTATTCAGTAAATGCCAGTTCATCCAAATCCATGAATAAGCACAGAGTTGCAATAAAACATTTCACTAGCTTCTTTTCCCCAGGGGAATGTGGGGAAACATTGTAAGTAAAGGGAAAATATAATTTGTTCAATGTCCACACTTATAAAGGAGAGTATACTTAGTGGCCTCAAAGTGGGGTTACCGCATATTTTATCAGCTAAACCAAGGCACTTTGGGGAGTGAAACAAGACATTATCAATTTCATCTGGAAGACAGGAGTAAACCGCAACTGTCCCCAGGCAATCAGCACCCAGGGCTCCCTTACCTCGAAGAATGACCAAGTGTAACATCTCTGATTTTGTGAGTTGCATAGTCAAATAGCCTTTGTACTACAGAAAACCTACTTCAATGATTCAAAGCTGCAAGACGGTAGCTAGAACTTTTGAACCTGAGCCTCAGAGGTCTTTGTACCAACCAACAAGAGATTCATGGCTCAATGTTTCCCAAATACCTACTATGTTCCACCTGCCCTCTTAGCCACTACTGAATATGCAAAGAAACCTCAGAGAAGCCAACATCAAATTGTAGCCACAAAAGATAAGCCAGTTAAAGTAAAATACCAATCCTAGACTTTGACAACCCTTCCAAGTGGCTGAAAGCAGAATATGCAAAGTGACTATTATTGACAGTAAGTGCTATAAATATTCCAAAGCTAGAAAGACTATCATGATGGGAAGGAGGACATCACTCCTGAAGGATGAAAAGGAGAGGGCATTTTGATCCAGATGAAGCAGAATATCTGTGCATGAATTTATACCCTCTGCTCCGATTTCATAGCCATGAGGGACCAAATGAAACAAAGGAACAATAAAAAGATATAACTAGGGTTTCCCCCTACACTCCCCAAAAGGCAAACATCTCTATTGCCCAAAATTAGAAGAAAAACACAAAGCAGTGAGTAGGACTGAGACCACAGGCTGGCTGGGCTCCTCCACACCTTTAAGACACAGAAGCTGTAAAAGGGAATGCTGACCCCTGTGTGGGGGCATGGCTTTATGATACTAGATCTCTGCTGGTGGAGCAGGGGTTGCCCAAGGATCACGTGGCAATGGTTGAAGACATTTTTGGTTGTGTCAGCTGGAGGGGGGAGTGCTACTAACATCCAGTGGATAGAGGCCAGGGACACTGCTAAATACCCTGCAATACACAGGACAGCCCTCTCCATGACAAAGAATTACCCAGCCCCAAATGTCAGCAGTGATGAGATTGAGAAACCCTGGTTTATAGGAAGCCATTGGTGTAATACACACAAAGTATCTGAAATACATTTGTGCTACTCATATTCTGGGCTCTGCATGAAGAAACAGGACTTCAGCTGATAACTGCTGGGTTTGATAACCTTTATTCTAACTTATAAAAATTATTTGGTTTATAAGAAGACATTGGTATAATAAGTAAGAGGGAACAAAAAGATTCAGCCGCATGGCTGGTGACTGGGTCTAGAATATCCCCCAAAATATTTGCAGAAGAAGAACTCCAAAAATGTCACTAGGAGATTCGGTTCTGACTAGGAAACTGCATGAGGGCCACCACAAAACTACTACCCAGGGAGGGTAGCAGATAGAGAGGGAGAGAAAACAGAACAAAAGCAAACCCGCTACTCTAGGTGAGCCTGAAACCAACATTTAAAATCACATGACAAATATGATGTACAGAAAGACAGTCAACAAAGTCAGCAATGAGAACATGAATTCACTCCAAATGAAATTAATTTCATGGGATGGTCTGATAAAGACTTAAAATGTGCCTTAGCTGGAGCTAGAGGGGTACACGGGAGAGCTCGGAAGGAGAGAGGCTTCATAATTACCATATAGCAGCCACTGTCTAGAGTTTCAAAAACCCTAGGAGGTAGGTATTATTATACCACTTCCGATATGAGGAAACCGAGTCATGGAAATGAGAACTAATTTCCCAGGGTCATTTGGCTGGTATGTGGCAGAGCCAGAATTTGGGTCTAGGCAGTTTGGCATTGGCCTCCATGCATCTCATCAATACACTGTGCTTTGGGTAGAGAGAACAGCATAGCCCCAAGAAGGGATTTTATTAAAGATATAAGAAAGAGAATGAAGCATCAAAAAGGGAATGGAGAGAGAAGAGTCAAGCAAAGCAGTGTGAAAACAGGCTAATTGTGTTCGCAGGGTGCAGGAATGGTAATCCAGCCATGGCTGCTGAGACACCCAGGAGAATAAAAGGGAAATGGCACCAGTTCTTGGCAGTGCAGGGAGCCCTGGTGGCCTTCAAGAGAGCTGTTCAGTCGAGAGGAGAGGGCAGAAGAGAGAGAGACTATAGGTGAGAAGGTGGTGGGGAAATAGAGGCAGGAATGACAAACCTTTTGTTTGGGAAGTTTGCCAGTGCAAGGCAGGAAAGAAACAAGATGGTAGCCAGAGCAGGCAGCAGGAAGTGGCCGGTGATGGGGAGAGACTGAGGATGCAGGAGGGAGGGGACAACGCAGGTCCTAAAAAGGTGAGAGGAGGAACCACAGCTTGTTGCTGGGGCCTGGTTCCTGGGACCGGTATGTAAACCCAGCCACGGGGCATTTATGCACTGAGTAAGAACTACAGCGGGCTCCACATCACCTGGACACAGCCCAGGACAGTGCAGCCTCTGGACCGTCACTTCCTTAGCTGTTCTCAAGGGAATTCTGCCACCGCAGGCCTTCCTAGGGATGGGCTGGTTTTCCACAAGCTGCCGCTGCCGGGCCATCATTCTTACACGTGGGCACAGCCCCTCCTTCCTTCAAAGGGCATGCCCACTGTCAGCTTCCACCACCATTGGCAGCTCCTTGCTGCTGTCGTCCTTGGACCTCATGGACTCGCTCCCTCGTTCATGAGGAGTTTGGCACCTGGCCATGCAGAATCTCCCTGTCCACTTGAGAAATGCCACTGTTCCCTGATGGCCCTATGTCTGTGTGGCACCCATCCCACAACCTGGCCTCAGATCCCCTCAACTCAACACCCTTCATCCACACTCCAACTCACCAATTCACTCCCCATCTGTTCCCCAGGCTTTATCACCCAGATGTGATCAGCTCTAGAAACCTAAACTCAAAGAATTCAGTCTCAGGCCACACTCTCCTATGCCTACAGCTCTCTCCTCTCCTGCTTTCACCACAGGACTGCCCGGTAGCCTTTCAGCCATTTTGCTCCCATGCCTTCTCCTGCTTCCTGGTTCTACAGTGGCTGTCTGCCTAGCCCCATTCTCATGGGACACACTTCATACACTCTCTTGCAGATCAACGCAACGACCTACCTTCCTCTCCTCCACTGCACCAACTGGAAGCTTCCGGAAGAATTTGCTCACTTCTGTGGATTTAGGTTACTTCAAATTCACAGTCTCAGCATTAACTGAGACTTTGATTCATTTCCTCAATATTTTTCTCATTCCCTGGTCCAGTCTTTGATGCTCTTTTCAAGGTTTCTCTCATCCCCTGGTCAGGTCCAGCCCTCACAGTTGCTACTCCAAATCTTCACCAGCTTCCCTGAGTCACCATCTCCACGGACCTTTGGGCAGGATAATAGGAGATGAGCTATTCTTAAGATTGTTCCTCTGCTCGTTGCAGAGGAATAGCAAATCTCCCTGAAAGAAGTTGCTCTGTGTCCTGTTATAGTTCTGTCTCTATGATTGTCTTTACCCAGACACCACAGTAAGCGACATTCTACAGTCACATGAGCTCAAATGGACTTCAGCAGGAAATCTACCAAGTCCTTACTGCAGGGCTGAGGTGGCTGCTGTGGTTGGATTAGGAGTTTTGTCTTCTCGTTACCCTCTGGATTCTTCTCTTTCCTTCCCCTCTGCACGCCTCTTTACTCCTGGGTGGGAAAGATGCTCATGTTTTTTCTCCTTACTGTTGAGAAGGCTCTCAGCTGCAGGCAGCCAGTCCATGCATGCGTGGTCTTTACAGGGCGCCATCACTGGGGTTGTGGCTCGCAGGACCCCTCGGTGCTCCCCGCTGGACACGGCTCCCCATGTGTCTGATCTCTAAGGCCAGAGCAATCCTGGAATGAGTGGTAGGGCCTCAGAGCAGTGCTTCCAAAAGGAATTGCAGCCAGCAGTGAGTTGTGGGCAGTTTGTTACTTACACAAAGTGGGGTAAGGGCAGACATGGTGGGTATGCATTTAGAAACTTAGAGCGATTTGACTTTGTGGTGATATCCAGGTGCAAGAACGCTTGGCTCGTATTTTGTGTGTCTAATACGTTTTTTAATAATTCCTTTTATTGTATTCTTTTAAGTACTGACCGACAATAGGTTCAAACTTTTTAAACCAAACAAATAGGTTCTTCCTTCCCAGGCGTTGTTGGAGAAGCACTTCTCTCCCCTGGGAGCCATCATGTCTTTCCCCTTTCTTTAGAGGGAGCCACCGACCTGGCTCATAACGATGCAAGGCTGGCACCCACACTGTAGTCGGCTTCAGCTTCCATAACACAGGACCACAGACCGGGGGCTTAGATTGCACAAACATATTTCCTCACAGTTCTGGAGTCTGGAAGTCCGAGTGGAGGGTGTTGGCAACGCTGGTTTCTCTGGGGACCCCGCTCCTGGCCTGTAGATGGCCGTCTTCACCCTGTGTACTCACATGGCTGTCCTGTGAGTGTCTGTTTCCTAATCTCCTCTCTCTGTAAGGACATCAGTCCTATGGGATTAGGGCCCTTCTCATACGACCTGATTTTACCTTATTTACTTCGTTAAAGACTCTATCTCCAAATACAGTCACATTCCGAGGAACGGGGGGTTAGGACTCCAACTTGTAAGTTTGGGAGGACCTGATTCCCCCTTCACACCATGAATTCACATACTCAGGGCCCCGTCCTCCCAGCTTTTGTGCGACTCCCACAGTCCCCAGCAGCTCAGCTCTCCCCTTTCAACAGAACCACAGATAAGGAAGGACTCGAGAACCTGGGCTCATTTCCAAAGTGCCCGACCGGTTGTAAACTGGTAAACCCCCAGGGCTGTTGCTGGCCAAATTACTACCATCAGGGGCTTCTTTCTTTCATTAATTCAACAAATATGGATCTGGTTTTTCGTTATGTGTCTGACACTGTTCTAGGCACAGGAGATACCAAATAAACACGCAGTGCTCTCACGGGCTGAAGTTCTGGGGTCTCCAATTCTTCCTTTCACCTCTCAGGCTCCCAAGATCGCTCCCTCCTTTCCAAAGGCTGCTTCAGACCAACCCTCCCCAGCCTCTGACCTCCCAGCCACAGCCTCCCCTCCAGGAGAGGCCTTGACCGGAACTCCTCCAGCCAGTGTGCCAGCCCTCCCAGGCAGACAGAGGACAGGCTTTGATGAAATTAAGTTTCCACATGGGTCTGAGTACTGCAGGACCACTCTTGGAATCACGGGTGTCCTGTTCTCTACAGATGCACTTCCAAACCTCTGCAGATCCACCCCTGCCCCCACCTCCACAATGACATCATCTCTGCTCTCTCGTAAAGTGAAAATCAGACTGAGGTCTCTCTCTTTTCAGAGATTCAGGTAAACAGGCTCCAGCCCCGTCTTACTGGATAGGGAACTTGGCATCTCTCCGCAGATCCATGAGGGCATTTGGGGGTTAATGCTTACACCTAGTGAGACCCAAGTCTGGTTTACTGCGGCCAATTTCTCATCTATCATCTGTTGGGGTTAGGAAAGGCAGCAGGGGTTAGCTCACAGGCCTGCAAGGGAGGACTTTTGAGGGTGACCAGTATGCAGCCCTGCACACCAAGCCTTCGGGCTCAACCCTCCTTGCATGAAGGAGTGTCCTGGTGGCATCTCCCCTGGAACTCCCTACTGCCCCCACTTCACTCTTGCCTCCAACCTCTTCACGAAGAGCCCTAATCCTCCACCTTTCCTACCCATCTAGTGTCCTGCCACATCTCTTTTCCAGCCAACATTTCCTTATCCCCGGGCAGAAGGTCGATGCCACTGTGGCAGACGGTGTTGGCTGTCCACGTGACTTCTCTACCTCCTTCCTGGCTGGAGAAGCTACTTTTGTCCAGATATTGAAGGCTCGCCCCTTCTTACATAGAGCCCTGAGCCAGCACTGACTCCAGGAATCGCCCACAGCCATCCTTCCACAACCAAAGAAGCTATTAAAAACAAACTAAAAACCAAAGCTATTAAAACAAGCTATTAAAAAGAAACTATTAAAAACAAAAGACTCTCCCCAGGGGGCATGCCCCAGAGCTAAAGCTCACTTCCACATTGCACTTTCCCACACTAAAGTTAGGGTGGTGCTAGGGATGGCTCTTCTCAACCTCCCCCCACCGCCCACCTCTTTGCCCACCTCATGGTTGGTCCCATCACCCTCCCGCTTCCCCTGACTCGGGGCAGAGAGATCCCCAGCTGGCCCCAGGCAGCTCATCTCCTCTCTCTCTGCCAGACCCTCAATCCCCAGTTAGTCGTGCTCTATCTCCGGTGCAGTCACCTTTTGCAGCCAGTGGTCACATCTGGGTCAGGGCCCGCCTTTCCTCCATCCCAGTCCCCTGAGGGTTCTGTCTTCACATTCCAGGTGCAGGCTGGTGACATGGTGTACTCCTCCCCTGTCCTGGGAGCTCTGGACACCCCACCTGGGTGCTTTCATTCAACAAATACATTGGAAGGGTCAACTCCATGCCAGGCACTGCTCTGGGCACAGGTCCCCACAGGGAGAAAGCCAGGCCCCTGCTGTCCTAAGTAACATCCTAGTGGGGAAGACAGACACATAGTAAACCAGTCCAAGGTAAGGGGTAACCTGCCGGGGAGGAGGATGAAGCTGGGTAGGGAGGTGAGAGGAGGGGGAGCTGTTGCAGAGGCATGCTCAGAGGATGCAATCCGAGGATGTGACATTAGATGAAGGCCTGGCCAAAGTGAGCTGGCCAAGCAGGCACCAGCATTCTGGACAGAAGAAAAAGGCACAAATGCGTGAGGAGGAGCATGCCCGAGGCATGGAAAGCCCAGCAGTGGGGATTCAGCAGAGCAGATCTCGCCAGATGGTGCCGGAAGTCACGGCAGCATCATATAAGCCCTCACAGGCCATCTCTGTAGCTCATGCTCTTAGCAGTGTGGCTACTGTTAAGGGGTCAGTAAACATTTGTTGAGTGAATGAATGAATGAACGACTGCTTTGAAGCATGCTTAGGTTGACCGTGTCTTGAAAAGGGCCTTTCTGGACGGTTTATCTTCCCCTTGCCATCTCCAGGGGCCTGCGCTTATGGTAACCTGGGAGCAAGGCCTATGTTCTGGCTGCTACTTCCCCAGGGAAATGAAGGTTGCCGATCTGTCTAACAGGCTGCGAGCTCACAAGCCCAAACTGATGTTCTGAGAAACTGTCCACCATGGGGTAGACTCGAGTTTCATCACGATGATTTGTCCTTGATGGAGTTCCTTTTATGTGGATGAGAAAGCTTCCCAGCCCCCACCCCCATGCTCCCACCCACCCCCCGTCCTGGAAAAGTCTCACAAGATGACGGCCTGACTGTCCCTTTCTCAGGGACCTGAGAGGAAGTAGGAGGTGCAGCTCACATGGGTGACAAAAGGAGACATCCTGAGGCCTCAACACCCCCACTTCCTGGCTCTGGCAAATCACTTTACTTCTGTGAACGGCAGCCCCTCGCTGCCTGGTCCACCTCACAACCTCATTTGACCCAACCTGAGCCTCAGCAATTCAAGCCTATAGCACCTAGTGCAGCTATGTGGAACTCTAAGCGCAAGCGACAGCAGCTTAACTCAAATATGGGTGTTTCCTTCTCATACATCACAGAAAGTCCAAGAGTTAGGAATCAGTGACTGGTGCAGCAAGCGTTGGCTCTCTCCAGGGACCCCGGGATGGGATGCCCATTCATGTGCTTGCAACATGACTGCCAGAGCTCCAGCAATCATCCCTGCTGGATGGATAAACATTCCCTGCTGGAGGAAAGAAAGGCATAAAGGGTAAATGGGCTTCCCAAAGCCCAGAAAAGCTGTCAAGGATCATGTCACATGACTGATCCAATCTGCAAGGGAGGCACCAAAATGTCATTTTTTTTAACAGTGTACATTGCTGTTGGCACCCCCCAAAAATAGGAATTCTCTTGTAAAAGTACTAGGAGAGAATAATACTGGACAGATCACAAGCAATGTCCGCCACAATCCACCCCCTGGAGTGACCCTTCAGCCATAAACATCTTTTTCATATTCACCTACAATTGGCCCTTCCACTAAGGGATAGACAGGGTCTCTGGGAAGGCTGTCCTCTCTATCAAGTCTAGATGTGGTCCTTGTAAGTTATAAACAGTCAAACTCGAAGAGTTTGCCCCTAGCACATCCCATACATAATGGCAGAAAAGGAAGGGAACTGCAGTAAAAACTTCCTTCAAGAAAAGAGAACTGGCCAGGCGTGGTGGCTCACACCTGTAATCCCAGCACTTTGGGAGGCCAAGGCAGGTGGATCAAGTGAGGTCAGGAGTTTGAAACCAGCCTGGCAAAAACCCCATCTCTACTAAAACTACAAAAATTAGATGGGCGTTGTGGCAGGTGCCTGTAATCCCAGCTACTTGGGAGGCTGAGGCAGGAGAATCGCTTAAACCCGAGAGGCAGAAGTTGCAGTGAGTGGAGATCGCACCACTGCACTCTAGCCTGAGTGACAGAGCCAGACTCCATTTCAAAAAAACAAAACACAACAAAACAACAACAACAACAGAGAATAATGGGAAACACTCAGCAGTCACTGGGCCATGACAATTATCAAATTCTCTTGAACAAAAATAATGAGGGATCTCTGTCTTGGCAATGGATTACATTCTTTGGTTAAAACCAACCTGGCCGATTTTGCTCCAGCTTCCGGGTGAATCTCCCTTAAGCATTAGTCCTCCATTGCTTTTTCTCTGGAAGGTTCCTCTTGGTCTATTATTAAGCTAGCTTGGTCTGCCTAGCTTTGTCTCAGAAGAGTGTTTGGGAGGATAACCTTCTTCATAAATGCACAGCTTTTAAAGCTTACCTGTTATTCATTTGGGTTTCGAGGTTCTCAAATAGTTTCAGAGATTTAAGAGTTAAAGGATGTTGCAGGTCAAGTTGGGTTTTCTATAGTGAAATGGTTTTCTCAAAACTTAGTTCACTTTAGTTGTAATTGCTTCCAGTTGATTTCATGCAAGTAACACATGGAACCAAAGATCTTATCCAGGCATAATTTTTAGGGCTGAAGCTACTTGTCTTTTACTTATTGGACATAGCCACTGTGCAATCCCCCATTCCCTAGCACTTAAAATATAGCTACCAACTTGAGGTAATTTCTAAACCTATAAGCTCCAGCTAGAAGGTTAAAGCCTGTCTTTGCCAGGAGACCATTGCTTTGTCTGATGAGATAGGCCGTTTATCCCACTGTGGCTGCCATTTTGAAATCACTACTTATAAATTCTTTAATTTGGGGTATAGAAGCACTTGGGTTGCATCGATCCTGCAGGACTCCATATTGTAGTGTTCTCGTCTGTACACTTAGGTTCATAGCAGCTTATGCACAATAGCTAAAAGGTGGAAGCAACCCAAGTGTCCATTGATGGAGAGGTGGATAATGTGGTAAATACATACAATGGAATATCATTCAACCTTTAAAAAGTAGACAATTCTGACACACGCCACAGCATGGATGAACCTTGAAGACATTATACTAAGTGAAATAAGCCAGTCACAAAAGGACAAATGCTGCATGATGTGTGAGTACTGCAAGCGCTCACTTATATGAGGTCCCTGGTGTAGTCAAATTCATACGGACAGAAAGTAAAATGGGGATTGCCAGAGAACTGGGAGTTAGTGTTCAATGCATACAGAGTTTCAGTTTGGGAAAATAAAGAGTTCTGAAGATGGGTGATGGTGATGGTTGCACAACAATGTGAATGTATTTAATGCTATAATACTGTACATGTAAAATGGTTTAAATGGTACATTTTATGCTATGTTTATTTTGTCACAATTTTAAAAAATCATCTTAAATAAACATATGAACAACAAAAATTGCAGTGATCTCATTCAATATAGATTACAGATCACAGGTAGAGGATGTGTCTTCTAGAAAAGCGGTATTTGGCCAGGCGTGGTAGCTCATGCTTGTAATTTCAACACTTTGGGAGGCTGAGGTGGGAGGATCACTTGAGCCCAGGAGCTCCAGACCAGCCTAAGCAACAAAGTGAGACCTCATCTCTACAAAAAACAGAAAATTAAAAAATATCAGCAAGGTTTGGTGTTATTCTTGTGTGGTTCCAGGTACATGGAAGGCTGAGGCAGGAGGATTGCTTGAGCCCAGGAGGTTCAGGCTGCAGTAAGCCATAATTGCACTACTGCACTCTAGCCTGGACAACAGAGCAAGACCCTGTAGAAAGAAAGAAGAGAGAAAGAGAAAGAAAGAGAGAAAGAAAGAAAGAAAGAAAGAAAGAAAGGCTGTATTTGCATCTATTTCTGCTTGCAGACTGTCCCACCCTAGTTCAGATTTATTTCTCTGTCTCTGAACTTCACTGCTAGCAATCTCGATTCTTCCTGCCATATTCTGCAATGCTACAGCCTTGGTTAGTGTGTGGTACATGATCCAAGGTACAGCAGGAGACACAGTTTTTAAGAACGTTTTCAAATGCATCACAAGGTCACTAGCTTTTAGTCTGTAATGTTTGATATATTAATTTTTCTTTACCTACCTTCTTCATTCAGTCCCTGTCAAGTATTAGCTTCTTTTACTTATGGCACCCCACTCCTGGTACCATAGTCATAAGTTAGGAGATGTTAGAGCTGTGAGTACCATGACTTAAGTGTGGTGGCTTAAACATGAAAGGGTTTGTTTTTGTCATCTGATGAGAAGTCCAGGCATAGTAACTGCTGGTATTGGCTCAGTGTCCCATGGTGTCAGGGGCAAGTCTTCTCTCATTAGATTGGTCTTTTCCCTTATGATCCTAAATGTTTGCTGAGGCCTCAGTCATAGTGCCCATGTCCTAGGTAGGAAGAGAAGGAGAAAAAAAGGCAAAACTGTGTGTCCCAGCTGGAAATACTCTTCCTAAAAATCTCTCCTGATGTTCCACCTAAGAAGTTCTGCTTATATTGGGAGAAATTTTATCATTGGACCACTCCTAGCCAAAATAGAGGCTGAGGAAGATAGCTTTTGGCTGACCCTATTGCTGTACCTGCCCCTCCTCCACAAAATATCAGGGTCCATTAGGAAGACAAAAGTAGAGAATAAATATTTGAGAACATAAGCATTCTTTGTATCTTCACTAAAGAAACTCAGGTTCTCTTGATACCATAAGCTGACATCTCCCAGCTGATCTGTCCACTGTCCTATTAGACTGCTTTCACCTTTTCCTTGGTCATTCTTAGTAGGTAGAAATAGTTTTTTGGATTTTTTTTATTATTTTATGTATTTCCTTTAAATTTAAATATGTTGTATTTGTAAACAAAATGTTACTTGTAAACAAAAAGTTACTTATGCCATATAAGTCACTTAGGGCAGTATATCAACTAGGGTTCTCCAGAGAAGAAAGCCCAGTGGGATGGATAGATTGATAGATTGTAGAAAGATAGACGATTGATAGATAGTAGTTAATTGAGGGATAGATAATTGATAGATAGATGGATAATTGATAGATAATAGTTAATTGAATATTAGATGCTAGATAGATGATATACATAGGTGAAAGATAGATGATAGATAGATGATTAATAGATAATAGATAATTGATGGATAGATAGGTAGATAGATAGGCTGTAGATAGATAATAGATGATGAGTAGATAACAGATATATAGATGGATGATAGATGATGGATAGGTAGATAGATGATAAATGATAGGTAGGTAGATAGATAGATAACAGATAATTAGGAGATTTATTTTAAGGAATTGAACTGGCTCATATGATCACGTTAGCTGGCAAGTCCAAAATCTGTAGGGCAGGCTTCCAGGCTGGAAGATCAGGGAGTAGTCGATGCAACAATCTTGAGGCAGAAATGTTTCTTTTTCAGGAAACCTCAATTTTTTAAGGCCTCCTTTGAGGCAGAAATTTGTTTTTCAGGAAACCTCAATTTTTGTAAGGCCTCCAATCTGTTGAAGGGCTGGCAAAAATTGAGGTTTCCTGAAAAGGAAACATTTCTGCCTCAAGACTTCAGCCTTACTCACAATACTGTGAGCAATTTCCTTAATTTAAAGTCAACTCATTATAGATGTTTACCACATCTGTAAAATACCTTCACAGCAACATCTTGACTCATGTTTAATTAAATTCCCGGGTACTACAGCCTAGCCAAACTGACACATACAACTGACCATCACAGGCAGGTAACATGATGCAGATGAAGGAGCACTAATATCAGATCAGAGGCTTCAGTTCCAATCCTGACCTTGATATCTGACTACTGATGCCCTCTTTTCTTCTCTGAACCTCATTCTGTTATCTAGAAAAGTCGAGGGCTTCGGCGAAAGGATCTATGTGCTCCCTTCCAGATGGACTACTTTTAGATAATGTGACCATACCAATATACCTTCTTATATTTCCAGCATCCAAGCTCATGTCTTAGCAGGGGGTCAATGATGATGACAATGAAGATGATAAAAACCATACTGATGATGATAATGATGATAGAGAATAAAAAGGGAAAAATAATGGTCAAATCTTGCATGCAACCAAGAATAGTCAAAAACTCTATTGTAGAGGTGATTCTTGTAGCTTGAAGCAAGTGGTGAAGTAAACTCTGCTTTTGTACTAACTAGAAGCCTAAATGTCAGGCCCTACCTGGAAAACTCCTGAATCCTGCAGCAGTGTTGATAGCATGGCCAATTCTTAAGTTATGTGATTTTTGCACAAGATATTTAATGCATCTATGCTCAATTTCATCTTATATCAAATGGCAATGTTAATAATTATATCCATCTTATAGAACTGTTGCAAGGATTAAAAGACATAATGAATTTGAAGCTCTTGAAATAGAACTATCTACTAATGAAAAACACTCTTCACTGCTGTTTGGTAACTCTGTGAGGCTTTTATTTCATTTTTATTACCAAACAGGCCTTTAGGATAGGTAAACTGAGATCCAAATATTCATCCCACACACAATAAATGGGAAAAGACACCACAAATGCCATTAAGCTCAAGCCTGCCATGCCATGTGGCTTTTGCATGGCTCTCAGAAGAGATTTGAGAATGTCCATGTTTCTTTAGCAAGAGAACATTGGATGTGGCCAAAATGAGTCAAGAACATAGGTGGGCTCTGTCCGTAACCAGTTTTTGCCATCAATGTCACTTTGTGATTCTTTTGATTATTCACCAGTAAACTTGTACTGAGTCCCAGCCACCATCCAGGCCTGCAGTGGGCACCAGGGCTCCAGAGGTGACTAAGACACTGTCCATGCCCTCGCAGGACCAGCAGGCTAAAGGGGGAAGCCACCATTCAATCAATACACAAGGTGCAATGTCATAAGAGCCATGATAGAAATGAACACAGCCATGCAACACACAGTTGTGCCTACTATGTGCCAGGTATGTACAGTGGTAAATAACACATTCATAAATAAAACAAAATGCCCTCTTTGTCTTACAATCTAGGAGAAAGCAGCATTAGAACAATCATCTACATGAAATGAAAAAATTACAACCTGCAAAGTGCTACTGGGGGTGCATTTAATGCTACAAGAGCATGTGACAGGGACTCAGGAAAGGTTTCCTTGAGAAAGGGATGATTAACTTGAGACATGAAAAGCCAGAAAGAGTTATCTAGAAGAGCAGAGGAAGAAAGAGCATTCCAGGGAGAGAGGGCAGCAGGCAAAGTCCTGGAGGGAGTGTGGGTGAAGCCAAGGCCAGTGTGGGCCGGAGAAGAAAAGGTCACATGAGGCTGGACAGCCACATGAAGGCCTTGGGGCTTATGAATGAGCAGCCATGGAAGATTTGGATGCAAGAAATTGACATAGTCTAATTTCATATACGCATGTATTTGTGTGTGTAGAGAAAGGGGAGAAGGTGTAATATACATAAAATTCAGAGATCTTAAGTGAGACATATATATACACCAGTGTAACCACCTCCTGAAAAACGATGCTACACAACAGCACCCTAGCAAGTGCTCTTGACAATGCCAGTCCATAATTAGATTTATTTTTTTAGTTACCTCTGGCAACAGTGTGGAGAATGGATGGTGTAGGTGTGGGGGTTGGGGGGGGTGGCAAGAAATGGGAATGAACTCTACTTGGGGTAGCAATGGGATTCAGAGAAGAGAATGGGCTCAATAAATGTTTAGGAGGCAGAGTTCCCAGAGCTTCAAGGCAGCTGGAAAGGAGTGAGGGTGAGGAGTCAAGAATGAGGTCCAGTCCATCAGGTGTGGTGGCTCACGCCTGTAATCCAAGAGCTTCAGGAGGCCAAGGCAGGGGGATGGCTTGAGGCTAGGAGTTTGGGACCAGCCTGGGCAACATAGTGAGACCCCATCTCTACAAAAAAAATATTAAGAATAATTATCCAGGCGTGGTGGGTGTTCACCGGTAGTCCCAGACACTCGGGAGGCTGAGGCAGGAGGATCACTTGAGGCCAAGAGTTGGAGGCTGCAGTGAGCCATGATCATGCCACTGCATGGCTTGAGCAGTGGAGGGCACCTGATCAGCCAGGGTTGAAGAGGGATCTGGAGGGTTTTCCAGAAGAACTAATTTTCGTAGAGGCTGAGTTTGGTGGTGTCAGTTAAGAGTCGGCCAGGTGGGGGGATTTAGAAGTGCATTTAGGGAGGACCCTGAGAATGGATGAACAACAGGCAAGCAGAACCAGGGGTCAGGGAGGCGTTCCTGACAGCGCCGTGCCAGCACCTGGCCCCCGCCTACCTTAAGCAGACGTGAGATTTCTCAGTCATGTGAGACAGCACATTCGCATTTGGCCTAAGGTCAGGCTGAGTCTCTGACAATTGCAGCAAAAAGCGCTGTACTAATACTGACTCTGAGAAAATGGAGCAGGATAGGACACGGGATGAGAAGGGGCTCTAGCCTTGGGGTATGGAGCCCCATCCCAGCTGCATCCTGGGGAGGTCCCGGGGCCACAGACTTGGGAAGGACTCGAGTGAGGGGCTCCACCTGAGGGCCAAGGCATGGTGTCAGCCTGGGGGACACACCTAGCACTGCATTCAGGACAGCCCCTGCCAGAGGAGCCTGGACATGGAGACCCCCTTCTGACCCCGGATCAGGACTCCTGCCAGCGACACACCCCAAACACTCAGAAGCCCCCGAGGACCCCTGGACACCCCACAGGCGGCGCAGGTCCGCAGGTATCCGTTCTTTGGGGAGAGGTGTGGTGAGTCGCACACTCCAAGACAGAGAGGGGTGAACACCGCCACTGCGTAAATGTGTGAGTCATTTTCTGTGGATGGACATTGAAGTCACGTGGTTGGATAAAGTCATTGAAGACTAGGTGGCCAGGAAGGGCAGTGAGGGCCCTGAAATATCACCATCACGACGGGAGGAAGGTGGGCGGGTCCTTGACGCAGTCACGTGGCTGAAGGAGGATGACGGTTCAGGATGGCCAGAGCCTCTTCCAAGACAACCCCCTGGGGAAATGGGGTGACCTGGGGAGCCAGGGGTCCTGGGCAGCTGCCCACCAACCCTGGCGAGTAGGACCAGGCTTTCCTCACTGGGACTCTGGGCAGTGAGGCAGAGGAAGGAAGGACTTGCCTCCCAGGCAACCGGTGGGTGCCAGTGACTTCCAGGACAGAGAAGAGCAAGGCTGGCCCGGAGAAGGAGCGAACCCCTCCCAATCGCCGCCTTCAGGGGCTTGGGCACTGCACTTGGGGACACCCCTGAAGAACTGTTTGCTCTACCCCAAAGCAAAGTCATGACACCAGAAACAGAGCCATGGATGCTACTGGCCAGTGGAGGAGGTCGGGGAGGCCAGACCCTAATAGGAGGAGTCAGGGAGGACGTGGAGGCAGCAAGCCCGGGCAGTCCTTTCCGTGGAGACAAACACCCCGACCTGTCGGCAGGCAGGAGGCATGAGGCTACAGTCAGAAGAACATGAGGATGACGGGCAGCATGTGTGCATGCGTGTGCGCGCGCATGCATGTGTGTGTGCACGTGTGTGTACATGTGTGTGCCTCCGTGTGTGCATGTGTCTATGTGTGTGCAAGTGTGTGTGTGTGTGTGTGTGTGTGTGTGTTTATGGGAAGCCTCAGAATGCTCACTTCCTAAAGGAGAACAGGTTATGAGGGAGATGCAAGGGGGGGTTCCTGTCCCTGAGCAGGTGCAGGTGACCAGGCCCAGCACATCGCAGGAGGGGCCGGGAGGAGAGAAGCCTGGGAGAAGCCATTCGTGACCTAACAAAGCTGGCACTGGCCACCCCCAGGGTTCCGGAAACTCTGAGTCAGTCTGGCTCCGTCTCCTGGCAACCAGATGCAGGGGCCATGGCACTCTTAACACCCCAGGGAGTGAAAGAAGTCTTCCAATTTCAGGTGAAGGAAGAGAAAATGTGGCTTTTAAACAGAAACTGGCTCATCCTGGGCACATAGGGAGGTGGGCACTGGAAGCGCCTCTTCAGGAGACCCCGGGGCAGCCACCCCGGCTCAGCACAGCACCTCTGAGGCTGTGACGAGATGTGGGGCCCAAACTTCAGGCCAGGGCTTACCAGCCCCTGGACCTTGTGGGCTGTTTTTCAAGCCACATGCAGGCCCAGAAGGAGCAGATCCTGCCTGAAGGGAAGTGAGGGACTGTGCCTGCCTCCTCTGGGACCCTGAGGGTCCTGCGAGCCACTGTGTGCAGGGAGTGTGTTGGGGGAGGCTCTGCTGCTTTCTAGGGGGTGCTGTCTAGATTAGGCAGAAGAGTGGTGGCAGTGGAAGAGGAGTCTCTGGGGGCCGAGGACAGGACTCTAGGCCTCCCTCTGTCACTAAGGCCACCATTGGTCCTCCAGGGTCCCTTGGGGTCCTCCCAGCCAGAGGATCCCTTGCCTCAGGAAAGCAACACTCTTGCGTGTGGTGGGTGAGTCTCTGCTGCACCCCAAACATTTTTTTGCCACTTCCTTTAAGTGGCACTTGCTTCTCCTACATCTGCTGGGAGCCTATAAGAACTTTCCAGAAGGGCCAGCTGAACTCTCAAGTAAAATGGGTTTTTACTTCTAGGCAGGGAAAAAAGTTTACCTTTTCCTCTTGGCCTGCCCGTGTGTCTGAATTTTCACCAAGCAAGACTCATTCCTTCTGCTAAAGCATTACCTCACCAAGCCCCTTCTTGGTCAGTCACTTACACTGTAGTATAAATTTCATTGTCAGATCAATGCCTCTACTGCAGTCAGTTAAGAGTAGACTCAGGAAAGTCAAATTTTATTTTAGGCAGGGGGATAGGGATCGTATTTCAGAACCTGAGGCCTGCTGGAGGTACACAAAACCTGGGCTGCAGTGGCCAGCATGAGAACTCTCAGAGGAAAGAAAGTCCTAGAAGAAGAGCAAGTCCCAGGAGGAGGGAGTGCTGCCCAGAAACCAAAGCACAGCTCTTCCCAGGGGTACCCACATACCTAGTTACTCTTCAGGGCTCTGGAGCACCACTGTGGGGACCCCAAAAGTGTCTTACCCAGTAGAGATGGCTTCTCAACTCCTCAACCCCATATTATACCCTGCAACCCCCATATCACACTCTCCAGCCTCCATATCATACCCTGCAACCTCGATATCATACCCTGCAGCCCCATATCATACCCTCCGACCCCCATATCATATCCCACAACCCCCATATCATACCCCACAACCTTCACATCATACCCCGCAACCCCCATATCATACCCCACAACCTTCATATCATACCCCGCAACCCCCATATCATACCCCACAACCATCATGTCATACCCTGCAACCCCCATATCATACCCTGCAGCCCCCATATCACATCCCACAGACCACACATCACACCCTGCAGCCCACATATCACAGCCTGCAGCCCCCATATCACACCCTGTAGCCCTCATATCATGCCCCACAACCCCATATCATACCCCACAACCCTCATATCATACCCTGCAGCCCCCATATCACACCCCGCAGCCCCCATATCACACCCTGTAGCCCCCATATCATATCCTGCAACCCCCATAGCACACCCTGTAGCCCCCATATCATGCCCTGCAACCCCCATATCACACCATGCAGCCCCCATATCACACCCAGTAGCCCCCATATCATGCCCTGCAACCCCCATATCACACCCCACAGCCCCCATATCACACCCTATAGCCCCCATATCACACCCCGTAGCCCCTATATCATGCCCTGCAACCCCCACATCATACCCTGCAGTTCCCATGTCATTCCCTGCAGAGACCACAAGGTCGGGAGCGCCTGCGGAGGCTTCTGAACTGGGAGGAGTTTGACGAACAGAGAGACTCCCGGAGGAGCATCCTGCTGGACACCCTCTACGAGAGCATCATCTTTGCAGTGGGCAAAGGCTTCCCATGGGTGGAGGTGGCCCAGGTGGTCAAGTTCACAGAAGAGCTGCTAAGGGAAACCAAAGGTATGGCGTGTCCAGGGCAGGAGTCAGCAGAGGCTGGCGGGATGGGGTGGGTGCACATAGAACTCCCCTGCCGTCCACAGCCCCAGCAGCCTTGGAGGAGCCAGGGCCCCTTCCTGCCCTTCCCTGGCATTGGGCCTCCTCACATGCTTAAAAATAAGGTCTCTACTCAGCCTTCCCAAACATCCTCACTGAGTCTTCATTGGTCTGCCTGACTGCAAATCTGAACCACTCCAAGCTGTTTGCACAACAGGTGTTTGCTTTTGTTTTGTTTTCGTTTGGTTTTGCTTAACATAAATCAAATGTGTCACCTTCCCTGACTTAAAACCCTTCATGGACCTGAAGGGCTGCACGTTGTTCCTGGTAGGAGATCTGGCTTTGCTGCAGGTGCCGGGGGAGTCCTGGAGCTTGCTCACGCAAAGATGGGGGATGCAGTCAGGTGGGTGCATGGAAGCAGCATTGCCCACTCCCTGGCCCTGTGCAGGGCTTGCATGAGAAAAGGACCTGGTGGCATGAGGAGCTGTGGTCACTCCACCCACCTCTTGGGCAATGAAGTGCAGATTCATTCATTAAGCAAATACATGGGGCAGGCTCTCTGGGGCTGCCCTCACAGTGATACTTCATTCCACGGAGAACCATCCATGGGTGCTGAAAGTGGTGGGCGGATGCTTGATGAGAAATGGGATACTTCCATGCTTTCTAAGAACCTCTCCCACAACATCCTTCGTAGTGACAAAGAGAAAGGAATACTCTTACAGGGAAGAAGCTGACAGCTGCCTCCTTAGTCAAATGATCCAAGTGGACATTGTCAGTAAAAGGCCACACACAGAATCCCGTGTGCCTGGTCAGACGCAGTGAGCAGCCAGCATTCTCCTGTGATGGTTCCAACAAAGACTCATGGCCCGAATCTAATCAAGAGAAAACAGCAAAGTAGGACCATGGCTCAAAGTAGCCCTCCTGCCAGCTTCAAATACTCGAAGGCCATAAGAGCCCAGCAAAGACTGATAAACCTTTCCAAACTGAAAGAGGCGAAGGGATGTCTTCACACGTGACCTGTGACCTGTCTGGGTCTTTTTGCTATGAATGAGGTTATTGGGAGAACTGTGGAAACCAGAGTGTGGTCTGGGGACCGGGTGGTAGTGACATGTTCAGGGTGAGGGTCTGGATCGGATGGGTCGTGATGATGAATGTTCTTGCTTTAGGAGATACACGTGAAAGGATGCTTCGGTGGGGTGTGTAGGGTGGGGCACTTCTTTTAAGTGGACTGGGAAGAGTTTCTTTCTACTATTGTTGCAACTTTTCATTTAATTTATTTTGCTTTGAAATTATTTTCCAAAAAAGTATAATAATTTTTTTTTAAGTGAGGTATATTAGAGGTCTTCCCTGGCTTTCTGGTCATAATCTCAGTAGCTGCCAATCACACAGGCTGCACGAGGCTGTGTCTCTCACACACAAGGCGCCATCCTTAAGGCACCCAGAACTCATCACTCAGTCCTGCTGGCAACACCTCAATGTCCTTCTCTAACCTCACCACTTCTGACCACCCCCAGGGCCAGCACCATTTCCACCCCCCTCTCTTGATTGGTCCACTGCTTTCAAATCTTGCATTCTGCAATCGATTTACCAAACAGCGAGTGCTTTTTCAGACACACAGAATGTCCCACGGCACCTCTGTTTGAAGGCATCCAGTGCTCCCAGCCTTAGGCACACCTGGGTCAGCCTTTCTTTAATCTCTTCGGCTGCCAGGTTCTCTTCCAATTCTCTCCTGCCAGCCTGCGTTCCCACCCAGTGGTCCCAGCCTAAAGGCTAGAGCGAGACATGGCATCACTCACAGGCTGGACTCAGAGATTCTCGGGACATCTCATCCCCCTCCTGCCATCCCTAGCCCCATGGACAGGAGCCTTCAGGGTATCCCTCAAGGCCCTGCCTCCCCACTGCTCACAGCCACATGTGAGTACCAGAGTTCAATCCCGGTGTCTGAGCTCTAGAGGGGCTCGTGGCCAGAACAAACACTGACAACCAGGAAGAGGAATGTCAGCCGCAAGCAGGTGGGAAGCGAACTCTTTCAAGTCCCCATCAGAGCCTCCACAGGCCAAGCCCTTGGAAAACAGTCGATGATGATGCAAACCCAACTTCAACCCAAGATTAGGGCGCTCTGGAGCTTTCGGCACTTCTGGTTGGAGCATGCCTTATCAACACAGCACAGCTATGTCTCATGGACTCACCAACTGAGTGCACAGAAAACTCCTCTCCCTGACTGCAGGGAGCCCCTGGATGCCAACTAAGCTCTTCCAGCTTCCACAGACACCCCCTAAGGAACAGGGAACCCCTCCTCCTCCTGCACTTCATTCCTTACATGACCACACTCATCATTAGGAAGTCCTTTCTTGTATCTAGCCTACAGCTGCCTTCCGCCCCTCTCCAAATCTGTCTTCCAGATTCTTAGCAGCGTGTGGGCCCTGAGCATATTTATTGGGCTTCATATAATGCGACTAAGTACATCTTTCCATTTGGACTAGACATCCTAGTACCTTTCATTATTCTTTTTAAAAACTCAAATACTTACTGAAATGCTAGCTAAATTTCTGCTACATACATTTATCTAGAGCTTCCATAAATCATATATGTCATTTTATTTATTTAACATATGTTCATTATTTACCATATTTTAGTCTTCAGATGCTATATATAATGAGTCAAATATGCCTGTGTTTACTACCACCCATACCACACCACCTCTTTTTTTATTTTAATATGACATCATTCCCATAGACCCTGCCCCCACCACCTCCTAACTAACCTCTGCCCCCTCTCTTGCTGCCCTCATCCAGGTAGCCTTGTGTTTGCCAGTATTATTCTTAACATACGGCATCTGGATTCAAACACAGCAATCGGTGAGGTGGTCAGGGATGTACCACCTCCCCTGTGTTGGTCATGATGCTCCTGTTTATATAGCCGATGGGTGCACTGGCTTTATCAGCATCAGGTACACAGATTGGCATCAGGCTGGCAGTCCACTAAAGCCCGTAACCATTTCCCCATCCTGCCCTTGTGCAATGGCGATTTCGAATACACCTGCAGGATCTCACAGTCACCCCCACGGATACCACCTCGTTCAGACTGGCCTTCCTTTCCTTCCTCCTGAAATCTGCTCAGCCTTAATCCTGGGCCATCCACCTTACGAGTTCCTCCTCTCACTTTCGTATCATCTGAAAGCGTGTGAGGCATGGTTAATACAAACATGGACTCGAAACAAGCTCTTAGGTGGGCTTCCCATGCCTGAAATTAAACTGGCTGAAAATAGACATCAGGAGGCTGGGGGTCCAGAGGGAAAATTCAGGTCTTACCTGGCCCTTTACTGGGTGCGTGGTCTAGGGCAAGTCTCATCCTTCTGAGCCTCTGTGGACACATCTAGAAAAATGGGGATGCAGGATCACTCTCCACCTGGGATTGTTAGAAGGATCAAATGAGGCTGCGCCTTAAAGCCCACAGCATGGTGCTCGGTGCCTAGGAAGCGCCCAGTGAGTGGCACCTTTATTTTTAGGAGACACAAGGACCTGGGAACTCGAGGGAGCAGGATGTGATCCAGAAACCTGGCATAGTCAGGGGTCACCCGCTTCAGACGGGCCCTAGCAAGGACGAGGCCCAGTAGACACGTGCCAGGGCCCTTTCTCCTCAGCCCCTGCACTGCCCCAGTGACCCTGCACTGCAGGAGATGGGGCAGGACCAGAGGCAGGACCAGGAAGTAATTTAAAAAAAAAAAAAAAAAAAGCAAACTGCAGATTTGTTTCAGAAGTCAGGAGCAAGATGGGAGACAAATGAGACTGTCCCAGTTCTGCCCAGTGGGTGACTGACCCACCAGGAGAGCTGGCTCCTGACAGCCATGCCAGGCTGGCTGCAGTGGGGAGAGAGTAGGCAGCGGAGTGCAGCCGCAGCACCCCAGGGTGCAGAGCCCCACGACAGCCAGGCCTCCTGCACCTCGGCTCACCACGGTGCCATTCAGGATGGTGCCTGCTGTCCCTGAGCCAGGAGGCTGGCCCAGGTGGCGTCCTAGTCAGCACCTGTGTTCTTACTGCCTTGCACAGGGACACTCGTGAGAGCGAGAACAAGCCCTGCAGTCCCCCAGATGCCGAGGGTAGAATTCCAGCTGCACCTCCTTCCCGGGTTCTCCTCACTGACAAACGCTGCCGTCACCTCCAGGCCCAGGCTGAGCCCTACATGTTTCTGGGGACCCGGTTTTGCCATTTCCTAGCTGTGGGACCTTGGCCATTCCCTCAGCCTCTCTGTGCTTCAGGTCACTCGTCTGTAAATGTGGGGCAAGAACAGCATCCACTTCACAGGCTTGTTGAGTTCATTTATGGCCCTGGAACGGTGGTCAGCATAGAGGAAGCCCTGAAAGTGTGCACTGGAGTCGGCCTTTATGTTACACCCGCTTGCAGGGGTCTCAGGCACCCTCCTGGGCTCCACTGTCCACCTGGAACTTTAGGTCTCCTGCATGCCCCGCCCGGACAGCAGCGGCCTAGGAAGTCCTGCAGTATCGCTCGTGGAAATCACAGCCTTTCCTCCCTCGGCTTTGCTCAGTTGTTTCTGCTCCAGTTCTGCCCAACCCCAGCCCTAACCTTGATCTTCTCTGGTGACATCCAAGTGGCACTGTGCAGGTTTGGACCATAGGCTCTGAGTCACCAGCCGTTATCTATCCTCCATTCTCTCCTGTGCCCTCCAGCCCTGGGTAAACTCCCCTCCTGACTAAGCCTCTCCCCGTCCTTGGATCGCATCACCCAGAGCTGATCTTGGCCCCTCCGCGTTGGGCCTCATGGGCTTAGCTTCTCTCTCCAGGCCACAGCCACGGCCTGGCTGCCTCCCACCTGCGTTTCTGCAGCTGCGTCCTCTCTGGGCCCTGCAGGCGTGCCTGGCCCGGCCCCTTCCCTGTGATGACTGCGTCCTCTCTGGGCCCTGCAGGCGTGCCTGGCCCGGCTCCTTCCCTGTGATGACTGCCTTGTCCGTCCTTCTCATGCCCTGCTTCACCAGGCCGTCCCCTTTCTCTCTCCACTCAGACCACAGGCCTCCCTGGAGTCCTCAGCTGGAGAGTGAGGAAGGCCTGGCCTGGAGAGGCTGGAGCTGCCGGAGAGGGGTCTGCGCCCTGTACATCTTTGTCCCCTCCGACCCCCCAGTGCTGAGCGATGCATATGGCACAGAATAGGAGTTGAAGGAAGAAACCAGTGAATGAATAAACTAATAAATGAGTCAATTCCCGATGCCCATGGAGACAGAGAGTTCAAGATGCGCAGAGGCGGCGAGGGGCTGGTCTTGCCCCAGTGACGCTCCTTCCACACTGCAAGCACCGCCAATGTGAGAGGCAGCAAACAGCAAACTCTGCAGTCAAGAAGTCTCAGTTCAAATCCCACTGCGGTCACGACACTGCATAGCCTTGAGAACGATAGTTTCCTCTCTGTGCCTCCGTTTCCACCTCTGTCAAATGGGGGCAGTAACAGTTCCTACTTATAGGAAGGAGCAAATGAATCAGACATGCAGCACTCACAGCAGGATGACCAGCACATAGTAAGTGCTTAATCAATGTTCGCTACCATAGGGCTGGAGGGGACACAGGATGGTCCCATATCCACATCCACCTATGTCCAAGACTCATCAAACAGACAGAAGGTGCCACCCTCTGCAGCCATGGTTCAGGGCAAGAAGGAGCTGCACGCAGGCCATCAGGGTGCTCACTGTCTACACCCTTTCTTGTCTTGCCTTCATCCTGCAGATAGTTTCAAGGCATGGGCCAGCAGAAGGGAGGCCCAGACCACCTCTGACCTGGACTCTAACCAGCTGCCCACACTCATGCTTGGCCCTGAGCACACAAGGGTGCCAGCCTTGCTGCCTACCAGACCGAGAGAGCAGGAAGCTGTTTGCTGTCCTCAGGAGGGGGCCCAGGCGGCCAGGGGCAGAAAGAGCTGGCGTAGGTGGCAAGTCAGGTCCCTGGCACATTCCAGCTCTTTTCCACCTTGCATCCCACCCTGTCCGCCTCCTGGCATTGTCCCCATCTCAGAATGTGGGTGCAGGCAGCCCGGGCAGGAGCGGGGGTCCTCTGTCTGTTTTGGCTAAAATCCACACTGGGCTTTCAGTCATCTTGGAAAGCGGCTTCTCCAGGGATGTTTTTGTTGTTGTTAATCTGGAGCTAAGGATGGTTGCATTGTGTTTGCATTCTAGATAACAAAGCTGGCAGTCGCAGTGAAGGAGGGTCATGTTTGCACAGCAGTGATTCAGAGCTCTGCCAGGACAGCTGCCAGTGCAGTTTATCTCCCAGTCCGATCAGGCCTTGGCGCAGGGAGGGAAGGTGGCCCTTTCTTCAAAAGCTTCAGCTGGCTCTGGCCTGGCAAACGCCTCTCCAGGACGTTCTGCTCTCCACACCAGGCCAGAAGAAGGAGTCCTTTCCTTGTGCCTTCTTGGCCAGCCTCTGGGAAGCTCTGGGCAGATCACATCCAGCCATCTCCCCCGGGTCAAGGGTGAAGCCACCAGCCGTGGCACAGAGGGGCGGGAGTCTTCCAGCTTGGGACGTCCTGGTGGGAGAAAACCACAGGAAGGGGGCACAGTTTGCCAGCCTTACCTAATCCTGGGGAGGCTCAGGAGAGGAGAGGGATGTGGGGGCCTTGAGGAGCCGCAGAGATTTAGGGTGCCCAGGAGGCCTGCACAGGAGGCAGGGAAGGTGGGGACAGCCTCCCCTGCTTGAGGCTTCCCTTGGCAGGAAACTGAGCCTGGAGGTGTCCCACCTGTGGCCACCTGGCACCTGCAGGACCTCCCCAACCCACCACCACTCTGACCTCTGTGCTGCTCCGCCCTTCATCATCATCACGCGTGGCAGGCACGGCCTCTCTTGGACGCTCTTTCAAGACAGCTGAAGCAGGAAGAACCTTTGCATATGGCCAGGCCCGCCAATCCCAGGCCTGGCAGGAGGCGGGACTTGTGACCGGTCAGTGGAGGCACAGGGCAGCCGGGTGAGTGCCTGGTGAAGAGCGTCATGGTCCTGGCATCTGCAGTTCCACCCATGGCCACTCCTGGTTCTAAAGGAAATGCTGCCCAGGTAGCCTAGGATGGGAAGGCAGACACCTGCCCACAGCAGCCTTGGCGGGCAGGAGGCAGTGACTCTTCCAAGCTCCTGGCATGACAGTTCTTGTGGGGACACTCATGGCCATGCCCACGGTCTGCCCGGCAGCCCTGAAGTACCCCGCCCTCACATCGGGGAGCCTCCAGCCTCTCAAGACCCCTGAAGCAGAGAGAAGGTGCCAGCCTCTGCAGCCTGGGAAAGGCCTCCAAGGACCCCTCCTTCCCAACCAGAACCTGACACCCCTCAGGCGAGACCTGGAGGGGCCTTTAAGTGAGACTTCATGATTGATGGATGGTGGAAGTCTCCACAGCGGCCCTAGATTAAGATCTTAGAGGAGCATTTCTTGGGACAAACGAGCAGCTCTCCTTTTGTAGATGCCTCCGTGCAGTATTAGTTTACCAGGGTTGCTGCACAGAACCATGGACTGTGTGGGTTCAACAACAAACATTTATTTCCTCATAGTTCTGGAGGCTGGAAGCCCAAGGTCAAGGCCGTGGCAGGGCTCGTTTCTCCCGAAGCCTCTCTCCTTGGCTTGTGGACATCCGCCTTCTCCCCACTTCCTCTTGTGGTCTCCCTCTGTGCACCTGTTCCCTGGCGTCTCTGTGTGTGTCCACATTTTCTCTTGTTATGATGACAGCAGTCCTGTTGGATGAAGGCTGGCCCTAATGATCTCATTGGACCCTAATCGCCTCTATAAAGACCCTCTTTCCAAGTATGTCCTGACATACTGGGGATTAGGACCTCAACACGTAAACTAGGGTGTGAGCAGTACAGCCTGTAACACTGAGCAAGGCCACCACTCCTCGGGTGAGCCGGTGACAGTAAGTAGGTCAGAAATCAAGACGGGGCCATAGAAACCTTCCCCTGCCTTCCGCAAGAGACTATCCGTCCCACAGAGGGAGGCCTTGTGTGTCATGTGCTTGGCCTTTAACACAGCTTCTGTAATTGTCACTGCAACCTGGCTTCGCAGGTGCCATTTGAAAGATGAAGACACTGAGGTCTGGAGAGATTGGGTAACTTGCCCAAGGCCGCACCTCGAGTGAGTGGTGTTGGGATTTGAACCCAGGTCAGCATCCACCCAGCTGAGTGACTTTTCATTTGGACAACGGGGACCTATCCACTCATCCAGGGGTGCAGGAAGGCCTGAGAAGCAGGCAGCCCAGGAGACCCCCATGGCGAGTGGGCCAGGGCTGCGGAGTGCAGACGGAGCAACACCTGGATGAGCCAGGTCACACACCTGCTGACTTCCTAACTGGGTCACCCAGAGCTGCTCACAGGAGAGGCTGGGATCCTGGCCCCAGCAGGAAGGCTCCAGGATGGTACGTGGCCCAGGCCTACCTGGCAGGGTGAGTTGTGCCCTTTGGCTAAGGTGTCCTGGCCTGGATGTGCCATCTGTGTGTGGGCAGATGGTACACGTTCTCTCAGGACCCCTTCCCACGTCTGATTTCTCAGGTTCTTCCTCCATCAGCTGGACTGACTGGTCAGCCTTGGAGCCCCCAGCATCAGAGGGGACAAGGTATGAGGATGGAGTAGCCACATCTCAGGCTGGGAATGGCACTGTGTCCCTGAGACTGTGGGACTGCCTAGTCGCTTTCATCTCTGGGGGATGATGACCATGAGGATGACCAGGACCCCAAGTCAGGGCTCCCCTCACCAAGCTCGAGTCAGCTGCAGGGCTTGGCCAAGATGCACTGGCAGTGCCCCAGCTGTGGCTACAGGGACCGTCAGCTCCACGGAAATCCCCACAGCTTATGAGAGTTGAGAGGAGCCCCAGAGGTCACTGGATCCAACCCCCACCTGACAGACATCCAGGAATCCCGTCTTTCCGGTGTCTGAGCATCTGAGGCCCTCAGCTGTGAGACTGATGGGGAATGCCTCCTCACTTCTGGAGAGGAGACCTACTCTGCCAGTGAGCGGCCGGTGCTTCTGGACAATTCTTCCTGCTGTTGCACTGAAAGCTGCCTCTTTGAGCCTTCCACCGGCTGGCCCCTGTTCTGCCCCATTCTCCAGCAAGCCCAGAGTGAGCCCAAATCCCTGCGTGCTAAGGAGCCGGCCCTCCCACGATGCTAGGCAGGAGGTGACTGCAGCAGGACAGGAGCCCCGTGCTTCCAGGAGGACCAGGGAAGGGGATGATGATCATAATCTCAGCCATAGACATGGCACACTGAGCCCTCTGCCCATATCATCTCATTTAGTCCCCATGGCAGTCTTGGGTGGATGGGTACTGCTGTCCACATTTCACTAATTCAACTGAAGTTCAGAGAGGTTTGATAACTTGCCAATCATCACACAATAGAGGGAAGAACCAGTACTAACCTTGAGACTTTCTGGCTGCAGAGCCTGTCCCTTCTGCCAAAGCTCTTTCACATGAATCATTCTAGCTCCTTGAGAAATGGCGGCAAGGATCAGTGAGGGGCCAAGTCTCCTAAGCAGACCAGGTAGGGGGACCATTATGGACAAAGAGAAGGGCGTGGACAAGAGTCCATGACAGTCTTTAAAACATGTGGTCCTGAGCTTGCCCTCTGAGCCCTAGGCAAGTGACCAAAAAAGACGTCTTTAAAAGAACAATGAAATATTTCTAATCCTAGTGTTTGAGTAGATTTTCCCCTTAATATGGATATTGGTTTATAGTAGTCCCCTCTAATCCATCAGAGATATATTTCAAAACCCCAAGGGGTGCCTGAAACAGGGGATGGTACCACACCCTATATCCACTACTCACAAATTTATTTTTCTCTCTTCACAATTTCACAGATAGAAGATTTGTTCTTACGTAGTTCTTAGAAACCTCAGCATATGATTTTCTTTGTTTCCTTACGAAATCGAGAACTTTCACCTTTTCACTGAAAGGAAGCACTTGGTGGCTTCTGTTTGGCATATCCGAATTGCCAGCATCACCACTGTTGCCCTTTGGGGCCATCATTAAGTCAAATAAGGGTGACTTGAGCATGAACGCTGAGATACGTCGACGGCCCATCTGATAACGGAGATAGCTCCTAAGTGACCAATGGGAGGCTAGCATTGAGAGTGGGGGTCCTCTGAAGGAAGGAGTGATCCACTCCCCACAGGGGGCGGAGCAAGATGACCCAGATTCCATCATGCCACTCAAAACGGTGCAACATCTAAAACTTATGAACTATTTATTTCCGGAGATTTTTACTTAATCTTTTTGGACTACGGTTGACCACAGGTTACTAAAACCAAGGAAACTGGAGCTACAGTTAAGGGTGGACTACTGTATCTTATCAAACAAACTTAAAAGACATAGTGGATAGGAAACCAATATGGCAGTTCTTCAAAAAAGCAACCATGGAAGTGGCATATGATTCAACAATGGCTTCTCTGGGTACACACCCAAAAGAATTGAAAGTGGAGACTTGGGGAGGTGTTTGTACATCCATGCTCATAGAAGTATTACTCACAATAGCCAAAAGTGGAAGTCACCCTAGTGAGCATGGATGGATGAATGGATAAGCAGAATGTGATCTATCCATACAATGGAATATCATTCAGCCTTACAAAGGAAGGCAATTCTGTCCCATGCTACGACACGGAGGAACCTTGAAGACATTACGTTACGTGAAATAATCTAGATGCAAAAGAATAAATATCGTATGAGTCCGTCTATGAGGAACACAGAGTAGTCAAATTCATAGAGACAGGAAGTAGAATGGGGATTGCCAAGGGCCAGGAGGAGGGGGAGTGGGGAGTTAATGTTTAATGGATATGGAGTTCTAGTTTGGGATGATAAGAAAGCTCTGGAGATGGATGGCAGTGATGGCTGCAAAATAATGTGAATGTTCTTAATGCCATAGACTATAAACTTAAAAATAGTTATAATCGGCCGGGTAAAGTGGCTCACGCCTGTAATCCCAGCACTTTGGGAGGCTGAGGCAGGTGGATCACGAGATAAGGAGATTGAGACCATCCTGGCTAACACGGTGAAATCCTGTCTCTACTAAAAATACAAAAAATTAGCTGGGCATGGTGACATGTGCCTGTAGTCCCAACTACTCAGGAGGCTGAGGCGGGAGAATCACTTGAGCCCGGGAGGTGGAGGTTGCAGTGAGCCGAGATTGCACCACTGCACTCTAGCCTGGGCAACAGATCGAGACTCCATCTCAAAAAGAAAAAGAAAGGAAGTAGTTAAAATGGTCAGTGTTATGTTATGTATATTACAACAATTGAAAAATTAAATTTAAATCTAAGAATGCTAGTGGACATATTGTAGTGCTGTATATTTCATATATCTTCCATTCACTCCTAAAAAATGGCTGTGTTGTACTCTCCTTGGAGTTGGAGGATCTGGACTGAGACCTGATTTTGCTACTGAATAGCAGTAGGCAAGCCACATGCATGCTCTAAACCTCAGTTTCTTCATCTGTTAAATGGTGTCAAATACCTATTTCATAGGTTGGTTGTGATAACCAAATGAGTTGATGGATAATGTAAATGCTTTAAAACTGTAAAATAACACACTAATGTAGTCATAGTATTATTTCCTGAGAGCTTAGCACTGGGCAGCAACCACATGTCCAGAGCTTTCTGGGAAGATTTTCCATTATCTGCCCTGTCGTTCTCATAAGCACCCACATGCTTTTCAGTACAAGAATCTAGACTTGGGTCTACAGCCACACCACCTTGAACATGCCTATCTTGTCTAGTCTTAGAAGCTAAGCAGAGTCGGACATGGTTAGTACTTGGATGGGAGACCGCCCTGGAATACCTGGTGGTATTAAAAAATTAATTAATTCAATAAAGTAATAGTAATAAAAAGAGAATTTGGATTTGGGAAGTCTGGCCCATCTAGCAGGTTCTTGCCATGGAGGCACCCACAATAGTGGGGAGAAAGAGGATAAAGCACAAGGGCCTGTTGAGTTATGCAGTAAGTGGTGTCCTATTCCCCTACCCATAACTGGGGACCCAGCCCACTCCCAGCTGTCCTGTCCCCTTCACTGTTTGAGTGACCAGGAAAGAAAGAGCCTCCACTACTCTTTGGGTGGGGCCCCGTGCCCGCCCATCCCACCATAGGTGAGTAGAATCACCAGGCAACCGCCAAGAAGGGATTAGATTGAAGAAATCCAGTCTCCAGGGTTATAGTCCTAGAGCCATGCTTCATTCTCTGCCAAACCAGGTTCAGTCCAGGAGCCCACACAGCCCACCAGCTGTGTAGGAATGCCAGCAGAGGCCTGATGATGGCAATGACGGTGACAATGGCATTACTTATTGAGTGTTTACTGTGTACCAGGCACTGTGGAAAGCACCACATATGCATGCTGTCGCCTAATCTCACGAGGTAGAGATTTTTATTGCCTCTATTTTACAGGTAAGAACACTGCTGCCCATGTCTCTTATACCATGGAATCAATATATGCAATGGTTTTTATTAAAAGTCTTGCATAATAGAAATAGATTGCATTACGGCTAGGCGCAATGGCTAACACATGTAATCCCGGCAGTTTGGGAGGCCAAGGCGGGTGTATCACCTGAGATCAGGAGTTCAAGACCAGCCTGACCAACATGGCAAAACCCCCATCTCTACTAAAAATACAGCTACTTGGGAAGCTGAGACAGGAGAATCGCTTGAATCTGGGAGGCGGAGGTTGCAGTCAGCTGAGTAAGATCGCTCCACTGCAATCCAGCCTGGGTGACACAGTGAGACTCCATCTCAAAAAAAAAAAAAAAAAAAAAAGAAAGAGATTGTATTAGAAAAACTGCTTCCAGTGTGAAAAGATTCTGCTTTTAAACACTATTTTTAAATATGTTTACTTTTCTGTGATTTTATCATCATTGCACAAATTAGGAATAACTTATTTTTCAGGGTCACCATCTTCTTAAAGTAAATCTTTCATTTAATTATAGCATACACAGAGAAAAATGCATAAATTATAAATCTTCATCTTGATATTTCTCAGAAAGTGTGCCCATTTAACAGCATCCAGAACTAGAAAGTAGAATTAAAACATTATCAGCAGCCAGGCCAGGTGCAGTGGCTCACACCTGTAATCCCAGCACTTTGGGAGGCCGAGGTGGGTGGATCACCTGAGGTGAGGAATTCAAGACCAGCCTGGCCAATAAGGTGAAGTCTGTGTCTACTAAAAATACAAAAATTAGCCAGGCGTGGTAGTGTACACCTGTAGTTCCACCTACTTGGGAGGCTGAGGCAGGAGGATCACTTGAACGTGGGAGGTGGAGGCTGCAGTGAGCCAAGATCACGCCACTGCACTCCAGCCTGGGCAACAGAGCAAGACTCCACCTCCAGAAAAAAAAAAAAAAGAAAAGAAAAAAGAAAAAAGAAAATTATCAGCAACCAAAAGCCTCTTTCTGACTCTTTCCAGAAACTACTACTGACTTCTAACATCATAGTTGGGCCAGTTTTAATAAATGGAATAAAAAAGACAAAGAAAGAGAACACTGATGCCCAGAGAGGCCAAATAACTTCTGCAAGTGATGAAGTTGTGCAGCCTGAGGTTAGCCTGCATCTGCCTGAATCCCCAGTCTGTGCTCATACCAGACATACCCTACTGCCCCTGACAGAGGAGCCGAGCTTCAAGGAATGGCCCCAGCATCAGTGCCATCTTCAGTCCCATCTTCAGTCCAGGTGTTCCCTAGGCGCAATGGTGGCTGCTGTGTGACCGTGAATGGTGGCTGAGAACAGAACACACAGCTATTGAATCCTTGGTGCCCAAGTCACAGGGCAGGAGGATGATGCATCTCCAGCCAGCGTGGTCCTCCTTTGGCCAGTCCGGGCCCATCCTGATGAGGTCAGGAGGGATGCAGCTGCTCCTCTTCCCCCATGGGAGTGTCAGGCCCAACCAGCCTGCCCTCTCTCCTCTCCCTGCAGTTTACCAGGTGGCTTTGGAAAGGGGTCACCCTGAAGGGACCACTTGTGCTGCAGTAGGAGGTGGGAAGATCAACAGACCACGGACCCCGGGACAGGCAGGAGCCACAGAAGAGGTCTCAAGCAAAGGTGGCAAGCTCTCAGGGCTCTTCCTGACAATCCTGCCTGTCCCCAGGCCGTGGACAGCAGGTCAGCCACAAAGCTAACTCCCAAGAACAGCACCTGGCCCAGTCTCCTTCCCTGGCTCCTCCGTTCCCTTCCCTGGGCAGACAGTGCCCCAGCCAAGCTTTCACAGACATTTCTGACCTATCAAAAAGCACCAGGGCTGGGGCAATGAAAAGAAATAGACACCAATCCCTTCCCTACACAGGGAGTGGTGATGGGGAAGGCAGCTCTACCACCAGGTTCCCGACCCCTCACACCTGGGCTGAAGCTCAGGTCCTGACTTTGCCACAGGTTAGCTTTAGGCAAGTCTCATCCTTTTTCTGGGCCTCAGTTTCCCCATTTGTAGAGAAAAACGATTGTACAAGCTCAACATTTCTCCTTGGTCCAGAGAGATGTGCTCCTTGGTCCAGAGAGACTACTTGCCCCAAATAGATTTGAGAAGCATTGCAAACGCTCCATGCCTTTTGGTGATCTGCTAAGCTCATTTGCATATTTTGTTGAGCTCATTAGCATATTAAAGCTCTATTTAATCTCCCTGGATCCAACATCTCTTAAAGGGTCTCTCTGGCTGTGAAACATTCATTTTGATATACAGGTGACTCTTGAAGAACACGAGATTTAGGGCCGCCAACCTCCTGTGCGGTTGAAAACCCATGTGTAACTTTGGACTCTTCCAGAATTTACTTACTCATAGCCTACCGTTGACCAGAAGCTTACTGATAATATAAACAGTCGATTCCCATACATTTTGTATGTAATATGTATTATGTACTGTGTTCTTACAATAAAGTAGGCTGAAGAAAAGAAAGTATTAAGAAAAACATAAGGAAGAGGAAGTACATTTACCCTTCATTAAGCGGAAGTGGATTATCACCAAGGCCACTCTTCTCGTCATTTTCATGTTGAAGAGGCGGAGGGGGAGGAAGAGGAGGGGTTGGTCTTACCGTTTTGGGGGTGGCACAGGAAGAAAATCTATGTGTAAGTGGACCCGCAGGAGTGTCTGGAGGCCAAAAGTTAGAATTCAGCCTAGGGACTCCTTCCTCGTGCAGTTCCAACCCACGTTGTCCCAGAGTCAACTGTAACAGCTACTGCAAAACGTTCTTTGGAAAATGTGACCAATGGGGCTGGAGGTCCCTTGCAGTGTCCACCTCCAAGAATCTACAAAAAGACCCCAAAGCCGCTTGGAGCTGGATGGCCTGGAGTCTGAATACCACCTGAGGGGCCCTGAGCAAATCCCTCAGCCTCTTTGAGCCTCAGTTTCTCTCCCGGGAGGAGAGGGGTTGGTACCTGTGCCAGACTCACCGTGCTGGGAGCTGGGAGACCGAGTGACCCAGAGCATGCATGGCACAAGGCGGTGGGTGCTCCCTAACTGAGGGGAGCTCACCTGGGCGGTACAGTCCCCGGCAGCCAGGGGTGAAGGAGTTTAGTAGTCTCCCCAGGAGCACAAAGGGGGCAGGGGGCAATGCGGCGTGCGGGGGATGAAGGATGCTGTTGGGTGGAGATGCTGGGCCCTTGCTTTCGTCTGCTTCCCACCACACTGGGCCAGCCCTGGTAGGCGCTCAGGTATTGGGAAAGGTGAGCAGTGCCACGCTGTAGCCTGACTTGGTTCCTGCCCCTGGGAGGCAAGATGGGGGAACCAAACTGGTTTATCGGGGTACCTGAGTCCACCCGCTCAGGCACACCCAGAAGGAGCAGCCTTCCCCGTTTCCAGCCCCGCAGGGGTGTGGCGCATCTCCCCCCGGCTCGCCCAGCCCAGACTCCGGGTATGAGGGCCCAAGGAAGCCACCGGAGCCCCCTGGTCCGAGCCGTTTCTGCCCTGATCGTGGAGCTTCCCGTGCTGACATCTGCCTAGCAAGCCTCCCCCGCCCTTCCCCTCCTCATTCCTCTCCTCCTCCACTCGTGCTGCATATCCTCGCAGGTGCTGGCCTCCAGGGGCTTGGGGACCATCTTCAGGAAGTTCCCAGCAGCCAATGCAAATGAGGGCCACTCCCTGTTATTGAAGAGCAACTTGCAGGCACAGATCTGTCCGCCCGGCAGCCAGCGGCTTCTCCCTGAGACTTAATCCCTCCACTTTCTGAGTCACCAGGAACTTCTCAACCCGAGGCCCAGGGAGTGTGGTCCGAGGCCAAGAAAGTGTGTCTCATAAGCCGGCTTCCAACAAGCTTTGCTGAAACCCAGAACCAGCCAAGAGTGTCTGGGGGCCGAAAGTTAGAATTCAGCCCAGGGACTCCTTCCCTGTTGACCCAGGACAAGGTCTACACTTGGTTTGTATGACCTCTTAGGAGCAGGTCACAGCCCATGGCCACAGTGGGGCATCGGCCAGGATGATAAGCCGCCAGGACACCCAGGCACGGCTGCTGAGCACATTCACACTACTGAGCCTGGCAGACTTCTCTTTTCAGATCTGGGTTTTGTGTACGGCTGCTGGGGCTGAACAGAAGGGCTCAGAGGCTGGCCTTCGCCAATGAGGCAGACACAGCCACCCACAGCTGCAGGATGCAGGTGACCCCACCCCATGCTCCGTCAGGCCAGGCCAGGCTGGAGGAGGAGCAGGGCACCTTCTGGCAAGTTCAGAGAAGGTGTGATGAGTCATCTGATGAAGCTCACACACTGTCGCACACACACAGGCCCAGAGTCCAGCTTGCTGATCAAAAATGATGGCCTCATGCCTGCTCACCCTCTGGGATCCCTCAATGGGCAGCCTCTGCTGTCCTCCATGCGGCCACCGACTTCCCTCTGGGATGGCCCCAACCTCTCACGTCTGGCCTCAGTACCTCTCCACCAGGTTCTTAACCCCAAGGAATTTGATAATCCTATGTACGCTATCCTTGGAGGTCCTGGTGTTCCGTGATGAAGTCAACTCTTTCACATGGCACATAGGGCTGTCATGAACCACCCTGTCCAAACTGACCACAAGCCCTGGGTCCCCCAGCTCAGTCCGCAGAATCCAGTTTTGCCTCCTGGACAGCTGGGTGTGGCCCTGTGCACGCAGCCATGCTGTGCCCCTCTCACTTCCGGCCTTCACTGCTCCTGGCCCCTCTGCTTGGGGTGGCCTTTCCCACCATCCTCTGGACTCCAGCCTGGTGCCCCCGACACGGGGCATGTGCAGACGCCCTGGCCTCTCAGAGCTCCTTCTTATCTCACTGCATCCCTGCGGGGAAGCTCCTGCCAATTGATGGCAGGCCTGCACGCTCTGATGCCCAGCTCTGAGTGAAAGGACAGGAAGGGACACAGGGCGTGTGGGGCCAGGGGTTCTCTGCTGTTCTGAGGGCAGCAGCAGCCAAGAGCTTCTGGTCAGTGAAGCAAGACCTGGACCCTGCCCTAGGCTGATCCCCGCCGAGGCCTTGGCCCTTCCTTCCGACACAGCTCGTTCCTCCTGCTGCCAGAATTGGCTCCCTGGAACCTGGCTCCGCTCACCCCCTACCTGCTGGAAACCCTTCTGCCATGTCTGGGTGGGCCTGGCCTTTGGGGCCTGCTCTGCCAGCCCAGCAGCCTCCATGGTGAAAGCCTTGGCCACAGGCAACATCCCCCAGCACCTGGCACATGGGAATGTTCCCTAAATAAATCCTTTTGTGTGTGTGTGAGACAAGCTCTCACCCTGTCATCCAGACTGGACTGCAGTGGCACGATCTGTAGCCTTGACCTCCTGGGCTCAAGTGATCCTTCTATCTCAACCTCCTGAGTAGCTGGGACTAAAGGCATGCACCACCATGCTGGCTATTTTTTTTTTTTTATAGTGTTCGGGTCTTTCTATGTTGCCCAGGCTGGTCTTGAACTCCCAGGCTCAAGGGATACCCCTGCCATGGCCTCTGAAAGTGCTGTGGCCGCCCATTCCCTTGTGTCCATTCAAGAAGTCTCTCCTTCTCTGCAGAGCACCTCCTGGGAGCTGGGCACTGCTCTGGCACTTGGCACCCAGCAGTGAACAGAAAAGACCGCCTCTCGCTCCCTCGCAGCTTGAGTGATAGTGGAGGGAAAATGACCAAGAACAAATCACACAAGTAAAATGCACAAGATCAAAGATCGTGATGAGTACTCTGGAGAAAGACTCCATCGGGGGTAGGGAGATGGGCAGTGGAGAGGGCCTCTGCCAGATGGCGGTCCTGGGAGTGGGACCCCTGTAGGGCAGGGCATGCTAGGGGCTTTGAGGGCCTGGCCTACCCAGCCTCATCTCCAGCCAGGCAGCTCCTTGCCTGCAGATCTCCAGCCTGCTCACTGCCTTCCTCCCCGACCTTTCAGTCCCTCAGTGGGCCATGCCTGCTTCAACCACAGGGCCTTTGCACAAGCTGCTCCCCCTCTTGCCTTGCCCTTCACCACCTCTCTTTGCCCAGTAAACCCCTCTGACCCAGTACATCCCAGCTCCTTTACTGCCTCCTCAGGGAAGCCCTTCCTGACCTTCTTCCTGTCATGTGTGCTGCCAACCCCACACAGCCTTGTGCAGAGCTAGATATCTGTGTGTTTCCTCCCCACTCCTCAACCACCTCCCTGGAACCTGGAAGAATTCTTGGCACAGGGAAAGCCCCCAATAAGTATTTGCTGACCTAATGAATAAACACCTCCACCTTGACATATTAGAGCTGGTTCACTTACTCTCTAGACTTTGATTGGGCCCCTCCTGTACACAAATCCCAATGCTGGGGGCTGAGAATACACAGGTGGCCATCATTTGTTCAACTGTCTCCTCTTCAAGACTGGAAGCTGTCTGAGGGCAGGGGTCATGTCAGACGTCAGCGTCTCATCATATGGTGTTCTCTCTGTTGGTAGGCCCACTGTCCCTCAAACATCCTCTGTAAGAACCTGGGGGTTGTGCCAGTTTCTGTCTTGCACACCCTACGTCCGAGGACGGCCAGGTCCTGCCACTCAGATCTGCTCCTTCTGTGCACTGCCCAGAAGACAGAGCCCTGGCTTCTAAGTGTGGCATCCATCCAAGGCCCTTGGGTCTGTCTTCCACCCACCTCTCCATGCAGCTCTTGCCATCATCTGCCTCCACCTTTAGGTGCCAACGACAACAAGCCTCACCTTGCTCCCACCCAGGCCAGGCTGCTGCCTGCTCCTCTGCTGTCACTCAGCTGGGCTGTGAAGTGGCCCCACCTCTGGCCCTGGCTCAGCCTCACTCTGGGATGCAGCTCACACATCGCCTTCTCTAAGAGGACCCGGTCCTGAAGCCCATGCTGTTGTTCACCCAACTCTGTTCCTCTTTACTATGCACTGTCATTATCTGCTTGTGTCTCTCCTGCAAGCAACTGAGAGCAGGGGATATGACTTATTTGTTGTCATAGTATTGCCAGAATCTTACATAGTGCCGAGTAATTAATAGACAGTAACAATTTATAGGTTCAGTCACCGTTTGACAAACTAATCTTGGATGAATGGAAGGATAAATATGTAAACTGAAAAGTATCTGAGACAGGTCTCAATCAATTTAGAAGGTTATTTTGCCAAGGTTAATGATGTACCTGGGAGAAAGATCCGTTCCTTTCTCCAGAGATAATTTTGAAGGCTTCAATATTTAAAGGGGAAAGTGGGCTGGAGGGGAAAGAAGGAGGGTATGGTAATCCACATGTTGCAAGAGAAAAGGAGCAGGTGGGGAATAATCAATTATGTATTCCTCCCTTGCTCAGTAAATTGGCACTTTGTATAAGATAAGGCAAACATAGAGTAGCTACCTGTGGAGATATTTAACCTTTTATTTGTAGCTACCTGCTTAGGAATCAAAGAAAAGACAGTTTCTTGTGTTACTCAACTTTCAGCTTAATTTTTTTCTTTTGGCATAGTGAATTGGGTTCCCAAGTTTTTCTTTTCCTTTCACAAATGAATGGAAGGATGGGTGAATGGATGGGTGGATAGATCAAAGAATTAATGGATGGATGAATAGGTGAATGGATAAACAAACGGGTGGAAAAATGGATGGATGGAAGAGTGGATGAATGAATGGATGGAAGAATGGATGGACGAATGGATGGGTGGACGGATGGATGGATGGATGGTTGGGTGCATGGATGGGTGGGTGGAAGGATGGACGGATGGATGGATGGATAAGTGGAAGGATGATGGATGAATGGATGGATGGGTGGGTGAAAGAATGGATGAATGGAAAGATGGACAGAGATGAAGGAAGGAAGGAATAGAGGGAAGGCTGGATGGGGGAGGGGAAGGGGAATGGAGAGATTTTTTTTGCAAAGGTAGAAATAAATTCTTTCTACAGCATTTATTGATTGCTGGCTTGTATTAGGCTCTGTACGAAGCTGGACATCTTACCCCATTTGACCCTTCCAACAAGCCTGTGAAGTCAGTATCACTATTCTGAATTTTACATTTGAGAGAAAAAGGCCCGTGTCATATCTAAGAGAGACAGAGTATCTCAGACCTCCAAACCCAGTACCCTCCCGAGAGGAGTGTAACCCTTGGGCTCCAAGCCTGCTGGTTTGCCATGACAGAAAGGAGAAGTACAGCCTCCAGTCTGTGATTCTGCATGATGGAGCAGTCCCTCCTTCCCTCCCCCTGGAGGCTGAGATTGCCAGAATCCAGGCGTCACTCCCAGCACATCCTAACATGGCTCCAAGTGGAGTGGTGCCCCTTTTGCTAATATTTTCCCAAGACCATGATGTCTCCACCCCCTGGGTATTTTGGGGAGATTCAAGGTGAATATTTCCATACAGAGCAAGACAGCCTCAGTGACCAGCCAAGAGGAAACATGAAGGGAATGGGGGGTGGGGAGACTTCAAAACAACCTCGTGGGCAAGACTGAGACAGTCCCTGCTGAAGGGGCATGGAGCACTCTAGCTGGGGGTGGGGAAACCGCATAGGGCCCCATGGAGGGCTCACATGAAGGAAGAGAAAAGGAAGGAGTCTGTGGACAAGTCAGGTCCCCTACTTCGGGGAAAAGCCCGGCTCCTTGCCTACAGCATGTTACTTTCATTGTCGGCAGAAGGAACTGTGGAATTCTCCAAAGCACATGATCTGGTGGGCGCCTGGCCCAAGCCCTCATTCTTCAGAGGGGGACACTGAGTCACAGAGCAGAAGAGGCTTGGCCAAGTCCACAGTACATTTCCAGGACGGTGTCTGCGAGAACCCAGGTCTCCACGCCTGGGCCATGCTCTTCTGCTGCCCTTGACTTGCCTATCTCTCTGCCTGGTGTCTGCTCATTTGCTCACCAGGGTAGGCATGTAATTCAGTCACGACCCTTCATGAACCACCTCCTCTGTCAAGACCCAAGCAGATGATGGGAGAGCCCTGCCTCTGACCACTGTGCTGAGCACCTGAAAGAGTCGTGAGCAGGAGGAGTGAAGGGGAGAGGAGGAGAGAAGTGGGGAGATGGGTCACCCCCACAAGGAGCACTGCCCTTGGTGCTGCCCTCAGAGCCAATCCTTTGCATGGGGTAAATAATATTTTCCCAACTCTGCAACATGAGCCACCAGCACAGCAGTGGCCTGGGTATCAATCAATCACTGCCTGCTCCACTCTTTTTTTTTCTTTTCTTTTCTTTTCTTTTCTTTTTTTTTTTTTTTTTTTTTTTGAGATGGAGTCTTGCTCTGTTTCCCAGGCTGAAGTGCAGTGTAGCTCGATCTCAGCTCACTGCAACCTCCACCTCCTGGGTTCAAGCAATTCTCCTGCCTCAGCCTCCCAAGTAGCTGGGATTACAGGCACCTGCCACTACACTCAGCTAATATTTGTATTTCTAGTAGAGACGGGGTTTTGCCATGTTGGCCAAGCTGGTCTCGAACTCCTCACCTCAAGTGATACACAGGCCTCAGCCTCCCAAAGTGGTGGGATTACAGGTGTGAGCCATCACGCCCCACTGCCTCCTACTCCACTCTTATGGGAATTCCTTTTCTACATTCTCATCTCCTTCCTAAAGAGTTAGAAGTAGAAACAAGATAAAGCACAGCGAAAGTAACTCTTTAAAACAGGCATCAAAAGACACAATACTGGCCAGGTGTGGTGGTTCACTCTTGTAATCCCAGCACTTTGGGAGGCCACGGTGGGAGGATAGCTTATGCCCAGGAGTTCGAAAAAAAAAAAAAAAGACAAAATACTGGTAATGATAATGTGATTATACTGAGATCATATAATCACATTTACATGATTATACTGGGGTAATCATATAAGAAATAAATGGGATAAGTGTAAGTTACTGCAAGTAAAAAAAGAAACGTGGTACACTCGATACCTTTCAAAAGCTAATGCATGGTAATAAGAATTGCAGTTAGGGCCGGCATGGTGGCTCACACCTGTAATTCCAGTACTTTAGGAGGCCGAGGCAGGAGGATCGCTTGAGCTCAGGAGTTCAGCCTGGGCAAAACAGTGATAACCTCATCTCCACAAAACATAAACAAAATTAGTCAGGTTTGGTAGCATGTACCTGTAGTCCCAGCTACACAGGAGGCTGAGGCAGGGGGATTTCTTGAGCCTGGAAGTTGGCGGCTGCAGCGAGCTGCAGCTGCAGTGAGCTACGATTGCACCACTGCACTCCAGCCTGGGTGAGAGTTAGACCCCGTCTCAAAAAAAATAAATAGAAATAAATATTTTTTAAAAATGCAGTGGGGACATGGGCTCTGTGACCAGGCTGTCGGGGTGCAGAGCCCACATCCACTGCCTGGCAGGGCAGCTCTGTCCCACTCCCACTCTGTTCTTGGCCCCTGTGCCTACAGGCTGCTCCATTACTGAGGCTGTGACGATCCTGGGGAACAAGCTTAGAGATTACCGGGGCCATTTCAACACCACCCACCTGCTGGCCCTCTGTGACTACTTCCACCACACCTTCATCCGCCACTACAAACTCTACCAGTATGTCCTGGGCCAGGACCAGCAGGTCGACCTGACCGTTGCCCACCTGGAGGTGTGCATGCCACCCCATCCCCTCCCGCTGGCCGAGGGCATGGACAGGGACTTGTGGATCCACGAGCAGCAGGTGGCCACACTGACGGAGGCCGAGGCACAGAAGCGCGCCGACGTGCTGCTCCTGAAAGAGGCGCTGCGCCTGGAGCGGGAGAACTCGCTGCAGAAGGCGTTCGCTGCCGCCGCGCCTGCGCAGCCCGGCCAGGTCCTGGAGAGACAGGTGAGGCTCTGCCCCCCTGCCGTGGGTGGGCACCTGGGCCTGCAGAGACACCAGCCAGGGCTGGAGTCACTGCAGATGGGAGCTCCTCAGTGGCACACAGGGGAGGGGGAGAGATGCAGGGAGGAATCAAGAGTCTACCACGAGCTTCGCGGTAGACTAAAGGTAGAAATTCATGTCCCTATTTTAGTGATGAGACGACTGAGGCGCAGAGAACATTTTAACTCGCCAAGGTCACCAAGCTAGCATATGGTAGAGTTCACATTTGGACTGAGGCCTGGCTGACCCTGAAGTCTAAGTTCCTTCCTCTGTGTCATTGGTCAGTGACAGATTCCACCAAGAGAGGCAGGAAAAAGACTCCAGCTTTGGAACTGCTGCAGATTATCCAGAGCCGGCATGCCCCTAGGATGGGGGAGAAGATGGAGGAGGCAGGGACATGGGGACAGCTTGGGGAGGGTCATGTGACCAGGGAGACAAAGGCTGGAGCTGGGGCCCAGGGAGGACTTAGGAGGATCCGGTGCCTGGATCTCAGACTTTGGGCTGCCCTCTTGGAGGTTCTGCCAGACCACTGGGGCTCTAGCTGCCAGCATTTCCCACGACCAGCTCTTCAATGACCATGACGACCCCAGCCTCAGGGTAGCTGACTTCTTGAGGGCCTGGCCAAGCCTACATTAGTTTCTTAGCTATACATAGGCACTGAAGTCATCATTGTTGCATCATCTCTGAACATACTTTGAGAGACAAGTATTTGCATGTGCGTGTGTATGTATGTGCCTGTGTTTCAGGCATTGGAGTGGGGGAGTTGCAGGGCCTGTGAGTTCCAAGGGATTTTGATTTCTGAATCATCAGCTGAAGAGCAAATGGCCCTGGGAAGTATTCCTTTAGGGTTACACACACACCACACACACACACACACACACACACACACACACACACACACACACACACGAAAATCTCTAAAGAGCAATGAGCATAGCAGCCTGGATGGTGCTCATCCAAGGATAAGTCTCCAGACAAATAGCACATCAGGGGGCCATGTGATCTTAGTTCACGAAGACATTCAATAAAGACCCAACAAAACCCACGCAACAGTCTATGTCTCTGGCCCCCTGCAGGGACCTTGCTCTAGCACACGGAGCAGGGTGGGGCATGGCCACAGTGGCCCCTACTGCCCTGCACTTCCCACAGCTGTTCCTGCCTGCTCCTCCCAGCTCGCCGCCCAGCCTCCAGCATGGCACTGCTGGCCCCTGCCTGGTGGAGCTGGTGAGCCAGAGCCTCCTACACTGTGTGCCCCAGCTATGCACCTGAGATGGGGCACTCAAGGGCATAGAACAAAAAACACCACGCATTCTCTTATAGCACAACCTTCCCCAATAATGTTGTTTTCTACAAAAACAACAAGAGGATATTCTGGGGCAAATGCACAATTTTGCATATCTTTTAAGTGAATACAAGATCTCAAAGAAATGCACTACATCCAACCAGTTGCTTCCAGTGTGTCCCCTGACAATAGCTCCTATGCTGTGTGGTTGCTCGGGCAAGGAACCTAGAGAAACACAGTTACGTGGTCCATGTATCCAGGCTCTGTGGGCTATAACTCTGATGGAGTTGACCAACAGGGTTTCCTGTTTAACATGATGGGTGGACAGTGGCTGCATTTCCATTCTTCCTATGGCTGGCTGGGTGGAGGACACACCCACTCTCTGAAGCAATTTCCCCTGTCCCCTCCCATGAAGCTACCACTAGAACTTTGAAAGGTGAGAATGAGGATGGTGGGGGCCCAGGGTATCCAGATGGAGCCTGCATTGACCAGGAGGTAGGGTCTATAGGAAATATGGCACTGGCCGATGGGCCCAGAACAAATGACACACTCAAACAGCCTGGCCGTCACTCTAGGCAAGAAAAGAAAAGGGAGGGAATGACTATTGGAATCCAAAAAGAGAGCTTTAGTTATAGGCAAGGGCTGAGGGACAGGGAATGTGACTACCCATAGTCCGTGGCCATGGCCAGGCCACAGCCAGTCAGGAGAAGATGAGGACCTCCCCACCCTCAGACCTCCCGCCCCTAGTTGGCTGAAGTCAACCAGAAGCCAGAGGTCCAGGCAACCACGGCCCGTGGGCAGGGTGAGACGGATGGACAGTGGACACATTCTCGTACCTGCAACAGGGGCTGAGTTGAGAACTGGATCCGGCGAGGCTCCCCAGCCCTGCTCATCGGCCTTCCCCTTTCCTTCCAGGAGTTGGAGAGCCTCATCTGCCAGGCAGTCCACACCCAGATGGAGCTCCTGCAGGAGCTGCTGCAGCGCCAGATCCAGAACACATTCGCCATCTTGGACCTGAAGCTTCAGAAGAAGACTCTGAACCTCAACGCCCCCACCCCTATCCCGCCCCCCATCACCAGCCACGCAGGCCAGGAGGAAGCCCTGAAGCCCCAAAGAGCGAGCAAAGGAAAGAAAGCGAAGGCAAGGAAGTAGAAGGTCCCGACTGCCACACGAGACTGACTGGGGACCAGCCACCCATAACCATGAGCCTTGCGGCACGGTGAGCTCAGCACCCACAGAGAGACTTCTTGTGATTAAAAGAAACAAACCCATGCCATCATCTGGTCTCTGTCTTGGAAACTACCTGCTACCACCTAAAATCCAATCCAAATTATTTCCTCTGAGTGACAAGAGATGGCTGTGGACCTCTGCTAAGCACAGAGCTTTGCTCTGGGGGTACTTTTCACATGCTGACAAGCCTGAGCTCCGCTGAAGATGGAGCCACCCATGGGGGCAAGCCAGTAAGAGTGAGGGTGCCCCACACACCAGCAAAGCCCTCTGCGGAATCCCATGCCATGTAAGGAGAATGTATCCTAGGATTCTTCCTCCTGACATTTCCACCACAGGCTTCATTGCATGCAGTCCAGCCCGCAGGTCTCCCACAAGAGGACCCAGAGCCATGTGCCCTCTAGAAAACTCTTCCTCCCAGGAGCATCTGCACTGTCTGGACTCAGGCAGGGGGCAGGTGCTGTCCCAGAGGTCGGAGACCTGGCCTGGAGCCCGCTTTGCTGTGGATCTGCTGTGTGATGCTGCCTGTGTCCCTTTCATCTCTGGGCCCCAGCTCTCTATCTTGTCGAGTAGAGGTGCTGTGGGATGGTGTCTCTGGTCCTCTCTCACTAAGACGTCCTAGGAGAAAGACAAGGTGAGGTTTGCTATTCCCATGTGTCAAGGGTTTCAAGGTTCAAGGAGGAAAATAACCTACTCGAAGTCACACAGCAGAGAGCAGAAGCCTCCTGCTTCCGTGCTGTTTCCCAGGGGCGTCATGCCTCTCATGCAAATAGCGGCACACGTCCTGGAGCTGTTGGTTTGACAGGTGACTGTGGCCCTCAAAATCAGAACAGTGAGGGGGTCACCATGTACTGCCTCTTCCCAAGCCCGAGACTGCCCCTGCCCTGCTCTGCCATCTGCCTGCTGCACCCCTTGTGCCCAATAAGGCAGGCTCATGTCATTAGCTCATCCCGCCTATCTCTCCTTTGCCACCTACTTTCTAGTTTGTGCCACCTGAGGTGTGCCTGGTGTCTGTGTTTCCAGGCAGAGTCAGCTGCCTTAGGGGGTTGGGGGACTTAGCGAGGGTGCCCTGCAGAAGGAGCAGAGCAGTCCTCTGCAGCCCTGGCAGAGAAGTCCAGGACACAGGACCCCCCAGCAGGTGAGGCAGCCTTGCTGGGAGCTGTACCTGAGACTCTCCTCCCATCTCACCCTGATGCCATGGCCAGGTGTGTTGATCCCCAAGAAACTTGATGTACTGCCTAATACCTCTTGGGACAGAGGAAGGAGGTTCAGGGAGTTTCTTAAATTTTTTATTTCTTCCTTCCTCTTTCATTCCATAAACACTTGTGAACAACTATATCTACTGTATGGATGAAACCATTATGGTCCTGAGGGAAGTGTGAGAGCTGCCATCGGATTCTGTCTAGGGCCTCACCAGGGTCCCAGAAACCCTCACAGCCAGCGTGGATGGGTGTACTCACATGTGCGTGTGGGAGCTGGTGGAGGGGCAAGTGGGTACAGCTTCTACCCAAGCCACGTGCCAGAGACCCACTCCTTGCTAACTTCCACATGACTTCCATGACTATTTGGTGGCATTTGTTCAAGGATAAGCAGAGGAGGCCTGGCGGCCTGGCATCATCTGAGGGGCAAGGTTGGAGGAGAGGACAGGCCCAGCTGGATCTCGAGGCCTTCCAAACCCACAAGTGAATGAAGTGGCCTTGGGAAGAATTGCATTTCAGGTGATGGAGTCCTGAGCCAGTGTGAGAAGCCGCCCTCCTCCCTCAGCCCCCACTGGCATCTGCAGGAGTCCCGGGTGTGGTGCATGGTAGACATATATTTTCTGTGTAGCTGAGCTGTATTTATGAAGGGGTCGGGAGGAGTTGGGAGAGTCACAGGGCCAGAAATGTGGAGGGAAGCCACAGCAGCGAGTGGAGGAAAGGTCTCGGGCCTCGGGCCTCATCCTCTGTGGAAGTCAAAACTGGGCTTTCTGTCTCAAGCTAAGAATAGCAAATGGGTGGTCCCACGGGAAAACTCCTCCCTCCCACCCACCTGAGGCAGCAGCAGGGAGCACCGTCTTACAGCAGACACTGGGTAGACACCAAGACAACGGTGGGACAGTGGACTTCCCACCCATGCCCCCTACTCATGCAAGGCCTAAACTCTCACACCACCCAGAAGTGGAGACCCCAAACTGAGAAACTGTCCTCAAATCCATCTGAAACCGGAATACCTGCTAGAGCCTGTGGATAAAGGGACCATACATTCTGCATTCTCTGGGTCTGTCCTGGGTGACTCCTGTTATCCCAGTGTTGGGCCTGCTTTGGCGTGCACCCCAGCTTTGCATTGTTTAGTGGAGTTCGCTGAAGACTTGCTCTAAAAGAAGCTGGGGGAGGTAGGTAGCTCCCCACCTTTGCTTCAGCTCCTGCCATGACTGCATGTCATGGTGTGGGACTCTCCTGGTGCGTAGGCACATGGGGTGTGTGGTGAGCAAGTTCTCACCTACACTTGAGGCTGCAACTGGAAGAGGCAGAGCGCTGACCTGCCTCTCCCTCCCAATACTCTCCTGACTCAGTGGAACCCTTCAAAAACAGCGCCCGGGCCATTCCTGAGGCACTGAAATGCAGGCAGACATGAGTAACTGAGGAGAGCCAGCTCTTCCCGTGGTGGTAGTGCTGAGAGAAGGACGCGGCACCTCTGCTCCCACCAACTGCTCAGTGCCTCAGCCACTTGCACAACCACAAGATGCATGAAGCCACCAGGCTCTGGGGTCAGTGGGAAAAGTGAGAGAGACAAGCCAGGCACATAGGCAGTATGTCCAGGAGCTGGGAGGAAGAAGAGTTCACGGAGGGGAGTCCCCATGGCCTTGCTGCATTGACTTTGCCACTTACCACGTGCTACAAAGCTACAGCGATTTAGTTATCTTATTGTTTGCCACTGCATTTTCATTTTTCAATAAACCCTTTTGGTAGCAATGAACTCAACAAAAAAGGAAAGTGCCTGAGTAATGAAAATGTAAATATAATGACTTTCTCTTTTTTAAGAAAGTTAATGACGAAACTGTAACATGCACAAAGTTGTTCTCTGCATCTACCATCTGCCAGGAACCACAGCAATGCCACTGACTACCGAGAAATCTGCTCAAAAAGCGTCAGCAGCTACCTCAAAGGTTCATAGGAACTTTGAGAAGCCTATCCAGGCCAGGCGTGGTGGCTCGTGCCTGTAATCCTAGCAGTTAGGGAGGCCGAGGCGGGTGGATCACCTGAGGTCAGGAGTTCGAGATCAACCTGGCCAACATGGCAAAACCCTGTCTCTACTAAAAATACAAAAATTAGCCAGGCTTGATGGAGCGTGCCTGTAGTCCCAGCTTCTCAGGAGGCTGAGGCAGGAGAATCGCTTGAGGCCGGGAGGTGGAGGTTGCAGTGAGCCAAGATTGCACCACTGCACGCCAGTGCCTGGGTGACAGAGCAAGACACCACCTAAAAAAAAAAAAAAAAAAAAAAAATGTAGAAGAAGCCTGTCCAGAATCTGGAATCCACAATTTAACATGCACAGGGGCAACTGAGCAGGTGGCAGTTTAAAATCGAGCTTGCTCTGTATTCTAAGTTTTCTTATATGCAAGCTGAAAATAAAGCAGTGGTCATTCACTGGATAGCATCTCAGTAGAATTTCACATAACATATGGTGAAACAACGCCAGTTTTAGCGTCACCAGATGCATCGATTGAAACATCAATCAATTCCAATAATGGTTCAGTTTATTCATCCAATTCTGGCAAAGTAAAGCTTTTGAGAATTCATTCTGGTGCAGATGAAACACCTCTCACTACTGCAAATACTATTTGAACTTCACTTAAGAAGTTCAACATTAAAAAGTACTCATTTTTAAGATGATTACACAAATATAAATGTTTGTAGATCTTAGCACCTTTGTCAAAGCAATGGTCTCACTAGTGTTTATAAACAACAGAACCTAAGGCCAGAAATGTATTTAGAATTGGCTCTTGGGCATACATTAAGTCATAACTGCACTCAGAGTATCAGAAACTGGAAGTGAGGATGGAGAGGGATGGAGAAGGCGCTGGGCGACCTGAAAGGGCAGAGTCAGGCTCCTTCTGTCAAGACACTGAGGCTCACACACAGTTGATGTTCATTTCACAAACATTAATTGACCAATTATCTGTACCAGAGGCTGTCAGGCACGGAGGACCCGGCGGTAAACAAGCCAGACAAGGTCCTTGCTTTTGAGGAGCTCACGTTTTAATGCAGGACACTAACAAGCAATTGAACATAAGCAGTACTTGGGAACAGGGATGGGTGCTGTGAAGTCCAGAAGCAGGTATCTAACTCAAGTAACTCTGGAGTGTCAGAAACCTCACTGTCAACGCTATTCCACAGACATGTAGAAAGTGCCTACTGCATGTCGGATACTGGGATGGGTCACATATGTAAGGACACAGAAAAGACACATCAGTGCCCTAAAGGAGTGGGGGCAGCCTGGTGTTTCTGATGCGGGCTCCCGGTCACAGTGCGTCCCCTGGCCACGGGGTGAGCCTTTCCCCAAGTGGACCAATCATCGTGCTCCACTGCCCTGGGCCACAGTGATTGGAGCAGACATGGGCACATGGCCCAAGCTGGACCAATCAAAGTATCCCATCCTCAACCCACCCACCACACCCCCAGCCAGGATGAGTGATTCTGGGGGGTTTCTTTCTACAGCTGCTGGGGTTCTCTTCCTTTTGGTTTTGAAGCTCTAAGGATTGCAGGAGGCCAGAGCAGCCTGTAGCTGTGATACCAGCGTTGAGAGAAAGAAGCCAACAGGCAAAGGGAAGCAAAAGAGAGGAGAGATTGATTGAGAGATTGCTTCCTTAATCCAGTAACCCTGGAGGCAGCTCCACCCGTCTTCCAGCGTTTGGTTGTGGGAGCCGATGCGCACATACCCAGTATTTGACTGAGGTCAGTGAGACAGGCAGGGCAGAGAATGCTTCAACCATGACAGACAAGGAAACTGAGGCTCAGACAGATGGAAGGATTGCTCAAGGTCACTTGACTAACAGTGGGAGAACCCCAGACAGAAGCACATCTTTTACCCCCAGATGAGGGCTCTTGCCCCATCCACTGCCTCCAAGGACACAGGCCCTGGGCAAGTCCGTCACCCTGCCCACCTGTGTAATGGCCCCTGGGTACGAGCTACCCTTTTGTTCTGGACTCCGAGGGAGACCACAGTGTCCACTCTTGGATGGAAAGCTATTCCGGACTCAGAAGCAGAACTTCTTCTCTGAGAACTTGCACACGAAAAGTCAAATGAGGAATTTGAGCAAAACAAAACAGAAGTTAACCATCCTTATAGTGCCCTCTTCAGAAAATGCCTGCCCCAACAGCAATGTCCTCTGACTTGGCTCAGGAGGGCATTGGCCTTACTAAAATGCACTGAGTCCGACTCTCACCCATGAACATTTCATCATCAGCGTGCCTCATGGTGTTGCTTAAGATGTGTCCCCCAAAGAACTCAGAGGGCTTTCTGGTGCTTCCTGTTAAGTGCTTTTCTACCTACTCAAAAGGCTGAGAGAATACATGTTTTTCCCAGGGCCCAGATTTTTGAAATGAGAACCAAGGTAACCCTGTGTCCTTCCTGCTTAATATTCTAAGAACATGGCTCCCAGCACCTGGGAACTGAAACATAGGTTTCTAAACCTAATCCAAACCTCCAATACCATGAGGCTGTGTTATCCAGGCCCCAAAATTTCAGAAGTGTTTCTCAGGAGGCTGGCTTTGCTGTGGGTTTCAGGTTTCCAACAGAATCTGGAAATTCACCTCCCTTGACCCACAAAGTTGAGGAAGTGGCACTGCCCAGGGCTTCTCAAGTCAGCCGGCCTGAGTGTATTTTTCCCGAGGACTCCAAATGCCTCAGATGTTGATGTGAATGGGTTTAGACTAGACAGGTAGACGAAGGCTTTGGAACTTTTCTGGCAAAAGAACAGAGCTCTAGGTAAAAGTTGGCTGGCGCTGCCCAGGACTCTGCAGGAAGCACTAACCAGCGAGTGGCAACTGCCTCCAGGACAGTACCAGCCAGGCGTCATGGGTGTCCTGGGGATACTCACATTCAGACTCTGAATGTGGCGGTGGGAACTCACTGCCCAGAAGGAACCCCTGCCTTCAGACTCAGCCAGTTATAGCCAGGTGGCTTCATGTGCAGAGCAGAAACCTGAGTCTGCAAGGTCTTCAAAGGTCCCTGTCACCCCCAACCCCTCTGTGAGTCACCTCCTACCTTCTTGGCCTCACCTCTGATTCCAGCCAAGGTCAGAGAAAACTGTTCCACATAGGTTCCTCCCACTGCATATGGCCAGCACTCATCTCAAGTCTATGCCAAATGTCTGCTGCTTCCTCTCCTGTGACTTCTTTGATGTCATAGCATGGGGCACCATCAGGAGCCAACATGGCGTCTTCTCCTGCACATCCTGGGGGTGCAGGGAGCTTAGCATTCCATAGAATGACCCAGCCAATGGGAGGTGGGAGCCCGTGACCAACTGCTCCTCCCTTTCTCCCTCAGGGGGACATTTTTTTTTTTTTTAATACAAGGTGTTGCTCTATTGCCCAGGCTGGAGTGCACTGGCACGAGATCACAGCTCACTGCAGCCTCGACCTCCCAGGACTTAAGCTATCCTCCCAGCTCAGCCTCCCAAGTAGCTGGGACTACAGCCTTGATTTTCCCTATATGTGCCTGCTTGGCAGCCATGTGGCTGCTTGGGCTTCCATAAAACATGGCAGTTGGGTTCTAAGAAGGAGGAAACAAAAGCTGACAGTTCTCTGAAAAGGGGAACTGTGTCTGCAGCCAGGGGTTCCTTCTGGACACTGAGTTCCCACCTCCCAGCTAATTTTTTGCATTTTTTTGTAAATACAGGGTCTCACTTTGTTGCCCAGGCTGGTCTCAAGTTCCTGGGCTCAAGTGATCCTCCTGCCTCAGCCTTCTAGAGTGCTGGGATTACAAGTATGAGCTACCACACCCCACTAGGGGTACAATTCTGAGCTATAGCTCTATGTTCCTCGAAAGGTCCCAGAGAGACCAAGTCCCAGTCAATCACAGTGGTGGACCACTCAGGGATACTACACCTCATATCAGCTTTTCCTTCTTCTCTTTCTGTCTTTGGTCCTCATTCCTGCTACTGCTGGATCACTTCCCAAAGAAACCCCACACTATAAGTAAACCTGTGTCGGGTTCTGTTTTTGAGGAGAAACCTAGGCTAAGACACGGGACTTCATCTTTGTGTTCCCATATGCCAGCATGAGCTCTGTCTGTGTTAGTTACTTATTGCTGCATACCAAACTATCCTAGAACTCGGTGGCTTTAAACAACAATCACAGTCAGGCATGGTGGCTCATTCCTGCAATCCCAGCACTTTGGGAGGCCAAGGCAGGTGGACCACCTGAGGTCAGGAGTTCGAGACCAGCCTGGTCAACATGATGAAACCCTGTCTCTATTAAAAATATAAGAATTTGCTGGGTGTGGTGGTATGTGCCTGTAATCCCAGCTACTCAGGAGCCTGAGGCAGGAGAATCACTTGAACCCAGGAGGCAGAGGTTGCAGTGAGCAAGATGGTGCTACTGCACTCCAGCCTGGGCAACAAGAGTGAAACTCCATCTCAAAAAATAATAATAATAAATAAAACAACAATCACAATTTTGCAATTTGGGCAGGGTTCATGTGAACAGCTCATTTCTGCTCTACATGCCATCAGCTAGGGCAGCCCAAAGGGGGCTGAAAGACCCACTTCCAAGATAGTTGGCCTCTGTGGTGGCAAGTTGATGCTGGTTGTTGACAGAGACTGTTGATGGGGAGCCTTGATTCCCTCCCACATGGACCTCTCCATGTGGCTGCCTGGGGCTTCCTCACAACATGGCAGTTGGGTTCTAAGAAGGAGGAAACGGAAGCTGACAGTTTCCTGAAAAGGGTCAGAACAGGCAGAGCATCACTTCAAAGCAGTTTAAGGCCTGGCCCAGAGGAAAGAGGGTAGGAAAATAAGACACACCTCTCAGCTCAGGGAGTGACAAGCCATTTTCAGCCATTCTTAACCTGCCACAATGGCACAGAACACTACATTAAGGAAGACTTGAATAAACAACTAAGTAGAGAAATCAATTAATTAATGCAACCAGCCATTACTCAACGGTAACCTTCCCTCAACCCAAATAGTCACTACTACTCTCCCTGAAATTTTAGAATAAAATATTAATTTGATAACTTATTTGAGACTAGAAGGTTTTGTGACCTCGGGGTCCTAAAATATTAGAGCTTTGGAATCCTAGGGGTAACCCACCTCAGCCACCTCTGGCTGAGGAAAAGGAAAACGGGAAGAAGAGGATTTGTCCAAAGTCACTGTCTTGGTTATTGGCAGTGCAGGTTGCAACACAGGGTCTGGATTCCCACCCAGGTCCCCCATGTCACACCTCAATGCAAGCTTAAGGCATGTGAAGACTGCGGCCTTTCCCATAGGAAACTCAACCTCCTGGGTTCCTCGTGAATCTTCATCCCCCAAAATGCCACACTCCAAACTGTTGTAAGGAGTTTTTGAAAACTTTTCAGAAACTGGGCACAGAAGGGACCCTATAAACAGGGTGAGGCTGTCAACGTGGAAAAGGAGCTCAGACTCGGGTCCAAAAATGCCGCTGGGTGGCACTGCCCACTTCATGCAGGCCAAAGGCTGGCCTGCTTTGGTGCCAGTCATGGGCCAGTCGACCACACTGACCTGGCCAATCACACTGATCCAGTCAATCACACTGACCCAGTCAATCACACTGACCTGGTCGATCACACTAATCCAGTCGATCACACTGATCTAGTAAATCACACTGACCTGGTCAATCATATTGATCCAGGTGATCACACTGACCCAGTCAAGCACACTCATTGAGTCAAACACACTGACCCAGTCAATCACACTCATTCAGTCAAACACACTGACCCAATCACACTGATCCAGTCGATCACACTGACCCAGTGAATCACACTAACAGTCAAACACACTGACCCGGTCGATCTTACTGATGCAGTTGATCACACTGATCTGGTCAATTGCACTGATCCAGTCATTCACCCTGATCCAGTCAATCACATTGATCCAGTCATTCACACTGATCCAGTCAATCACATTGATCTAATTGATTACACTGGCCCAGTTGATCACACTGGCCCCATCATTCACACTGATCCAGTCAATCACACAGACCTGGTCAATCACACAGATCCAGTTGATCACATGGATCCAGTTGATCACGCTCTTCCAGTTGATCATGCAGACCCAGTCGATCACACTGACTTTGTCATTCACACTAATCCAGTCGATTATGCAGACCTGGTCAATCACACAGTTCCATTCGATCACACTGACCCGGTTGATCACACTGATCTAGTTGATCACATTGACCTGGTCATTCACACTGATCCAGTCATTTTCAATGGTCCAGCCATTCACAGTGACCCAGTTGGTCACATTGGCTGTCACATTGATAGTGGGCAGCTTCCACATTTCATGAGCATTTGTGGAAGCCCTGGAATGCGTGAGGCACAGAGGAGGATACAAAATAATATAATGAAAGCAGTCTCTCTCTTGATATTGAGTATCTACCATGGGTCAGGCATTTCATTTCATTATCCTCATTTTATGGATAAGAACTGGGTAATTTCTGTTGTTCCCTAGATACTAAGTAACTGGTTGGAGTTTACCCCAGGCCCGGCAGACCTAACCATCCACTCCTTTCCCTAAATCACCCTGCACACTGATCAATGTTCTACTCTTCTAGGAGTTTGATCAAGTCCAGAGGCCAAAATATCCCACACTCAATCCATAAGGAGATCATTCCCCCCAACAAAGAGGCAGAACCCCATCACAGAAGAGTCAGGACTTGGGGACAGGGGGCCTGGGAGGGAGGCTGGGCAGGGCCAACCCTGAATTAAGCAGAGGCTGACTGCAGAAGGAGATTGGAAGGTAGTTAAAGGCAGTGGTCAGAGACACGTTGCCGGGGGTAGCCAGGGGAAGCCATGGGTTCCAGAATTTCTGTGTAAGGGGGCAATTGGGGAGCTTCTGTGCACCAAGTTCAAAATCGGAACTCAGAGACCTGTCTCAAAGCTGCCTTTGCCCAGCGCGCCCTACTGTCTTTTCGCCACGTGCTTACCAAGGTGTCACATGCCCTCTACCAAGCCTGTCTTGGTGCCAACAATCATTAATGGGGGAATGCAGCCAAGGGCCCTGAATGTGAGGCTGAGACTCCGAGCTCCGGTCCAGTTGGTAGGAAGCCTCTGAGATTCCAAGATGGGCAATGACAGGACAAAGCAGGAGGAAAAGTGCCCATTTATGGAGCAAGCACTTGCTTTGAGTCATTTGACCACAGTGTGAAATTCATTGCACCTCTCCACTGGGTGAGGGGGTCTCAGGATCCCAATTCCTCCAAATGAGGAAGCCGGGGCTCAGGGGAATGCAGTGACTCATGTGGGTCTCAGCTAACAAGGTGGAGGAGCTGCGCACTGGGCCTAGGTCGCTCCCCTTTGAATCGCACTTCCCTTCCCCTCAGCAGTGAGCTGGATGGGGCTCCACCTTGGGGCATAGGAACCAGGAAGACCACATGCTGCAGGGCCACAATCCAGCTGGACAGGAGAGACACACTTAGGAAAATGCCCACCACAAGCCTCCTGTGCAGTTTCTAGCAAAGGGAGGCATCTCCAGGCCAGGGGCACCCCGGGGCCTTTGCCCCTCCTCCCCAGGAAGACAGGTTTCCGCCCTGAGCAAGACGGCACACGTCAGAGGCTGAGGCCAACCCGGGGCCAGTTCCCAGCACTCGGGGTAGCTGGGGCCAAGCTGCTGACTCACTCTGTAACCCTCAGACAAGTCACTTCCCTCCTGGGTACCCAGCATGGAATTGAAAGTGGGCATCCCTATGTCCCAGGCTGCCAGAGAGGCCTTTCCAACCAGGGCTGACTGGCTGGGTGGGGAGGGGATCGGATGATTGTGAGCAGAATGGGAAACATGTTCTTTGGAAACGGATATTCAATGGAATAACAGAACTTAACATTTAGAAAGTGAGCAGTGGCTCAAGCCTGTAATCCCAGTACTTTGGGAGGCTGTTTGAGTCCAGGAGTTCAAGACCTGGGTCTGAGCAACATAGCAAGACTCCGTCTCTACAAAAAATTAAAAAATTAGCCAGGTATGGTGGCACACACCTGTAGTCCCACCTACTCAAGAGGCTGAGGTAGGAAGATCGCTTGAGCCTGGGAGGTCGAGGCTGCAGTGAGCCAAGATGGCGCCACTGCACTCCAGCCTGGGTGACAAGAGCGAGACCTTCTGTATTGGTCAGGGTTCTCTCTCTCTCCTCTCTCTCTCTCTTTCTCTCTCTATCTCTCTCTCTATATATATAAATGTAAGAGTTTATTAAGTATTAACTCACACAATCACAAGGTCCCCAACAGGCTGTCTGCAGGCTGAGGAGTAAGGAGAGGCAGTCCGAGTCCCAAAACTGAAGAACTTGGAGTCCGATGTTTGAGGGCAGGAAGCATCCAGCACGGGAGAAAGATGTAGGCTGGGGGGCTAGGCCCATCTCTCCTTTTCACGTTTCTCTGCCTGCTTTATATGTGCTGGCAGCTGATTAGATGGTGCCCACCAGATTAAGGATGGATCTGCCTTCCCCAGCCCACTGACTCAAATGTTCATCTCCTTTGGCAACACCCTCACAGACACACCCAGGAACAATACTTTGTATCCTTCAATCCATCAAGTTGACATTCAATATAACCATCACACCCTCTCACCTCAAAAAAAAAAAAAAAAAAAAAAAAAAGCAAGTAAGTTTCCAAAACAATGCAAACCCAACATTCTAAAAGAAAGTTATTTACATGAGCACACACATCTGGAAAAAAAAATCTAGAAGCAGTACAACAAGATACTGACAAAAGATGCCTTTGCACAGTGAGACGATAGGGGAATCTCCCGCTGCACGCTTTCTCTTCGTTGTGTCTCTGTACTTACAAGTCTCCTACGTGTACCTACACGACATGTTTAAAATAAAAGGTTTGTAATTGGGCTTGGAAGAATAACTGACCGAAGGGCCACTTTACTTCCAGAGAGAACTTAGCACCCTTATTACTATAGAGTGAGCAGCCTACTCCTTACTGAGATAAATCCTAACATGAATCATCAGTGTCAGCCCCACCAGGACCTGTCCCAATGGGGTCAACAGGAGAGCCAGATTTTGTGAAGTGTGTGTGTGTCCATATGTGTCACATATTTTCTTCCTAATCACACACTTTGGTGAGGACAGTGTTACAAATAGCATTCCTGACTGATGGAAAGGGTGGGGTACGGACACAGCCCAGGAAGTGGCAGGGATCCAGTGAAGAATTAAACTTTTCCAGGGATCATCGAGAGTCAATTGTATTAGGAATTAACATCTCACCCTCGGCCCTCTCCTAAGCCATTCCTGTTGCTTCTATCACCGTAATCTGAAACCTCTTGGCCAAAAGCAGGACCAATTTACAGACAGAAAAATTGAGCCACAGAGAAATGAAACAAATGGTCTAAGATCACAGGCTGAGCAGAGGGTGGACCAGTCAGTGTTTGCACCCTGGGTAGCTATTCAACCCTCCAACAAGCATTGATTGGACACCTACTATGTGCCTGGCAGGCCCCATGGCGTGAAAGATATATAAAATGCCTTTCCCAGATAAATACATTTCCAGACTAGTGGGAGGAGACAGACTTAAAAACAGAGCTTGCATCATGACACTGTGAGAGCTATGTGAGAGGCTTGTGAGAAGGTACAGAAAATGGGCCTGCAAACTACATGGCTGGGGACCGGGCGAGGGTAGGCTTGAGTGGGTGGAGGGCTGTTGCAAAGGCTCTTTGAGAGGGGGAACACTGTGCTGGGTCCTGAGACCGGAGCAGGAACCCACGGAGAAAAGGTGTGGGGAAAGGTATTCCAGAGGGAACAGCTTATGCAAAAGCACTGGGGTATGAGGCAACATATCCTATTTGGAAATTGGCCATGCCTGGAACACACAGTGTGTCATCGGGACTGCATAAGGTGACGAGGGCCAGGTAAGTTGGGACTGGATTATAAAAGGCCTTGAATGTCCCCCTGTGAAGTTTAAGCTTTATCTTATTGGCAGGATTGGACAGATAAAACTTTTTAAGTAAAAAGGAAACGTCGTTAGATCTTTTGGAAGCATCATCTCTCTAGCCGGATGGGACAGGGGAGACTCAGGGTCATAGCCAGTGAGTGATGGGGTGACAGTCTAGGGCGGACAGTCATGTTAGGATTCAAAGCATGGAATTTGGGAGTCCATGGGGCACCGAGCCCCTGCCTCCCACAGGAGACCAGCAGCAGCCTCACACCAGGCCCAGCCTGGCAGGGAGGGCGCTCCTGAGTGCCAGGGTTACATGAGGATCCACAAGGTTGGGCTCAGATGACAGCGGACTCTTGCCCCATCCCGTCCAGTCCAACACCCAGGGTGGAGGGGTGGAGGGATCGGGTGATGTGGGCAAGGCAGGGCAGAGTTCCTAGGAGGCGGGGCCAGGGCCAGTTATGCATGGGAACAAGGCCAGGCCAGGTGTCTGGGGGCCCCTTGCCATGGCCTGGTGACAGAAGGTGTGGCAGCAGCCCAGGGCAGCTGAGGCAGGATGGAGATGGTGTCGTGGGAGGTGTTCCCTGCCTGGATGCAGTAACTGTGGCTCCAGCCCAGCCATGCACAGCACCTGAGGCTCACCCTGCGACGGCTGTGTGCAGTGGGACCCCCACCCAGGTCACTCCCCCGCTGCCACCTCCCTAGAGACCACCCCATGCCAAGGCCAGGGTCAGAGAGGAGGGGACCCTCCCCTTTTCCTTTCTCCCTTTTCACAGACTCAGAGAACCAGGAATATTCCAGCTCTTGGAAACTGTCGAGTCCTGCCTTTTAATTTACTGAGCCCCAGAGAGGGGAAGCAACTTGCCCAAGGTCACACAGTGGAAAGCCCCACAGAGCATTAGATGAAAAGGCCTAAATAGACCCCAACCTTCCTTCACCCGCCCCTCCATGCTCGGGAGACACAGGCAGCAGGGGCAGCCCAATGCCAGACGCCTGGGTGCAGATGGTCTCACTACACAGAGAACTCCCCACCTGCCTCTGGGCCACCCACCAGCTGTTTCAGGACCCCAGGCTTAGCTGCTGATGGGGGAGGCTCACGTCCAGGAGCAGCCCGAGTGATGGCCGCCCCTCCTGGGCCTGAACCGGGGCAGGAGAGTTGGGGAGGCTAGGGGAGCTGGGGGCCAGGCTCCCACTCCCCAGCCGTGTGTGCTGCTCCATCGGTGGAGACCCGGCCCACCCAGCTGTGTGGCCTCCCTCGGCACTTCACCCGGCCTTAGCATCAGCTTTGCCACCTGTGAAAGGACAGAAGCATGTCTGCGTCAGGATTGCCGGGAGGGTGGCATGAAATCCTGAAGTGACGCCGCACCTCGCAGATTCGAACGGCAGAGCTGCAGCCTGTTCTCCAACGTGCCTGTGCAGTCAGCTCTCGGGGACACACGTGCCAGTGTTGTCACCAAGGCAAGCATAGGTTCATCTTTCCTGGCCAGTAAACACCCCCTTCATGAACCTTTTGTTACCAACAGCCAGCTCCCTGAGGAAGGCGGGAGTGCCTGTGTCAGTGGGGCTTGGGAGGCAGGTCTGTAGGGAAGGTGGGGCCCACCTACAGGTTGAGGGGAGTCCCTTGGGCCCGGGGCGCATCGGAGGCTGTGCTGCGGCAGGAGGCTTGTCTGAGAGCTGGCGCAGGCCTGGGGAAGCTCACATCTGCGACAGTGCCTCTGAGCAGGCTTCTAGTCTCCCAGGACCTCGGTCCTTATTTCACAGCTAGGGCACTTGGCAGATGCTGCAGGCATCTCTCCCGGACACAGGCCTCCTGACCACCTCCTCTCTTGTCCCTCCATCTTGTGCACCTCCCATCCCCAAGCTGGAGCCACACATCCCAATCCCCCAGGGCAGGAGACTGGCCCTAGAGGGGCAGGACAGAGAGTGGAAAAACCAGAGGGTCAGCCCAAGATGACACTGAAAAGGGGGAGTTCTCCCTCCAGCCGCCGCCCTCTTCCTCAGCGGGAATCGGGACTCTGGGCTGCCCTTGGGAGTGGCCAGCACCCCTCATCATTCCTGATGCTTCTGGGAGGGAGGGAGACCCTGAGCTCCCATGTGGCTCAGCCCTTCCAGTAACAGACGGGCAGCGAGGCTCAGGGAGGGGTGGGAACTCATCCAGGCCACACAGCTCAGGGCAGAGCCAGGGTGGCGTTGGGGTCCTGGGATGCCAGCCCCTGCCTTTTCTCTGTGCCAGCCTGCATCCAAAGCCCACAACCTCAGCTCAGAGGATGTCCTTCCAAGGTGACCACAGAGACAGCAACTGACCAGGTGGAAAAAGGCTGGTCCATGGAGTCTTCATGAATAAAGTGACCAATTTTCTAAGCCCAAATGCCAGGCAGGGGGTCTGATAAAGACAAATGATGTGCAGTCACTGCTATCCTTGAAAATCGTTGACTTTGGAGCAAGAAGACCAAAGTCTTGGGGGGACCGGGGTGGTGGGGCCCTCAGAGAGGCTGAGTGCTCCGAGGCAGGGACCTCTGGGCTGCTGGGCCCCTGCCGGCTTCCTGTGGCTGCTGGGACAGGGTGGGGAAGGAAGGCTGGCCGGAGCGAGCTAATCTGGAGAAGTGATTTTCCTCCTGGGCCAGCCCTTCCCTGGGCAGGGCTCTCAGCAGGCGCGAAGGTAGGGCGGCCGGGGCTCTGCAGGGAGGGGCCGGCTTATCAGGCAGGAAACACTGGGCTCCAGCCACATCCTCCTGCTCCTGGTCACAGCAGCTCCCATGGGCAGGAAAACACTCAGCAGCCACTGCTCCTCGGCCTTCTCCGGCCCCTCCTGCGAGCCTTCCTCCTCCTTGGAGACTGGAGTGCTGTGTGCTGGGTCTGCTGCCCCTAGCTCTGCCTGCCTTGCCAGGCGCCCTGGGACACCCGCCGCCTACTAGGGCCCTGCAGCCTGGTCACAGTATGGCAGAAAACCGACAGAAGGGCCTAGGGTGCTGGGGATGTCGGGGTGGGCTCCTTGGACCCATCTATGCCAGCCCGGGCTGTCGGAAGCCACCACCTGTTCCCTCCCACGGTGGGCCTGCAGGTGCACACTGGAACGCCCCCTCCTCCGGAGCCTCTTCTCAGCCCTGCTGTCCTGGGCCAGTACCCACAGAGACAAGCAGCATGAGAGCAAAGGCCTTGGGAAGACTCCTAAATACATGGAAGCCCTAAGCCTCGATATCCCCTCCCGCCTGCACTCCCGGCCCCTTCCCCGCTTCACCCTACACCTTTGGAGCTGTGCTGCCAGCCCCTGCCCCCTGCTGAGACCCTGATGCAGCAGAGCCCTTCCAAAAGCTCGGCCTTGGGGGCTTCTCTCCGCAGCCCTGTGCCCTCACCCTGGCTCCGGGAGATCCCACTTCCCCAGCTCTCCCCCTACCACCCACGCTCCCCCCACAATCCTTCACCGACTTCTCTCTGCTTTGTGCCCTGGGGAGGACACCATTCGCTGTCTGGGCCTCCACTTCCTCTTTCATCAAATCTGAGCTTGACAGTGACTCCCGCCAGCCTAAACAGTCAGTGATTTTATTTTTCAAGCTTACAGAGCTTGATTAAGGATTACAGTCTTCTAATTTCAAGCCTCGGTTCTTTTTGGCACCAATGCAACTCTGCTGTTTACCTCAGGATGCCTCCGAATGGCCTGATGGGAGGACAGGATGGATCCCTTACAGTCTCCTGTCTCCTGCAGATCTTATGATGTTTCATGCTTTCCATGACTTTCACGGTGCCCTGAGCTGTGGGAGCCGGTGCTGCTGTTTTTCAGGGAAAGGAATGAAGAAAAAGAAAGTTCTGTGGCTCCCAGGGATGGGGATGGAGGAGCTACGAAGCCCTCTCGGGTTCTCTGATAGGATGGGAACACCAGCTACTGTGCTGAGAAAGCAGGAAGCCAGGGATGCCTCTGGCCACCCACCCACTTTGCACGACCTCTCAGGCCTGGAAATCACAGCCTTACCTCACAGGTGTCAACATCGGAACATCTAAAACCCAATGACCAGCCTCCCTGAGGCCCCTGGAGGCTGCAGACCTTTCATTCATCAGAAGCCAGTGACTTTTCTGGGTGGAATATTGTCCACGTTTTATCGTCCCCCCTCCAACTTTGTCCCAGAACCACGCCACCCCACAGCCACTCAGACAGATGGAGATGAGTAACCATAAGAAAGGACAGTGGTCAGGGATGGGGAACCAAACACCATTTGAGCCAGGAATGAGCATGAGCCTCTGAGAAATGACTACACACTACACCTACATGCAGAACATTCCAGAAGCACCCGCAGAGCACCCCGTCTCATCCCCTGCTGAAACCCCACTTTCCTCTCCCATTCTTTGTATAATGAGCCTTATCTCCTCCCTCCCACCCCCACATCCACGCGACACTCGGCCTCTAAGTAAGGGGAACGCACACCAGAGAGGGGGTCTAGAGGAAACCACAGGCCCTACCCGAGGCTCAAACACAGTCCCCAGGGGAAAGAAGGGTGCAGCCAGCCAGCAGGGACCAGGATTGCTCCAACCTCTGCAGATGACGTCAGCAGACATGGACCTGGACTGCAGCAGGAGGGACTTAGGTGAGACGGAAGGAAGGACTTTTGGATGATGAAGCTTGTTAGACTAACTTATAGAAAGCAATTCCTCTTTCTTTTTTTTTTTTTTTGAGACGGAGTCTCGCTCTGTCCCCCAGGCTGGAGTGCAGTGGCGCAATCTCCGCTCAGTGCAAGCTCCGCCTCTCGGGCTCACGCCATTCTCCTGCCTCAGGCTCCGGAGTAGCTGGGACTACAGGCGCCCACCACCAAGCCCAGAGAATTTTTTGTATTTTTAGTAGAGATGGGGTTTCACTGTGTTAGCCAGGATGGTCTCGATCTCCTGACCTCATGATCCTCCCGCCTCGGCCTCCCAAAGTGCTGGGATTACAGGCGTGAGCCACCGCGCCCGGCCAGCAATTCCTCTTTCTTTTCAGGATTCTCCAGCCAAATAGAAGCCCATCTACCAAGAATGGCAAAGAGGACATCCTCACTAGAGGAAGGAGAATAGGCTAAAAAAGGACCCAAATGGTCTCTTTCAATCCCAGTTTTGCGCCCAAAGAAGGAAACTGACAGTGTTCCTCTATAGTCTACATTAAGTTTACTCGGGGGGTCCTCTCCCCTCATTTCTCCCTCACAATCCATACCATGTGACAATCGCTGAACACGTGGCTCTGGATTTTTCAAGCTAGTATCTGCCTCCAGGCCTAAAAACATCCAAATGGTCTCAAGAACTCCAAAATAGGCAATAGCCCTCCTATGCATTCACATACAGCTCTGCCATTTCTAAAATGCATATGAATCCACTCATAACCTCCTTAGATGACAGAACCGGTCCAGGGATTTACCCAAGTCCCAATTAAAATCCAGTGATGGGTAGGGCCAGACCATGCCCCCAGGTCTCGACTGTTTTCGGGCATCCTCCCCCTGTATCAGGAGCTCTGAGCAACCTGCGGATGCTGCCAGCAGCATGGGCGCATGCACCTGGGACACCTGGGAGGACCAATCCAGTTGCCTTGGTAACTCATAGAGCAATACTTTGCCCCATATAAGTGGTTGACGCTTAAACTCAGGATAAAAACCACTTTCACATGTCTTGGGCTGACAGCAGTAGAAATGGGTCAGAAGCCAAGGAAGAGTGTGTCATTCACGGTGGTGTCTGGGGAAATGGATGTTCCCGATTTGCTATTGGAAGCCGTCAGGAAGCACAGGAGAAGGCAGAGGTGCCAGGACAAGTGACGCAACGGAGCCCGGTCAGATTGAAGGCAGTCTTATAAATAGTCTTCAGACTTTAATTCTTCCCGTTAAGAAAAAGTGAATTCATTCTGGGAATGGAAAGGAGTCATTTTTCCTTCGACTATCAGTTCAGACTCTGGGAAACCAACGAACCATTTGAAGCAAAGCCTGCAAATATGCTCATGTGCTTAGACCCAGTGATTCCCTGATGGGAATCCAGCTGTGGGTGCAAACCAATAGATGTTCACTGCGGTGCTGTTGATAATGGCAAAAAAGGAACAATTTAGTGATCTGATAGCAAAGGGATGGTCGAGTAAAATAAGACCCCTGTATTAAGTGTGGTATTCTGCGTCATCAAAAATGATAAATATGAAGATGGATATGAATGTGGTAAAATTTCTACAACAGAATGTTGAACAGAGAAAGCTGAATGCAAGTGGCCTCTATAGCTACACAATGTTCACAGCATGTACAATTATGTGTGCATGGATGTGGGACTAGGGAATTCAGTGTACAAACATGAGTGTGTTGAAAAAAGGTCATGGAGTGGGTGGTTTTTCTTTCCGCCCCCCCCCCCACAGTTTTTTTATATTAATCTTTCAACTAGGAAGAGAACATCTTTTGCAGAAAAATGGAATTTAATGGCATAGAAAAAAGTTCATTTAATATTAATGGATAAAATGTCTATTACAAAAGACATGTATATATGCATTATATCTACATCAAAAAAAGAAAAAGGGGCTTGATAGATATATAACCAAAGTATTACCATTAGTGTCTCTAAGTTGTGGACAATAGATGACTTACTTTTTTCTTTATGATGTTATTTTTTTCTATACTTCTAACAAACATTATATGTCCCTTTTAAGAATTGAAATATCAGTGAGTAAATGGATGGATGGATGAATGGATGGATGGAGAGTGGATGGATGGATAGATAATAGATGGGTGGGTGAGAAGGCAGGTAAGGTATGGGATGGATGAATGGAGGTGTGGGTGGGTAGGAGGATATATGGCTGGCTGGCTGAATGTACAGATATATGAGTGGGTAGGTTGATGGATGAATAGAGAAGAAAGAAAGAGAGAAAGAAAGAAAAAGAAAGGAAGAGAGAGAGAAAGAAAGGAAGAAAGGAAGGAAGGAGGGAGAGAAAGGGAGGGAGGAAGGAAGAAAGGAGAGAAAGAAAGGAAAAAAGAAAAAAGGAAAAGAAAGAAAGAGAAAGAAAATGAAAAAAGAGAAAGGAAAAGAGAAGAGAGAAAGGAAGAAATAAAGAAATAAAGAGAAAGAAAAAGGTAGGATGAACAGCTGAATGGCTGGCTGGATTGATGGATGGGTGTATATGGATTAAGGAGTGTATGGAACGATAATTAAAGAAGGAAAGACAGAGAGAGAGATGGGGTGAATGGACGGATGGATAGATGATAGATATATAGACAGACAGCTAAGTAGATTCATATAGATGTCTCTCTCTTCTTTTCCTTCCTTCCTCCCTCCTTCCCCCCTCCCCGCGCCCCCAACGCCCCCGCCCCCTGCCCTGCCATCCCTTCCAAATTCCTTTCACTGGGATGAAACCAGGAGCACAGCCTCCTCAAAAGGAAAGGCAGACTAGATGGATGACAGCAATCTTCTGCCCTCAGCCCTCTTCTGCTGCTCCACGCTGGGGCAGGAGAGGAGTGCTCTCCCTATGTCTCCGTGCCCATATCCCACCCCAATTCTGCCAGGCTACACTCCAGCAGGTGCAGGAGAATAGTCATGGCCACATCAGACCCAGCCTCAGAGCCCCAAGAAGGACACACACAAAGAACCCAAGGTCTTGGTTTCCAAGGAAATGGGAGTTAAACTTAGAGACGCAGAAGGGTTCATTCAGGTCTTTACCACCAAGATTAACAGCATACCTACAGGGCATCCCAGGTGGTTTTTTAATTTATATATTTATTCATTTGTTTGTCCAGCAGCCTCTGTGGGTCACCCGCGGGAGAGAGTGCACAGGGCGGATGGTTCCAGGGCCAGCAGTGAGCGAAGTAACCAAGGTCTGCCCGAGTCCTGTGGAGGACGCCTGGGGAGGAGAGTGACTGGCCGCTCTGCCGAGTGAGGTTGGGCGTGTCTGAGCTGGACTAGGACAGTGAGTGTGATGTCACCAGATGGTGACAGAAGTGAGGGTCGCCCAGGTCAGGGAATCAAGGATTAGCGTTGGTGAAAACACAGGAACAGAGAGAAGGCGAGGATTTCCCTGGCCCCATAGGCTTCCCTGTGGTAGGGTACACTGCAACAGGCAAGGGTTGCGTGAGAAGCTTCTGGAAAGAACGGGATCAATCACAGGGGTGCTCACACGGGGGCTGAGCCCAGTGTTATGAGGTTTAAGGCTTGCACAATTGGGGCAGGGGGTGAGGAACTCCTAAAGAATACAAAAGCATTTTCCTTTTTGCAAAGTTTTTACAAACCAGTGGCCATGTGAACGCATGACTAGGCCCCTCCCAGGACCCTGCACAGCTAGGGGCCCAGAGTGGGAGCCACAGTGAACCCACCCTGGTGCTACCTGTGTGCCCTGGGCAACAAGCCGGCGCTGAGGGACCTTAGGGAAAAGTGTGGAACTGCAGCACATAGGATTCAGAAAAGGAACTTCTAACTGTGCCTTGCCATTGATTCCCACTGGCTAAAGCAAGACATGTTCTTTGCACCAGAGGCAGCGATGTGCCAGAATGGGCAACTAAAACTCAAAGATGCCCCTGGCTCCTGGGCACGACTGTCTCACCCGTAGCTGAGCACAGTGGAAGAGCGGCCTGGTTGTCAGCCTGCTTCCTGCCCTCCCAGAGACAGAAACCATGCCCCCACAGTGTGTCCTGGAATGAAACATGCCCATGAGGCAGTGGCGGGCTGACGTGGCAGGCAGGCACTGGTAGACAGGAGCTCCAGGCAGCCGGTGACACTGCAGATGCACGGGCCGTAGCTGCAGCCACCGGCCTGGATAGCAAGGTCTTCAGCGTCATCTGACTCTGGCCTATGATATCCTTTCCTCTTTCTTTCTTTCCCTGGGCCATGATGGGTATGAAGTGGACCTCATATGACTCCATGCCATAGTAAAGTGGGGAAAGTCAGGCAGCACCAACTCCAGCAGTGAGACCGACGAGTGCTGCCAACACACATCTGACGATGCTAAAACACAGGTAACATGGCACACGAGCCAGCCACCCTTCGCCAACGCCCACCCCGGGCCTCTGTGTCCCCTCCTGCACAACGTGGTGGGTGGATGACGGGCCCCACCTGGGGATGTGGATGAGAAACAGCCCATAAAACTTTCCGTAAAGCTCTGCACACCTATAAAGTGCTATTAAAGTAATGACTACAGATTAGGATCAGAACTGAAGGGAACACGCATGCCCATTTGGGCTCTCCCAAGACTCACTCCTTGGCCCAGAGGGCCTGGGAAAACACACAGCTGCCCTTAACTCCAGCAAGTTACAACTGCTTGCCCATGGACAAAAGCCAGACAGAGGTGACCTGCACAGGGACTGAGTCATCCTCAGTTTCTTCCAGTGCTTTTTGGCTGGGATGTTGCTCCTAACCCTCACTAGATTTGCATCCTTTCATTATTACTCTGTGTGCTCTCCTGCCTTCTCCACAATGTCCCATTGAGTTCTGAGAGCCTGTGACATATTTCCACAGCACATCCATAAACACAGGTGTGTTTCGAGATTATTTCAAAAAGAAGAAAAAAAATGTGACAGTTTTTTGTTTGTTTTTTTGACAGAGTCTCACTCCATCGACCAGGCTGGAATGCAGTGGTGCCATCTCAGCTCACTGCAATCTCCGCCTCCTGGGTTCAAGCAATTCTCCTGCCTCAGCCTCCCAAGTAGCTGAGATTACAGGCACCTGCCACCACACTCACGCCTATAATCCCAGCACTTTGGGAGGCTGAGGCGGGTGGATTACCTGAGGTCAGGAGTTCGAGACCAGGCTGGCCAACATGGCGAAACCCCGTCTCTACTAAAAATACAAAAAAAAAAAAAAATAGCTGTGACAGTTTTAAGTAAGCAAACGAGTAGACAAAACTTACTTTCCTTCTTCAGACAGCCTCATAGTCACCTCATTCCACTTTACGAGTGTAAAGTCGTCACAAGGAGAAAATTGTTCTACATGTAGGTCATGAGTTGACATTTTCTTTCATTGTCAATAAAAACAGCAGATTCCAATGCGTAAAATTTGGATTTATCTCTTTAGCATAACTCATAAAATAAAATAAACCATCCCTACCAGATAACAACTTTTTAAAATAAAAAAGTCGATGTAGAAAACATGTTGATCAATACCACAAGTAGCACCCGATGTAACATTTATGTCTTGCTTGGAAACCTTTTCTTTTTGCAAAACTATATTTCAAAAGATAGAACAGTCATGGTACAAAAATGTTTATTTAAATTAAATATTTGCAACAAATTAATATTGACAACTGTTCCAAAGTATGAGTTGTTCTTTCAAAAAAACGAAACAGTTTAGCTTAATGTCTGTGATACTGTTTTATGAGATTATTCATACATGCTCTGGACTGCGCATCAGTCAATCATATCATCAACAATTTACTATTTATTACCAAATGGCATATAAAGTAATAGCATAAAGAGTAATCATACCTTATAAGTGATTTTACAATAGGACATCTTAGAAGGACAAAAAGGATTTATCAACAATACAAAACATAAGATAAAAATAATAGGAGATTATATAAAACATATTTCATACAGGAAATAATATGCTAAAATCAAAAAACCAACAACTGTCTTTCAGCACACTGTTATGCATGCTCCTTTAAAGGAGGTTTGGGGGAAAGATGAAAATATTTTGGGGGCAGGGGTCCAGGGCTCAGAAACATTTTTGGAATCACAGTGAGTTTCTGATTTGCGGGAAGTTGCTCTAAAGCACTGGCTGAGGACTTTGCCTGAGGACCTGGCTGGTGAGGAAGACAAATTCTCACAGCAGCTAAAGGAAGCATGCTTGGGCTAAGTCAGGGGCTGTTTCAGTTAGGGAGCAGTTCAGCAGTGGAGGAAGAGCAGAAAGAAGAGAAAAAGAAATCCCAGAAAAGAGAGTAAGGAAGCTGGAGACAGCCGGGAAGGAAGCACCTTTTGAATCTACAGAGGGGAAAGTGTGTATCCAGATTTGAAGACAGTGACTTTGCTTGGTTGCAAAGTCCTTTTAGGTACCCTGGGTCTTTGGTCATTAGAAACAGGGAGTTGGCAACAAGTTGTCATTGTTAATAAAAATATCTGATTTAGACTTTGAGTTTAGGAGTTGCATGAAGTGGGCATGTGTCTCTCACACTCCTGGTATACATTCAGACTGTGCATATTCTTTTTTTTTTTTTTTTCTTGAAATGGAGTTTCACTCTTGTTGCACAGGCTGGAGTGCAATGGTGCAATCTCAGCTCACTGCAACCTCCACCTCCTAGGTTCAAGACATTCTCCTGCCTCAGCCTTCCAAGTAGCTGGGATTACAGGCATGCACCACCACTCCCAGCAAATTTTGTATTTTTCATAGAGACAAGGTTTCACCATGTTGTCTAGGCTGGTCTCAAACTCCTGACCTCAGGTGATCCACATGCCTCGGCCTCCCAAAGTGCTGGGATTACAGGCGTGAGCCACCGTGCCCGGCCTAGACTGTGCATATTCTCTTGAAGTGTGTGTATAATAAACAAATTAACAAAAAAAAAGAACTGCTTTAAAATGTATATTTAAAATAAAATAGTTTTAACTCAATCCCATTTTCTGTGATATAGTTAGCCATACTGGTTAATTTCTCAAATCAGGTTGACTGTTTTTTCTCAAATTGTATGAGTCCCTTTGAAATTTTGTGGTCACTTTGGAAGGGGGTGCAGAAAGTGCAGAAAGCCTCGTGGTCCTTGGGCTGTGCACACAAAATTATCACCAGATCGTAGGTTAGCGAGCTCATTAATGAGTCAAATTTCCCCATCTTCCTTTATTAATCTTGAGAGAACCCTAAATCAGAAAACTGGACCAGAAGGGACCTTGGCTATCAAGTCTGTCCCCCCATTAGTTTCGATGATGGCTACCAAGAAAAGACGTCAGTGAACATTCCACTGGGAGACAGCAACTCTCAGGGGCTGGAGGAAAACTCACTTGAAGGAATATACTTAAAATGTGGGCTGCAGGGGCTGGAACGTGGGGAAGGGGATAGAGGCGGCACTCGGATAAGGAGAGTCCAGCTTAGGCCAAAGGCTCTGGGGCCGCAGTTCAGACCTCCCTGCCCTGAGCGGTGGGAGGAAAGCTGGTGTGGCTGGACGGCTCCTCTGCCACTCAAGGCACAGGAAGGAGAGGGCGCGAGGGCTGACCGGACGGGGCGCCTCCAGCTCTATGACACACTGTAGCTGTTGTAGTACGTGGCCGTGGCATCAGCCAGGACGGAGATGAGGCTGGTCTCTGTGGGACCCGTTGGTGTCACCTGGGAGACCGGAACATGCCCACTGAGGGCCATGGCCCCTGTGGCGGAGTCTGGGTGGCCAGGAGTGTTCAAATACTGGTCGAATTCATTGCGATCCATGTCCCCCAGGAGTTCCACCTGGCTCAGTTGATCCAGGGCGTCGAAGCCAGGGTGCTCAGGAGGCGGGGAGAGCTGGCCCAGGTGGGCTTGGAGGTTGGAGTGGAGTGGGTGGTAGGTGGCCGGGGAGTAATAGGCAGGAGATGGGGGACAGCCGGGTACAGGGGACATCATGGAGACGCCGGGGGACTGGCCAAGGGCCAGGGAGCCCAGGGGGTGGCTACAGTGGAGAGGGCTTGGGGCGTACTCCGGTGAGTACGGGTGCCCTGGCAGGTGGGGGATGCGGCGGGGATGGCCATGCTCCTCCTGGCAGGGGGAGGAGAAGAAGGTCTGCTCCGGCTCCAGCACGTCCAGGGGAGACATTTCAGGAGGTGTGGGCAGCCCGTACGGGTACGTGTCCACACTGCTCGGGGTGCCGCCGCCGCCACCACCAGCCGGCCCCTCGTGGTAGCAGCCCCGGAGGCTGGGCAGGGCAGTGCCGGGGGAGTACTCACCCCTGTCCTCCTTCTCCCCCAGCGCCCCCCGGCTGCCGCTTCTCTTCTCCGGCAGGGCGTTCTGGTCCCGGGAGAGGGAGCTCAGAAGGAAGCCCGGGTCCACGCGCTTGCACAGCCGCTTGGCCTGCTTCTTCCTGCGCGGCCGGTACTTGTAGTTGGGGTAGTCCTGCATGTGCTGCAGGCGCAGCCGCTCCGCCTCGTCCACGTACGGCCTCTTCTGGGACAGCGTCAGCGCCTTCCACGACTTTCCTGCTCACACAAGGCAGAGGAGGCCATGCTCAGTGTTGTGCCCCGCAGGCATCGCACATGCACACGCGTGCACACACACGTGCACATGCACACACACCTCCCTTCCCCCTCTCAGCCACAGAGGACACGGGCATCTCTTGCACCCTCTTCCCAGCCCAGATCCTGCAGGCACAGTGAAGCGAAATCAACCCCTCTGCTTGCATCCAGAAAGCCAGATCGTGCACGGTGCACACAGAAAGCATCACCTCTCATATAAAAGCCGCCAGAGCATGCCCACACTACAATGCGGGGTCCCCAGTGAAAAGCCCACCTGACCATATGTCAGCTACGGGAAGAAAATATCTAATGATCACGATATTGATTGGGGCTCTTTTTACCCTTCCAGGGTCCATTCTAAACATTTGTGTATTCTCATGAAAATCTCTGCCTTCATTGATTAGTGCAGGCTAAAGAGATACTATCATACTTACCTATGGCATAAATCTCACAGCCCTTTCTGGGAGGGAACCCAGGCTCAGTCAATACTTTCACAGATGTCAGTAAATCAGAGATTCTCACTTAGGTTAACAAATACCTATTCCTTACCTCTGAAGGTCGAATAGAACCCTGCTGGATGACTGAGGCCAGAATGCTAGCATCTGCTTGCAACACATATACGCACACCCAGACACATGCATGCACACACATATACATGCAAACCGTCACTTCCAGCCAGCCATCTTTTGGGGACCCTTGACGGTGCCAGGGCACCTGCTTAGCCACAGATCTCCATGCAGAAGCCATTCCCTGCACTTTCCAGAGTCTCTATTTTCTTCAGTATAAAATAAAGATATTGTGACACTCTCCAGCTCCAAACTCTCTCTTTAAAAATTATTCCATGCTTGCAACCCACTGGTGCTAATATGCTGGCTGCGCTTGATCTTCTATTCACCATTGCTTGCTTGTCTGTTGCTTTTCAAGTTCCCGGGGCATCTTCCCTCATCTATCAGTGTGCACTGCACACCCTTCTGCAGTGGTTTCTAGGGGTGGGGGGCTTCTGGACCCCTTGGGTTGCTTTGCTACCTCCTAAGGTGGGCTCAGGATTCTACAACTTTAACATGTTCTACCATGATGCTAATGTGTCCTGAAGTTTGAGACCCGCTAGCCTAGAGGTTAAGGCCTAAGGAAAGGGCCCTGTGTTCCACTCAGCACATTCTGCACAGGGCCAGGTGCAGAGCCGTGCACACAGCAGCCCTCAGTGCCTCCGTTGACTGGCTCCTTGGGCCAGGGGCTCAGAGCCAGGGGAGGGCAATGATTAAGGGCATTGTACCAATTGGGAGAAAATTTATAGAAATTCCATGGAGCTTTCAATTAACATCATTAGCTGTCACTCAAAAGGGCAACTTGAAAGTGTTAGGAGCTGCAGATTCAGGGCTGGTCATCAGTTCCCAGCCTGTGGCTGAGGCTACAAAGCTGTGGCAAGTGACCCAAGATGCAGGTGCACCCCATACTCTGTCTGTGGTCTCAGTATAAAATGTGGCCGTAGCTTTTAAATGTACCTGGATGTTATATAACTAATAAAATACGTGTTCATTTAAAAATGCTACCAAAGGTCTACTGCTCTTTATGCACTTTCTCATTCATAATATATTTTAAATTCCAGTGTGACTAGGTCACATTTTTAATGTTAAGGTTTGGAAGGTTTATAGTGGAAAAAGTTGAGACTCGCATATCCAGCCTTTTCCTCTCAGGTCAGAAAGGAAAGAGCTGAGAAGGAAATGTCACACAGGTGGAGGGGATCATCCTGCTGCCCCCTACTAACAGGTGCACAAGTCCATATTGTGAAAAGCACCAGTGTTGCGGTTTCCCTCACCCAGTGCCAGGAGCTACATGGCTCAGCAGGAAGGAATCTGTGTCTTTTCTGCAGAATGAACTGTAACCTCCTGAAGCTGAAGTGCAGGCCCCGACGGGGACCAACTCGCAGGAAGCATCTGTCTCCTGTGTCCCTGTCCCTGCCCCTTTCCTGGGAGCAGGCTTCCCCAACTCTGCAGAGCCATGCTCCTCTCTCCTCCCCATTCCCTGGCCCAGGCCTGCACAGAATTCCTCCTCTGTCACGGTCACAGCAGGGGCTTGCTTCCCCCTGTTGGCAGGGTCAACAGGCACAGTGCCCACGGTCCGTGGAAAAAAAAGTTTGGGGATCCACAACAAACATATTTTCACTTCTTTTAAAATCTGAAGAAAAATATAAACTTACAGGTTAAATAAAATGTTTTATTATTGTACATATTAACACATTTGTCTTTATGCCAACACTGTGTAAAATACAAATGTTACTATTTTTGTTGAGGGAAAAGGCCCCAGAAGGCCCCAGACCACTAAGGCGAGTTGGTGCAGCCGGCCACCAGGCTGGGCCCTTGGCAACCAGCACTCCATCAACTGCTTTGCACAGCAGCTAAACCGCAGGAGGGCTCGGCCTGGGACCCCCTCTGCGGGCCTGCGGCTTTAGCCAGCAGAAAGAGGGGCGTCAGTCCTATCCCCAAAGTTCCGCCTCGGGAAAGAGCCCTGAGCTCTGAACTCCGACGAAAAAAGGAAGGGCTCTGTTCCGGACCGGGTGGGGTTTGGGAAGGGTAGAGCCGGCCTCGGGTGCCCTTCTTACAGGGCCTGTCTCCCGCTGCGTGCACCAAGTGCTTTGAAAGTTTTTCGCCGATTAAAACGAATAAAAACCTCGTCGAAAGGCAAAGAAGGCAGGGTTGAAAAGTACTCAGCTCGACACCGGAGAAAAAAGAAACCCCCATAGGAACTCCGGTTGTTCGGGTGTGTCCTAACAGCCTCACTCTGGACCTCTTGGACCTCGTGAGTCCGTGTCCCCAGTCCCTGCGGGGACAGCTCAGGAAGAGAGCGGGTTCCAGGACAGCCCAAGCATCCGAATCAAGTTATCTACACCTTCGAGACTGAGCAATAGATGAACGAATCGAGTCTATTTGGGTAAGCTTTTTCTTTTGTTTTGTTTTCCTCTTAATTGTTTAGTTAAAGCAAGGATTCGTTCCTCAGGGTCTCTCTTCGGGAATATTCGTTAATTATAATTTCATCTGTGACAGCCTTCCTCTGACATGGCCCAATTGTAAGGTCCAGGGAATGCTGGCTTTTCCCGCTTCGGTATTCCTAGTAAACGCCTGTTCCACCCAGCCTCAAACGTTTCCGTCCCTGCCCTGTCCATGCACGCCGGTCCCTGTCGCCAGGCGTCCTGGCCTGGCCGCTGCCCCGTCTCCCCGCCCCCTGGGGCGCCGATCTCCGCTCCTGTCCCAGCAGAGGAGCCTCCCTGCCCGCCGCGCGGTTTCACTTTGGACCGCGCCAAGTGCCCCCGCTCTGAATCCTGGGCACCGCGAGCACCCACGCTCGCGCAGATGGCCAGCCACGCGGGCACGAAGAGGGCCCTCGTCCCGCGTGCCGGGTCTTCCCCAGGCTCCGCGCTCGCACCCGCCCTGCAGTGCCGCCAGCCGCCCGCCGCCCGCCCCCGGCCCCCAGCCCGCTCGGCCGCGCGCTCACTCACCCAGCATCTTGCTGAGCTCGGCGTTGTGCAGGTCCGGGTTCTGCACTGCCAGCCGTTTCCTCTCGTCCTTGGCCCAAACCATGAAGGCGTTCATGGGCCGCCGGATACGGCTCTCGGAGCCCTTGTCCCCCGGGGGCCGGGGGACGGCCGGCGGCGATTGTCCATCCGACAGCTCGGCGTCCAGGGCCGGGCACTCGAGACCCTCGGGCCAAGGGTAGGCTCCCAGCAGCGAAGCCATGGCCGCACGCGGGTCGCCTCGCTTCGCCTGGCGGGGCAGGCGCGGACCTGGCCCTCGCACGGGTCGGGGCGTCCAACTTGGCCCGCAGCCGCGACCCGGCCCCTGATTTATCAGCTTCGGGCGGCCGCGTCCTCCAATGACTCTCCAAGGCGGCGCGGCCCCTCCCTCGGTGTCGGCGCGGGTCCCCTCCCTGCGTCCCGGGCCGCCGCCGGGTCCCCGCTCCGACCTGCCGGGAGGAGGACGGAGGGAGGGAGTGAGGGAGGGCCTCCTCCCCGCGCCTGCCCCCGGCCCGCCCCTCCGCCGCCAGGGCCCGCCCGGGGATCTGCGCCCGGCTGCCCCGGGCCGCCTCCCGCCCCCTGCCCTGGACCCGCAGGTGCCGCAGAGACGCAAGGCAGGCGCTGGAGGCCCGCTCCAGCCCCTGCCTGCCCGGGCCAGACTCCACCGCCCTCCCTGCGCGTGTGGCCTCAGAAAATCAACCCAACCAGGTTTCGCCGAGCCCGCCTGGGTGTGAGAGACATTGACCATGAACCCCTCAGAGCAGCCGTTCTTAATACTCCGACTGCCATTCCTTTCGAAAATGACCGGGCTTCGGCCACCGCAGCCCCAGTCAACTTGGGCCGCCACAGAGGCCGGCCGGAGCCGGGGCTGGGGGCCGCATCCCGCCTCGGGTTCTGTGCAGTGCTCACCCAAGACTCCTCGACGCCCCCGCCGCCCCTGGCTCTCAGGAGGGCGAGGCCGTCGTTCTGGTTCTCAGCCACCTGATTGATTTCTCCTCTCACTCCACCCGCACCCAGTCTCCGGGTCCAGGCCTCCAGCTCCCTCACTTCTGGCTCTTCTCACCCTGAATTTTCTCCTTATATTTTTTCTTTCTTCCTCCGATTGGCAGTCCCGCTTCTCCGAGTGGAGTCGCTCCCGCCCTCTCGCGTCCCCCCCTGGCTGCGCTGCGACCTGCGAACTCCCCCAGTTTCCCTCATCTGCACACCCTGGTGTAGACCGACCGTGCGCGCCGGGCCCACGTGCAGCCTGGGGACTGCAGGCTGGGAGCTCACGGCCATCTCTCGGCCGCGCTCACCGCAGCTCCCCTGTCACCCGGCCCCCTGTGAGGAGCTCTGTTCCCGCGCTCTCATATAAGCGCCGGCACACAGTAGGCGCTCAAGGCCTGCAGAATGAGTGAGCAAATATAGCTCAGACACCTACTGAATGAAAGTCGGCAGGTTTGACTAGATCCTGGAATTTAAAATTTACTGAGCGCCACCCATGTGCGGGGCTCCACAGAGGTGATCCTGGAAGGAGGCAGCGTTGTGGGGGTGCGGGGGTGCCGTGGGGTCCGGAGTCAGAACCTTAGTGTTCAGGTGACTGAACGCGCGACTCTGGACAAGTCACATCTCTCTGGATCTCTTTTCCTAATCCTAACACGGGACAATGATAAGACTGACTTTCCGGGGCTGTTGTGAAGATTCGGTGAGATAAATGCAGAGAAAGCTCCAACCCTGCCTGTGATGCTTGATGTTAATATAACTCTAGGCATGAAGCCCGTGAGCCTGAGTCCGGATTTCAATGTCCCCGCGCGCAGCGACCGATGCCTTGCATGCAACATGCAACGGGCCCGACGGCTAAGACCCGGCAAGTGTAAGGTGAACTGCAGCGTCTCTGTGTTCACGTCCTAATTTTTACCTCTAGAGCCGGGGACAATTTTCATCCGAGAATTAGCTTTCCGCACAAAAGAGATGGCTGGGTTTGCCCCTCTTTTCCAGCCAGGATTCAGTAGCAGCACCCTAGGCCGGTGCGCCCCAACCGCTGCACTGGTGGGCCGGGAATACAAGGGTGTGGGGCGGGGCGCGCGCTGCGCAGCTCGAGCAGAGAACAGGGTGCCCACCGCTGGGGCAGCATCCTGGAACCAGAGGCGAAGCGGCGGGGGACCCACCTGGGGCCGTTTGCAGAGAGTGCGTCCTCCATCTAGGCGGACTTCCCAACCCTGCAAAGCCCAGGCCATTTCCACTGGCCAACCCCTTTCCCGCATATGCCTCCAGCAAAACCCTTAGGCCAGAGTGCGCCTCGTGGGATCCAGGGCCGCGCCCGGCCAGGAGAAGGGAGCTATTTGAGAAAGGGGAGAAAGAGGGTCCCACGGGGGGATTGAGCGGCGGCGGAGGATCCCGGGAAGAGCTCGTCCCCGACACTTTCTGACCCTACTGAGCTCCAGGGCGGTGGCAGTGCTCTGCAGGGTCGGAGGCCACGAGGGGACAGCGCCCCCTTCCCGACGACGGGCGTCCCCACTCCCGGCCGCAGCCCGTAGCACCCTCCCTGCAAGGCCCCAGAGCAGAGCGCGAAAGCCGTGGGGCCGCGCCCGGGCACCAGGTTAGGAAGATGCGCCCTCCCCAGGGAACACGGAATGGTCAAGTTAGATCCCAGACACCGATGGCAACAACAGAGAAAACAACGGGGACGGGGCCAGAGAATACGTGCTGTGATTATTGTCTGCACTTGTTTAGTTTCTTGCTTTTCCTCTGCAGCGAGCTTGCAAGCCTGGGCTGTCCAGGAGGTGAACATTAACCTTCCCAGCGCTGACGCGGGCGCCGCCCGGGGCTTGGAAATTGTCAGCACCGCGGTAGCCGGGCTCGCTCGCTCCATTCCTTCATTCCCTTGCGTCGACGCATTTATGCACCTTGGCAACTGTAAGCGAGCGCGCCCTGGTGCAGGCGACGCCAAGGGACGCGGGGTCTCCATAACCTCGCCGATTCTCTGGTCACTGCGACCTTCAGTCCTAGAGCTCCGCGCCGACCCTACGCGACCCCAAAGCCTGGAGTTCGGAGGGCTGAGCTAGAGGGGGAGGGCGCCAGCCCTGGCATCCCGACACTTGCTGTCGCCAGCGCTGGGTTCGGGGCCGCGGCCAGCGGTGGGTCCAGCGGCTCTTGGGTCGAGGCTAGGTGCGGCGAATCATCACGGCGCGGACCCTGGAAGACCTGGAGGAGAAAGGTCGAGGCCCAGGGCTACCGGGCCGGATCTTGCGGGGCTCTGACCCGCAGCAGGACCGGTTGGGGGTTCCTGCAGGGGCCGCCAAGCAGAGGCGGAGAGGCAGGGCCGGGTGTGGTGACGCGGGGCGCACTGGACACCGCGCGTGCTCCACGCAGCCGGCCTGGCGGCACCACCACAGCTCACTCCTCCCGCGTGAGTCACCTGAACTGCACTCTCTTAAAAGATGTTCTCTTTCTTCCTTCTTTCTTTTCTTTTCCTTCCCTCCTTTCTCCCCGACCCCCTTCTCTGTCCGTTTAGCTCGGTAGTTCTGTGAACACTGGTTTCCAAGGACACAGGGCCCGAAGCCAGAAATCCCCAATTCCAATTTCCTGCAATTCACTTGTATTTTGATAACTGACTTAACTACTATCGGCCTCAGTTTCTTCACCGGTAAAATGGGGATAATACAAGGTGGCTGACACAGTGTTTGTAAAAGCTCCTAGTAGACTTTTCTGAGTTGTGAAATATGAAATCGTGAGTGGGCGAAAACCAAAAAAAAAAAAAAAAAAAAAAAAAGTCGGGCCTCCACAACTTTCCTCTCCAGGAGCTGTTCTTATTCTATTCCAAACGGAAGAATTTCAGCTGCCCTGGGGGGAAGGGGAGAGGGAGGGGGAGGAGAAGAGGGAGGAAGAGGGGGAGGGGGAGAAGGAGGGGGAGGGAGAGGGCAATCCCGCCACGGTACCCCTGGCACCTGCTCCGAACCCGCCGCGAACCCGGAGCTCTGAACCGGACCAGGCGCGTCCCGGGCCCACGGCCTGCCTTGGGCGGAGCCACCGCGCATGCTCCGGAGGCCCGCGGCAGCGCCCGCAGGCGTTGGGTGCAAGTGTTCTGTGGTTGCTTTTAGATCCTCACACCAGGCTAGAGGTTGAAGTCATTATCATCACCATCTTTGATCACGCTGATTTGTCTGTACTTGATTGGCAGTCTTTGCAAAGCAGGTTCCCATTCACTGGCTCATCCCCGCCTCCACACAACCCTCGAAGCAGAAGGCCCAGAGTTTTAGGACTGAGCCATTTCCCATACAAGGCGGGTGAGGCTGGCACAGACCCCAGCGCACGGCTCCTGACCTCACGCCTGGACTACCAGGTTCCTGTGCGCCCCGGTAGTGCCCCAGCTCGAGGGAAGTGCTTCTAACCAGCCGCTGCGACGCCTCCTGGCTTTGCGCCCCCTCTAGCCTGGTCTCTGGAAGTTCCACTGCGCCTTTCCTCATCCACAGGGTGCCTTCAGTTTAAGGCGTGTCCTGAACAAGGTAACGTGAAAAGCAAGGGGCCAAACCCTGCTGGCCACGGCCGAGGTGCGGGCTGGAGAGAGGGGAGACCCGGCCAGGCCTGCCAGCCCCGCCTCCCGCGCCGTGCGGGGTCCAGGAATCTGCAGCTCGGGTTTTCTACAAGACGCTGTAGTGGAGTTCCTTGTTCAACCCACGGAAATCTCTCCATAGTCATCGAAGAGAAACCCACCAAGTTCCTAATTCAGAATAACTGTGATTAAAACAGCAGGGATTGGCCGGGCACGGTGGCTCACGCCTGTAATCCCAGCACTTTGGGAGGCCGAGGCGGTCGGATCACCTGAGGTCAGGAGTCCGAGACCAGCCTGGCCAACACGGTAAAACCCCGCCTCTACTAAAAATACAAAAATTAGCCAGGTGTGGTGGCGCGCGCATGTAATCCCAGCTACTCAGGAGGCTAGGGAGGAGAACTGCTTGAACCCGGGAGGCGGAGGTCTCAGTGAGCCAAGATCGTGTCACTGCACTCCAGCCTGGGCAAAAAGAGCAAAACTCTGTCTCACACACACACACACACACACACACACACACACACACACCGAGCAGGTATTTAAGATGTACACCTGCAGTTTCACTGCGCTGACTGAAGCAGGCAGAACACAAGGACATTACGTCAGTTTCACAGAATCTAAGGTCCAGTAGCTTTTCCATATGAACCTAGGGAACAAGGAATATTGTTTTCAGACTAGAATGCTCCTGGATGTGGGTAGTGTAGACCCCTTATAATATCAAAACCTTTTTGTAGTTGCTTAAATTACTAAGGTACAGTTTCCCCGGGTCAGGCATTCCTGGTTACTACAGCGGCCCCCCTGTACACACACGCTTGTGAGCACCCCTAACCCACCACTTGTCTCTGATGAATCATGTTTCCAGCGGATAATACCTAAAACTTCCGTGGTGGGAGGAACACTGACTTGGAACCAGAAGCCACAAGGCCAGTCCAACCTGCCACTACTGTCTGCGCACATTTTAGCAAGTCACTTCACTGGTTAACTCACAGGATCCGGAGCCTCAGTGAGGCCCCGAGAGATGAAGGACTTGTCACGTTTTGTCCACTTGGATAGCACCGAGATAATCTAATGCTCAGTCTGTGATTTGTGTTTGCTTCTCCCTAGCACTGAGGGACGTGAGTCCCAAGCCAAGAACACCCTTTTTCTACAATAACTTTCTTCCACTCCACTCTGAACAATTATCAGGTTTCCTTTAAGGGGGTAGGTGTGTCAGATTACTGCATAGAAATGATCTTTATTTAATGGGTCAGAAGCTAGACTTTCAGACAAATTTCAATAGAAAAATTAACAAACTACAAGATAAATTAGCAGTTGGTTTAAGGGGATATTTATTTCTTTTTATCCTATTGCCTCTTCTTTTCCAAATGTCTAAGATGAAGAAGTGAAACTGATTAGAAACCACCCATAATAATACAACATGGAAAATAAGCTTTTTCTTAGGACCTCTGTACACACGTCTGACTTCTGGGTAAATAGGATCAGGCTAATGATGAGACAGCCTAAATAGAGATGTCATGACAGAGAATTCTGTCATCAGCCAACAATTCCAGTGTGAGAAGTTGAAGATACTTCGTATTTGTTTAGATTATGAGATTGCTTTAATGTGTGGATTTCAAACTACTATGTTTTGTTTGTAAGATAAAATGTGTGTTGAAGAGAAGTTTTGTTTGTAAGATAAAATGTGTATCTACAGAGAAGTGCATGGAGTTTTAGCCAGGTGAACACACCACATAAGCAGCACTCAGATCGAGTAACAGGCTTTGCGAGTCCTGATATTTCTAAGGCTCCCTACCACTAAGTTGTAAGCTCCCTAAGAGCAGGGACTGAGTACCATTCTGGTTTAAAATATAGTACATTAATGGAAAATTTGAGTATGGCTTGTGTCTGCTTCACTGTGTCTGAGTCTGGAAAGACGTGAACAACTAGAAGTCACCTGAATGGCCAGAAGCTAGAATTATCTGGAGGCTTCTTCACCCACAAGTCTTGCATCAGAGGAGGGGTGACTCAAAGGCTGGGCTAAGTTGTGGCATGTCTACACATGGCTTCTCCATATATTTTTGGCTTCCTTTTTAGCATGGTGGCCTCAGAGTAAATCTGATATGTCAACTTGGGATGCCAAGAATGAGTGTTCCCATAAACAAGCCAAAGCCTAAATGGCCTTCTAAGACTTAGGCTCAGAAGTCACATAACATCACCTCTAACCAATATTTGTCGGTCAAAGCAGTCACAAGCATGTCTAGATTTAACCAGAGGAAATATAGCCCTCCACCTCTTAAAGTGGGGAGTGTCACAGAATTGTGGCTGTGTTTTAAAACCATGAGGTATGTGTATGTGTGAGATGGTGGAAGTGAGAACACCAGAGGTTTATAACAGACAAAGTAGCTACCTTTGTAACTCATAACGCTCTTTCCCACCCCAAGGCCAATGTCAGGGCAAAGAAGTGCACCTTCTTTTTCCACACACTTAAACGAAGTCTTACACAATGCCATACCTTTGAAAGGTTTTTCAAAGTTCCTCAAAAGAAACTAATAGAAATAGGAGTATAGTAATTTCATTTTTGAGACGGAGAATGCTGAGGCACAAGATGTACTTAGAAATATAAAGCAATTTAAAGGATAGAGCCGGAGCTGGGCATTGAAGTTCTATTTGAAAAAAAGCTTAATGAGTGATGTGTCTATATTTGGAACTCGAATTTTTAGGGTTTGATCAGAGGGATTTGTCAAGGATATTTTGAAAAGAATTTCAGTGCAGGTAGAGAAAATGGGTTCTAAGCCCTTCTTCAACTGGCTTCTTAATAGCCGTCATCCCCTACGTTTCTGACACTGGATCTAGTTCACATATTATGTGGAGCAGTACTAATCACAGTCTTGTTTACCTGTGTAAATATAAGTTTTAAGGTGCTCTTACACATACCATCTCATTTCATTTTCAAACACCTTATAAGGTAAGCTGGGAAGGTATTTGATTATCACCCTAATTGTGTAGATGGGAAACTGAGGCTCATAGAAATGAAATGACAGGTGGCGAGTGACAGACCTGGCAAAATGACTCCATTCAAGGCTCTCTCCAAAATATCATTCATTGCTTAATTAAGCCCATAATCCATGGGATTTAGGGCTTGACTGAAATGAAGTTGGATCCAAACAAACAACATCACATATAAGAAAGTAAGTTTTAAATTATAAAAACTTCCACTTCTGCTTATGATGGAGTAACAGGGATCAGATTAACCCCCCACCTTAAACCAATACAAAACTAAGCAATGTCTGAGTTTTCAGACACTGCACAACAGACAGTGCACACAGTAATTCTGGAAAAGAGAAACAAATGAGGTGAACCCAATACGTGCCCCTGATCATTGTCTGGAGAAGGTCTCCAGGCCATGATGCAGGGAAGGGGAACTAAAACAGAAACCAGGGTGTTGCTGAGTTGAAAAGTCAAAGTTCTGAGCTGAGAGAGGATGAAGCAGAGAAGAGTCTGCATAGACAGAAGGCTTCAGAGATCTAAAGAGAGGTCTCCTTGAATTTTTGCCTGACAATGATCTGCACATGTATGTGAAAAAAATCCGAAGGCTATGGAAAGAATCACTGGAAAAAAATTAGGTGGAATAATTTCCTGAGCTCATACCAGGACAGAAAGAGTTTCTGTTCCCACAAGACAAGGTGGAAAGACCTCCTAATACATGGGACATCAGGTAGTATCCTCAGAAGACTACTGTCTGATGGAAAAAGAAATAGGAAAATACAATCCACAACCAGGATGAAAATCAGTCAATAGAAACAGCACCAGAAATGACAAAGATGATGGAATTGGCAGATACGGATGTTAAAAAAGTTATTTTAAATATACTCCTTGTGTTCAAGAAGGTAGAGGAAAACAAGATCACAGTTCTTGAAAACAAGATGTAAAAGATCTAAAAAAAAAAAGAGCCAAATCAAAATTTGAAAGGTAGAATATTTGAGATACAAAATACCCTACAGAGGATTAATAGTAGATAAGACATTGCAAAATAAAATATTAGTAAACAAGAAACATGCCAATATAAACAATCCAAAAGGAAAAACAGAAAAAAGACTGAAAATTAACATAGAAGTAACAACTTGTGAGACAATATTAAGTGGCCTAACATAAAAGTAGTTAGGCTCAGAAGAAAAGGGAGAGATTAGAAAAACATATCTGGGAAAATAATGGCTTAATGTTTTTTGAATTTAATGGAAACTATAAATTCACAGATTCAAAAAGCCCAACAATCCCCCACCAAAAAAAAAAACAAAAAAAACCAAAAAAAAAAAAATAACGAAAGGAAACCATACTAAGGCACATCATAATGAAATTGCTGAAAATCTTGAAAGCAACTAGAGGGAAAAGGACACATTACATACAGAAGGAAAAAATAAAAACTAAAACAGACTTCATGCTTGAAACTATGCAATCCAGAAGACAATGGAATAACATTTTTTAAAGTACAGAAAGAAAAAATTTTAAAAACCACTCAACCTAGAATTCTACACCTAGCAAAATTAGTTTATAAAATAAAAGCCAAATAGGACTTTCCAAACACACAAAAGCTGAGTGAATTCATTAGCAGACCAACATCATGGAAAATGTTGAAGGAAGTCCTTGAGGCAACGGATAGTGATATAGATGGAAATTTGGATACACACAAGGGAATTGGTGAACATAAAATACTTTTTTTATATTTTTAAAATCTGTTAAAAATATAATTGGTTGTTAAAGCAGAAATAATATATTTTTGAATTTACAGCATATATAGAAGTAAAATTTTATGACAACAATAGCACAAAGATCAGGAGGAGGGAAATGAAAATATATTTTTGTTAGGTTCTTGTATATATATGTGAAGTGGTATAACATAATTTGATGATAGGTTGACCATTTAAGATGTATACTGTAAACGTTAGAGCAACCACTTTTTAAAAAGAGCTAATATGCCATTGAGGTATATACAATGGAATAATAAAATTCTCAATTAATCAAATCTATCCAAGACAGAAAAAGATGAAAAGGAAGCAAAGAATAGACGAGACAAATAAAAAACAAATAGTAAGATGTTGGATTAAAACACAACCATAATTATGACCACACTAAATGTTTATGGCCTAAATATTCCATTTAAAAGCAGGGATTGTCAGATTGGATTTTAAGAAAAAGCAGGATAGAACTATATGGTTATATGATGGTTTAAAGAAATCCACTTTAAATACAAGACACAGATTAGCTAAAGGTAAAAGGATGAGATTTTTTATACCCAGTCCAGCATGTATGGAGACTGGAGATCGTTAATCCCATCCTAACAACAAGAGAAAAAGTTGAACAAACTGAAAATTGACAAGTCTTCTTAGCTCCATCAAATAATTCAGGTCATAAAGCAAGCCACCACCCTATGATTGAAGAGACAAAAAGGTGGATACCGAGAATCACAACAAACCCGTGAGCAGAAACGTCCACAGGAGTCAGTACCAGGTTCCTCTTATGACAAAAAATGACAAGGCATATTAAATGGCTAACAGCACAGTTTAGAGAAACAGAGAATGAGAATCAAACTCAGATATGTCAGGGATGTTGGAATTATTAGACTGGAAATTTAAAATAACTATGATTAACATGCTAAGGGTTCTAATGGAAAGGTAGACAACATGAAATAACATATTGGTAATGCAAGTAGAGAGACGAGAATTCTAAGAAAGGATCCAAAAGATGTGCTAGAAATAAAAAGCACTGTAACAGAAATGAAGAACGCCATTGATGGGCTTATTAGTAGTCTAGACATGGCTGAAAAAGAATCAATGATCTTTAAAATATGCCAGTAGAAACTTTCCAAACTGAAAAACAAAGAAGACTGAGAAAAAAATGGAACAGAATATCCACCGACTGTGGGACAATTACACATCACATACACACAATGGGAATACCAGAAGGAGACCAAAGAGCAAAAGGAACAGAAGAAATATTTGACGCAATAATGACGGAGAACTTCCCAAACCACATATTCAGGAAAGTCAGAAAACACCAAATAGCATGAACGCCAAAAATGACATGTAGGCATATTGTATCCAAGTCATGGAAAATAAAGACAAAGAAAAAAATCTGGAAAGAAACCAGAGGAAAAAAATCATCTTCCTAACTATCCTATAAGGATAATCATTACATTGGATCTCTTCAAAGCCATACAAGCAAGAAGAGAGTAGAATGAAAAAATTTAAGCGTCCAAAGAGAACCCCACCAACCTAGAATTCTGTATCTAGCAAAATTATCCTTTAAAAGTAGAGGATAAAAATTTTCTCAGATCAATAAAACATCGGGGGAATTTGTCACTAGTAGATATGCCCTGCAAGAAATGTTAAAAGAAGTTCTTCAAAGTGAAGGAAAATTATATAGGTTAGAAACTCAGATCTGCATGGAGAAAGACAATTAAAGAAGGAATAAGTGAAGGCAAAATTAAAACGTATTTTTATTTTTCTTCTTCTTCTTTTTTTGTTTTTTTTCCCTTGAGACAGGGTCTCACTCTGTCACCCTGTCTGGAGTGCAGTGGTGCATTCATGACTCACTGCAGCCTCAATCTCTTGGGCTCAAGTGATCTTCCTACCTGAGCAGCCCAAGTAGCTGGGGCCACAGGTGTACAATACCACGCCTGGTTAATTTTTTTATTTTTTGCAAAGACAGGGTCTCGTTATGTTGCCCAGGCTGGTCTTAAACTGCTAGGCTCAAGTGATCTCCCATCTCAGCCTCCCAATGTGCTGGGATTACAGGCAAGAGGCACCACACCTGGCCAACAGATAATCAGTTCGTTCAAAGTAATGAAAATAACAATGTATTGCAGTGATTATTATAGCTTATGGATAAGTGAAATGAATGACAGCAATGATAGACAGGAGGCAGAAGTCAGAAATACTTTATTATAAAGTACTTACACTATCTGTGAAGCAGTACAGTGTTACTTGAAGGTACACTTGAATTAATTGTAAAATGTATATTACAAACTCTAGGGCAACCATTAAGAAAGTAAAAAAAAAAAAAAGGTAATTAAAGGATGGAGGAAAAATGAAATCTAAAAAACGCTTAATTAAAACCCCAAAAGGCATAAAAAGAGTGAAAGACAAAAATAGAAACAAAGAATAGGGGCAACGAATGAAAAACAGTAACAAATATAGTACATATTAATTCACCTATATCAATAATCATATTAAGTGTCAATGTTCCAAATACACTGTATTAGGCCATTTTCACATTGCTGTAAAGAAATACTTGAGACTGGGTAATTAATAAGAAAATAAGTTCATTTGGTTCACGGTTCTACAAGCTGTACAGAAAGCATAGCAGCATCAGCTTCTGGGGAGGCTTCAAGAAGCTTCCAATCATGGTGGAAGGCAAAGTGGGTGTAGGCACATGACATGGCAAAAGCAGGAGCAAGAGAGAGAGAAGGAGGGGAAGTGCCACGTACTTTTAAACAACCAGGTCTCAGGAGACTTCACTCACTATTATGAGGACAGCACCAAGTGGATGGTGCTAAACCATTCACAAGAAATCTACCCCCATGATCCAATCACCTTCCACCAGGCACTACCTCCAACATTAGGGATTACATCTCGATGTGAGATTTGGGTGGGTATAAATATCCAAACTATATAATACACCAACTAGAAGACAGAGAATGTAAGAGACTTGTCACAAAACAAAATGAGACCTAACTATAACTTGTCTAGAAAAAACCCACTTTAAATATATAGATACAGATAGAGTAAAAAGAGAAAGATATACTACGCTAACACTAAGCAAAAGAAATCTAGAGTAGCTATATTAATTTCAGATGGACTTCAGAGCAAGAAAAATTACCAGCTATAAAGACAAGCATTACATAATAATAAATGGGTCATTTCTCCAAATAGACATAACAATCCTTAATGTATATGTACCTAACAACAAAGTATCAAACTACATGCAGTGAACTGATAGATGTCCAGAAGAAATAGATGAATCCAGGATTATTGTTGAAGACTTCAACATTCTCTCTCCGTAATGGACAGACTCAGCAGGCAGAAAATCAGTAAGGACATAGCTGAACTCAATAGCACCTTCAATCAACTAGCTGTACTTGGCATCTATCTATTACTTCACGTAAAAACAGAAGAATACACATTTTTCTCAAGTTCACATGGAACATTCACCAAGATAGACTACATTCTGGGCCATAAAATACACTTAAACAAATTTAGGAGAAGAGAAGCCATGCAATGTATGCTCTCAGACTACAATGAAGTAAAACTAGAAACCAATAACAGAAGGATAGCTGGAAAATCCCCCAAACACTTGGATATTAAACACCATGCTTCTAAATAACACATGGGTCAAAAAAATAAATCTCAAGAAAAATTTTAAAATATTTTGTACTAAACAAAAATGAAAACGCAACTTATCCAGGTTCATGGAAAGTACAGAAAACAGTACATAGAGGGAAATTTATAATATTGAATGCGTACTTTAGAAAAGAAGAAATAACTAAAGTCAATAGTGTAAGCCTACACCTTAGGAGATGAGAAAAGGAGGAGTGAATTAAACTCAAAGTATGCAAAATAAAATAAAATATTAAAAACTAGATCATAAGTCAATAAAATTAAATACAAAATATCAATAGAAAAAAATCATTGAAACGGAAAGCTGGTTCTTTGAAAAGATCAATAAAATTGCTAAATTTCTACCCAGGCTAACTAAGAAAGAGGGAGAGAAGACAGAAATTGCTAATATCAGAAATAAAAGAAGAAATAGCTATTGACTCCATAGACATTAAAACATAATAAAAAATTATAAACAACTCTATGTCCCCAAATTTGATAACCTAGATAAACTGAACCAATTGATACAGAGAAAGCATTTGACAAAATCCAGTACCCATTCATGATAACAAATCTCAGGAAACAAGAAACAGAAGAACACTCACAATTTGACAAAGAACATCTACAAAAATGATACAGCTAACATTACACTTAATGGCGAAAACCTAGATGCCTTCCTGTCAATATCAGAAACAAGGCAAGGGTAATCCTTTTCACTACTATTTTCAACATTGTGTTAGAAGATGGCTAATGCAACAAAACAAGAAAATAAAATAAAAGGTATACAGATTGAGAAGTAAAAGATAAAATTGTCTTTGTTCATAAATGACATGATCGCCTATGTAGAAAATCCCAAAGAATCGACAAAAAAACCACCTGGAACTCACAAGCAATTATAGCAAGATTGCAAGATACAAGGTTAATATACAAAATTCCATTGTATTCCCGTATGCAGCAATAAACAATTTGCATTTGATATTAAAAACACAACACTATTTACATCAGCACCAAAAAACCCACCATAATACTTAATTATAAATCTAACAAAATAAATTATACAAGATTTATATGAGGAAAATTACAACATTGTAATGAAAGAAATCGAAGAAGAATTCAGCAAATGGAGAGCTATTCTCATTTCATGGATAGGAAGATAATATTATTAAGATGTCAGTTTCTTCCAACTTGTTTTTTAGATTCACTGCAATCTCAATCAAAATCTTAGTAAGTTACTTTGTGGATATTGACAAACTAATTCTAAAGTTTATTTGAAGAGGCAAGAGATCTAGAATAGCCAACAAAATATTGAAGAAGAACAAAGTGAAGGCCTGATACTATCCAACTTTAAGACTTACTAACTTCATAGCTATAGTAATCAGGACAGTGTGGTATTGGTGAAAGAACAGACACATGTATCAGTGGAATGGAATAGGAAACCCAGAAACAGACCTATGGAAATATAGTCAACTGATCTTTGACAAAGAAGTGAAGACAATTTAACGGAGAAAGAAGAGATTTTTCAATAATTCTAAAACAAGTGAACCTCCCCATGCAAAACAAACAAACAATCAAAAAATGAATCCAGACACAGACACTTATACCCTTCACAAAAATTAACACAAAACGTATCATAGATCTAAATGTAAAACACAAGCATGGTGAAACTCTGTCTCTACAAAAAATTAGCTGGATGTGGTGGCTTGTGCTTGTAGTCCCAGCTACTTGGAGGCTGAGGTGGGAGGATCGCTTGAGTCTGGCAGGTGGAGGTTACAGTGAGCTAAGATCCACCATAAATGTAAAACACAAAATTATAAAACTTGTAGAAGATAACATAGGAGACAATCTAGATGACTTTGGGTTTGGCAATGACATTTTAGATACAACACCAAAAGCATGATCCATAAATGAACAACTTGATAAGCTGGGCTTCATTAAAATTAAAAACGTCTGTTCTGAGAAAAATAGCATCAAGAGCACGAGAAGACAAACCACAGACTGGGAGGAAATATTTGCAAAAGACATGGCTGATAAAGGACTGTTATCCAAAATAAACAAAGAACTCTTAAAACTCAACTCTTAAAATCCAATAAGAAAATAAACTACTGATTTTAAAATGGTCAAAAGCCATCTCACCAAAGAAGATATATAGATGGCAGGTAAGCATGTGAAAGGCATTGTTTAGTTTTCCACATACATATCCTATTCAGGTCGTATTAGGTGTAAACCTAAGTATTTAATTTTTTTATTGTGGCAAAATACACAAAATTTATCATTTTAACAATTTAAAAATGTACAGTTCCGTGGCATCAAGTACAATCACACTGTTGTGCAACCATCACCACCCTCTACCTCCAGAACTCTTTCATCTTCTCAAACTGAAACTCTGCACCCACTGAATAATTCTTCAATTCTCTGTCCTCCCAGACCCTGGCAACTACCATTCTTTCTGCCTCTATGAATTTGACCACTCTAGGGAATATATATATATGTGGAGTCATACAGGATTTGTCTTTTTTTATTGGTTTATTTATTTAACATAGTGTCTTCAAGACTCATTCTTGTGTGACTTGTCAGAATATCCTTCCTTTTGAAGGCTGAATAATATTCTATTGTATGTATATGCCACACTGTTAATTTATTCATCAGTCCATAGAGGCATACGTTGCTTCCTCCTTTTGGCTATTGTGAAAAATGTTGCTATGGAACATAGGCGTACAAATATCTATTCAAGTCCCTGCATTCACTTCTTTTGTGCATATACCTAAAAGTGGAATCACATGGTAATTAATTTGGGAGGAATTGTCATACTGTTTTTCATAGTGGCTGCACCATGTTACATTCCCACCAGTAATACACAAGGGTTCCAATTTGTCCACATCCTTGGCAACACTTTTATTGATAGTAGCCATTCTAGTAGGTGTGAAATGGTATCTTTTGATTTGCATTTAATGACTAGTGATGTAGAACATCCTTTCACATGCTTATTGGACATTTGTGTATCTTCTCTAGAGAAATGTCTATTAAAGTACTTTGCCCATTTTTAAATCATTTTTTGTTGTTGTCGTTGAGGTGTAGGAGTTCTTTATATATTCTCAATATCAATCCCTTATTGGATATATGATTTACAAATAGTTCCCCCCATCCCAGGGGTTGTCTTTTCTCTCTCTTGACAATGCCCTTTGATACACAAAGGTTCTTAATTTTAACTAGCTGGGTGTGATGGCATGTGCCTGCAGTCCCAGCTACTTCAGAGGCTGAGGTGAGAGAACTGCTTGAGCTCAGGAGGTTGAGATTGTGCCACTGCACTCCAGTCTGGGCAACAGAGCGAGACCTTGTCTCAAAAAAAAAAAAATCCTTAATTTTGACAACTCCAACTTATTATGTATTTTCTCTTTTTTTGCCTGTGCTTTTGGTGTCCTGTCCAATAAAACACTGCCAGATCTGATGTCATAAATTTTCCCCCTGTGTTTTCTTCTAAGAGTATTGTAGTTTCAGCTCTTACATTTAGATCTTTCATCCATTTTGAGTTAACTTTTGTATACGGTGTAAGGCAAAGGTCCAAATTTATTTTTTTGCATGTGGATAGCCAGTGGTTTTAGTTCATTTTTTTGTTGCTATAAAAGAATACCACATGTTGGGTACTTTTAAAGAAAATAAATTTATTCCTTACAGTTCTAGAGGCTGGGAAATCCAAGAGCATTGCACTGGCATCTGGTGAGGGTTATCTTATGGCAGAAAGGCAGAGGGCAAAAGCAAGCACAAGACAGATCACAAGATCAAGTAAAGCTTACTTTTATAAGAATCTGCTCTCATAAGAATTAATTCATTCTTGAGGGCTCCACCCTCAGAACCCAACCACCTCTTAAAGGTCCTACCGTTTAATATTGTTACACTGGCAATTACAATCTCAACAAATAAACTTCTGGGGACACATTTAAACCCTAGCACCAGTTTTCCCAACATTTGTTGAAAAGACTGTCCTTTCTCCATAGAACCATCTTGGCACCCTTGTTGAAAATCATTTGACCATAAATGTAAGGATTTCTTTATGGACTATTCCTATACCATTGGGCTCTATGTCTCTCTTCGAGCCATTTCCACATTGTTTTGATCACCATAGCTTGTAGTACATTTTGAAAAGAATGTGTAAGACCTCTAATTTTGTTCTCCTTTTTCAAGATTGTTTTAGCTATTCAAGGACTGTTGACGTCCCATAAAAATTTCAGCATGGATTTTTCTATCTCTATAAAAAACTGACATTGGGATTTTGACAGGGACTGCATTGAATCTGTAGATTGCTTTGGGTAGTAGTGACAGCTTAACAATATCGTCTTCCAGGCCATGAATGTGGGATGTCTTTCCATGCATTTGTGTGTTTAATTTTCTCCAGTAACATTTTGTAGATTCCATTGTGCAAGTCTTTCATCTACATGGTTAAGTTTATTCCTAAGTATTTTACCCCTTTGATGCTACTGTAAAGGGAAATTTTTTAAATTTCTTCTCCAGGTTGTTGCTTGTTAGTGAATAGAAATGCAACTGATTTTTGCATGTCGATTTTGTGTCCTACAACTTTGCTGAATTCTTAGTTGCAGAAGATTTCTTATTGTGTGTATGTGTGTGTAATCTTTAGGGGTTTCTACACTATAAGGTCATGTCACCTGTGAATAGAGATAGCTTTATGTCTTCCTTTCCTATTTGAATGCTTTCTATTCCCCCAATTCTTGCCTAATTGCTCTGGGTACAACTTATAGTACTATGTTGAGTAGAAGAGGTGAGCGTGGTCATCCTTGTCTTGCTCCTGATTTTAGAGAAAAAGCTTTTAGTCTCTTACCACTGAGTATGATGTTGGCTATGGGGCTTATATAAATATTTGGCTTTTAGTATATTAAGGTAGTTTCCTTTTATTTCCAGTTAATTGTTTTTAAATCAAGAATGTTGATTTGTATCAGATGCTCTTTCTGCATCAGTTGAGATGATTACATTTTTCTCCTTCTTTTTTTTTTTTTTTTGAGACGGAGTCTCTCTCGCTCTGTCGCCCAGGCTGGAGTGCAGTGGCATGATCTCGGCTCACTGCAAGCTCCGCCTTCCGGGTTCACACCATTCTCCTGCCTCAGCCTCCTGAGTAGCTGGGACTACAGGCACCCACCACTACACCCGGCTAAATTTTTGTATTTTTAGTAGAGACGGGGTTTCACCGTGTTAGCCAGGGTGGTCTTGATCTCCTGACCTCGTGATCCGCCCACCTCGGCCTCCCAAAGTGCTGGGATTACAGGCGTGAGCCACTGCGCCCGGCCTCCTTAATTCTTTTAATGTGTGAATTACCTTGATTTTTACATGTTGAACATTCTTTGTATTTCAGGAATAAATCATACCTGATCATGGTGTAGAATCCTTGTAATAGCCTGTTGAATTCAGTCTGCTAGTATTTTATTTTTTATTTTTTAGAGATGAGGTCTCACTATGTTGTTGCCCAAGCTGGGGTATGGTGGCTATTCACAGGTGTGATCATCGCACACTACAGTGTCAAATTCCTAGACTCAAGGAATCCTCCCATCTCAGCCTCTCAAGTAGCTAGGGACTACAGTACAGACATGTGACATCATACCCAGCAGTATTTTAAATTCTGGTGAATTTTGTTTGCTAGTTGAGCATTTTAAAATCTATATTCAAAGGGGATGCAATTGTGTAGTTTTTTATGTTCTAATCTGGCTTGGGTATCAGGCAACGCCAAACTCATAGAATGAATTTGGAAGTGTTTCCCCCTTTTCAACCTTCAGAGGAGTTTAAGAAGAATTGGTGTTAATTCTTCTTTAAATACCTTGCAGAATTCATCTGTGAAGCCATCTGATCCCAGGCTTTATTGGGAGGTGTTTGGTTATGAAATCAATCTCCTTACTAGTTGTAGCTCTATTCAAATTTCCTATTTCTTCATATTCAGTACTGGTAGGCTGTGTATTTCTAGGAATTGTGCCTTTTCATCTTGGTTATTCATTTTGTTGCCATACATTTGTTCATACTATTCTCTTATAAACCTTTTTTATTTCTGTAAAATTGGTGGAACGTCCCTGCTTTCATTTCTGATTTGTATTTTCTCTTTTTCCTTAGTCAATCTACCTAAAGGTTTGTCAATTTTATTGACCTTTTCTAAGAACCAACACCTGGTTTTGTTGATTTTATCTACTGTTTTTCTATTCTCTATTTTATTTGTATCTGTTCCAGTCTTTTTTATTTTCTTCTTTCTTCTTATTTTGGGTTTTGTTTGCTCTCCTTTTTCTAGATCTGTAAGGTGTAGAATTAGGTTGCTGATCTGAGACCTTTCTTCTTTTTTAGTGTAAGCATTTATACCATCAATTTCCCTCTTAATACTGTTTTTACTGTGTAAGTTTTTGTTGTTGTATTTTCATCTTTGTCTTAAGATCTTTCATAGTTTCCCTTGTGTTCCCTCTTTGACCCAATAGTCATTTAAGAATGTGTTGTTTAATTTCCCCAAATTTGTGAATTTTTCAGTTTTCCTTTTGCAGTTGTTGCCTAGTTTCACTCCACTGTGTTCAGAAAAAATACTTTGTATAATTTCAATCTTTGAAAATTCATTAAGGCTTGTTATGTGGCTTAAAATACGGTCTTTCCTGGAGAATGTTCCATACATACTTGAGGAAAATCTGTTTGCTGTTGTTGGATGGAGTGATCTGTATATGTCTTTCATGTCTAATTGGTCTATACTGTTGTTCAAGTCATCTGTTTCCTTACTGATCTTCAATATTCTATACATTATTGAAAGTGGGTACTGAATTTTCCTACTATTATTGCAGGGCTATTTCTCCATTCAATTCTGTCAATGTTTGCTTCATATATATTTGGAGGTCTAATGTTTGTGTACAAACATTAGAACTTCCTATGTTCTAACTGAACATAATCTAAGAACATAATCCAAAAACATAATTTAACTTTTTATGTTTTTGCTATCTTTTTAGTGAACTGACCCTTTTATTATTTAATGTCCCTATTTGTCTCATGTAACAGTGTCTTGACTTAAGGTCTATTGTATTTAAAATTATAGCCAACTTTTCCCCTCTTTTGGCTATTTGCATGGAATATCATTTTCCATCCTTTTACATTCAGTCTCTGTCATGAGATCTAAAGTGTGCCTCTTGAGGACAGCACATAGTTGGATTCTATTTTTTTAAAATCCATTCTGCCATTCTATGTCTTTTGATTAGAGAATTTAATCCATTTACATTTAAAGCAATTTGTGATAAGAAAGCACTACTTTTGACATTTTGTTGTTTTCTGTATATCTTACAGCTTTCTTGCCCCTCACGTTTCCATTACTGCTTTACTTTGTGTTTAGTTGACTTTTTGTAGTGGCACATATTGATTCCCTTCTCATTTTCTTTTTTTGCATACACAGAGTCTCACTCTTTGCCCAGACTATAGTGCAGTGGTGCAGTCATGTCTCACTGCAGCCTCAACCTCCTGGGCTCAAGCAATCCTCCCACCTCAGCCTCCCAAGTAGCTGGGACTACAGGCATGTACCACTATGCATGGATAATTTTTTTTTTCTACAGACTGATCTTGAACTCTGGGCTCAAGCAATCCTCCTGCCTCAGCCTCCCTAAGTGTTGGAATTACAGGAATGAACTACTGCACCTAGCTTAGATATTTTCTTTGTGGTTATTGTGGACATTAAATATAACATTTAGAGTTATGGCACCTTAAATTGATACCAACTTGACTTCGGTAACATTAAAAAAACTCTACTCCTTTATAGATCCTCCCTCCACTCCCCGCTTTGTGTTACTGGTGTCACAACTTACATTTGTATATACTACATATCCTTTTTTTTTTTTTTTTTTTTGAGATGGAGTCTCACTCTGTCACCCAGGCTGGAGTGCAGTGGCACGATCTTAGCCTACTGCAACTTGCAACTTCTGGGTTCAAGCAATTCTCTTGTCTCAGCTTCCTGAGTAGCTGGGATTACAGGTGCACACCACCATGCTCAGCTAATTTCTGTATTTTTAGTAGAGATGGGGTTTCACCACATTGGACAGGCTGATCTCAAACTCCTGACCTCAGGTGATCCACCTGCCTCACCCTTCCAAAGTGCTGGGATTACAGGTGTGAGCCACTGTGGCCAGTCTAAATCCATTATTATAGATTTGTATTTATTTTAATAAAGTTGCCTTACAAATCCTGTAAAAAATAAAAAGAATTAAAAACCAAAATTAAAATAATTTAAACTTTTTTATATTTTTCCATGTATTACCCTTATACTTTATACTTCATATGGCTTCAAGTTACTGTCTAGCATCCTTATATTTCAACTTGTAGGACTCCCTTTAGTGTTTATTGTAGGGTAGGTCTAGTGGTAATAAACTCCCTCAGCTTTTGTTTATCAAGAAATGTTTTAATTTCACCTGCATTTTTGAAGGATAGTTTTGCGAGAGATTAAATTCTTAGTTGATAAGTTCCCCCCACCACTTCATAACTTAAAATATATAATCCCACTGCCTTTTGGCTTGTAAGGTTTTTTTCACTAAGAAATCCACAGGTAGTCTTATTGAGGATCCCTTGTACATTATAAGTTATTGCTCTCTTGCTGCTTTCAAAATTTGTTGACTTTTAACAGTTTGATTATAATGTATCCTGGTGTGGGTCTCTTTGGGTTTATCCTACTTGAAAATCTTTGAGCTTCTTGGATTTTTATCTCCATGTATTACCTTAAAATTGGGAAGTTTTCAGCCATTATTTCTTCAAATAATCTATCCCCTTCTCTCTTCTCCATTTTGAATTCCTATAATGTGTATATTGGTCTACTTCTTCAGGTCCCTTAAGTCCCTTAGGCTCATTTTTTTATTTTTTATCATCTTTTTTCTTTCCTTTTTGTTTTCAGACTTGATAATTTCAAATAACTGGTGTTCAAACTCAATGTCTGCTTTCTTTCCCCTGTGTTCTAGGCTACAGTTAAGCCTCTTTGGTGAATTTTTGAATTCCCTTAAGTATTTTTCAGCTCCTGAATTTAATTCTTTTTTAAATATATAATTTCTATCTCCCTGTTTATATTCTAATTTTGTTTATATATATAGTATATATATATATTCTCTCTATATATAGTATGTATATATTCTCTATATATATAGTGTGTGTGTGTATGTATATATATATATATATATATATATATATATATTCTCTCTCTCTCTCTCTCTATATATATATATATATATCTCTCTCTCTATATATATATATATATATACTACCTTGCCTGGCAAGTATTGTGCTTTTTAATTTTTATTTTCACCACTATATATATATTACTATATATATAACTATATATAGCTATATATATAGTTTTCCTGATTTCCTTTAGTTTTTTGCCCATGCTTTAACTCTTTCAGCACTTTTAAGATGGTCATTTAAAGCCTTTTTCTAGTAAGTACTCTGTGTGTTTCCTCAGTGACTATTTCTGGAGGTTTATTTTGTTCCTTTGAATAGGCCATGTTTGCCTGTGTCTCTGTATGCCTTGTAATCAGATGGACGTTTGAAGCACACCTCTTCCACTTGTTGAAGACTAGAGTTATTTACTCTCAAGCCCCTGAACCTAGAGATCAGCCCAGGGTAAAGGCTTAAGGGCTGCTCAGGTCTTCTGGGCATGCATCCTACCTGGGCCTATGTGTGTGTATTTCCCCATTTCTTCTGGCTGCTTTCAAATGTCTTAATTTTCCAAAGCGTCCCACCTCAGCTTCTTCTCAGAGCCTTAGATGGCCTATTGTATTCCTCTGCCCATCATCTCTTGCTCACAGTTGTCTTCAGATCTACAGTCCCCCTACAGTTTTCACACATCATGGTACACCCCACTTCCTTCTGATGCTTCCAGCCTAAGCTCCAAACTATGCTACCCTTCCATCTGAGGCAGGAGAGACAGATGCTGGTTTCTTGGACATCCCACAGATAGGCGAGAATTATACAAACAATTTCCACCCTGCTCTTTCTGGCCCAAGGGACAGAGTCAAAAATTGGTCCTGTTCCTCTGGCCTTCACTGCATGGGTGAGGCATGGGCAAGTAAAAACAACACTGAATTTCCTACCGTTCTGAGTGTGGCTTTTTCCTGATTGGCATTCGCTTGGTTGCTACAGATCTTTGGTTGGTTTCTAGAGCTCCTATAAAGTGATTTTAGTCAGTCTGTAGTTGTTTATTTGACATTTTATGGGAGAATAAGGGCCTGGAGCTTCCTGGTCTCCCATTTTGTTGATGTCCTCAGTATTTTAATCTTTTAAAAAGTGACTGTACACGGTATTGTGCTTTTTTTTTCTTTTGAGACAGGGTCTCTTTCTGTTGTCTACGTTGGAGTGCAGTGGTGCAATCAGCTCACTGTAACCCCAAATTTCTGGACACAAGTGATGCTCCCACCTCAGCTTCCTGAGCAGCTAGGAGTACAGGTGCATGCCACTTTGCCTGGCTATTTTTAAAACTTTTCTGTAGAGACGGCGTGTCACTATGTTGCTCAGGCTGGTCTCAAACTCATGGCCTCAAATTGATCCTTCTCCTTTGGCCTCCCAAAGTGCTGGGATTACAGGAGTGAGCTACCTTGCCAGGCAAATATTGTGCTTTTAGTTTTTATTTTCAACAGTTCACTAAAGTATAAAAAATTGTGTGTTGTTCTTGTATCTTGTAAGCACGCTAAATCCATTATTAGTTCAAGGAGGTGATTTAGGTAGATTCTAGAGGTTTCTTTATAGAACAATCATCTTAAAACTCAATAATAAGAGAAAAATGCAATGAAATGTGGGCAGAAGATTTGGACACTTGACAAAAGAAGATACAAGAAGAGCCAATAAGCGTATTTAAAAACTGTTCAGCATCATTAGCTATCCAGAAGAAAATACAAACCAAAAGCAAAATGAGATACCGCTATGCTTTAGAATGACTAAAACTTCAAAGATTGAGAATATCGAGTGCTGGGGAGGTTGCAGAGCACACAGAACTTTCACGAACTTCTTGCAGGGATGGAAAGTGGTACCTTTTAGAAAACTGTTTGACAGTTTCTAAATTAAACAAACGTTTATCATATGACCCAACCTGTTCACTCCTAGGCATTTTCCAGGGGAAATGAAAGTGTATGCCCAAAGAAGGACTTGTATTTCAATGTTCGTAGAAGTTTTATGCACAAGAGTCCAAAACTGCAAAAAAATCCGAAAGTTCATCAACTGGTAAATAAACTGTTATCTATCCACATAATGGAAGCTAGCTAGCAATAAAAACCATGGACATTGCTGAATCTCAAGAGCATTATGCTAAGTGGGAGTGATTCTATGTATATGAGATTCTAGAAACAATAAAGTTATAATGGTAAAGAGCAGATCAGTGGTTGCAAGGGGCAAGGGCATGTGGGAGAGAGGACTGACTGTAAAGGGGCTTGAGGAAACCTACTGGTGGATGGAAATGTTCTATATCGCAGTAGTTGTGGTCATTACACACCTGCATATGCTTCTCAAAAGTGATCAAATCGCACACTTAATAGTGGTGCATTTTATTGTTTGTAAATTATACTTTAATAAGTCTGATTTTATAAATGCAATCTTGAGCAGTAGACAGATTCCTATGGCCTGCAGGTGCCCACTTACCACCCTGAAAGGCCCCACGTGCCTAAAAATAGAGAAATAAGAGGAAATAATTTCATTTACTCACTTATTCATTTCATCATTTATTTGTCAAATTTATTTGTTAAAAATGTTTCTTACACATGAATTAGGGGACAGACAGTAGCAGGTGTTGGGATACAGAGCGGGGAAAGCTGCTCCTGGGATAAGCATGCACCCAGCACTCCAGGAGTGCAGAAGAGGGACATCCAGCCCAGACCAGGGTGTCAGGGAAGCGGGTGGCTGCTGAACTAAGCCCTGAATGATGAATACGTTGTGCTTTCCCCCACAACATGTTCACATAATGACCCTAAGGAATAGTTGGGAGGCTCTTGCAGCACAGAAGAGTGGGCACTTTAGAGTCACGCAGGTGTGGGCTCCAGTCCTGACCTGGCTGTTTGCCAGCTGTGTAACCTTGAGAAAATGTCAATCAACCAGAGTCCCATTTTTTTTCATACCCAGAATCAGAGTAATCATAATTACCTATACATTGCTCTGAAAACAAATTAGAAAATATTTCTCTTTTTTTTTTTTTTTTTAAGATGGAGTGTTGCTCTGTCACCAGGCTGGAGTGCAGTGGTGTGATCTCAGCTCACCGCAACCTCTGCCTCCTCGGTTCACATAATTCTCCTGCCTTAGCCTCCTGAGTAGGTGGGATTACAGGCACGCACCACCATGCCCAGCTAATTTTTGTATTTTTAGTAGAGATGGGGTTTCACCATGTTGGCCAGGATGGTCTTCATCTCTTGACCTCGTGATCTGCCCGCCTCAGCCTCCCAAAGTGCTGGGATTACAGGTGTGAGCCACTGCACCGGGTCTAGAAAATACTTCTAAAACATCTAGCGCAATAAAGGATTAGTAATGATAACGAGACATACATATCAGGTAGCCTCTTTGGTTACCATAACCTCTTCCCACCATCCTGGTCAAACACTAGGAATGAAAAATGCAGGGACTGGGGTTCCCGAAACTCAAGACTCACATAGTGTCACAGTCAGTAGAGTTGCAGCCAAGTGGTCTTTGCTGCCTGGCACCCCTCAGGAACGAGCCAGAAGAAGACCCCAGCCCAGGGAGAGGTCACAAGATGCCACCCACCCCTTTTCTTCTGTCTGCGGTTGTTCTGCATCAAATCATTGCCTTGTTTTGCACCTCTCTGGTGAAATTTCTAAGCTTCCTTTCAGTTCTAAAATCCAAGGTCCATGAAGCAAAACTCAAAAGACAAAACACAAAAGTCAAACCCCAGCAAAGGGGTTCAAAGTCATCTTTCCTGAACTTCACTGTGAGGATAAAAATGTACTCGGGCACAAGCTTCTTCTAAACTCCGAGCTTTCACACCCGTGCATCCACGCACAGAGGTTTCACTGCCCTTGGACACCAAATGAGCATTCCTTGGCTTGAAAACCCTCTTAAGGCTGAGAGCGTCCTTTTGAATTTGGATACATAAAATTGTGACTATCCAAAGGAGGCACATGGCTTTGTTTTTCCAACTTTAGTGACACAGTTAGCTAAATGGTGAGCTCTTGAGGACTGGGACCATGTCTTTTCACACCTGTATTCCCAGCCCCTAGCACAGAGCCTTCACCACTGAAGCTTGTGGAACGAATGGCTGAATGAACACACCTGATGGTGTTTTCCCGCAGCATTTTCTATATCTCTCCTCTAACTCATGAATTACACTGCAGTTGGCACAAAGGTACACTACATGCCAAAATGGACTAAATAACACGAAGAAGAAATTCAATTATTAAAAACAAAAATCAAACATAGTCCCCATCACATCTTTAGGATGAAAAGGGGTTAGTCCTGGGGCGGGGGACAGCCTGGGGTGATGGAGGTTACACCCTTCTGCCACCCCTTTATGAACTGGTGAGCCTGGCCAAGGTACTTACTGACTCTGAGTCTGTCTCTCCACCTACAAAATGAGGAGCGTAAGAATGCGGCTCTTACGGGGCTGTGCTGAGCAGGACTGCTTGTTTCAGGGATGAATGCTGGGAAGGGTCCCCTGATTTGGAAGACCGACTGGCTCATGTCTCCCGAATACACTCCGATTGTCCCTCTTCCAGTTCAGTTAACATCAATTGTTCATCGCAGATTGCAAGGGCCTTGCCCATCGCAGCAGGATTTTGTAATCCCTCCAGGCTAAATTGCAATTAACTTGCTCTATTGGGGCTGCCTAGGAGTCCTGGGCAAGGGCAGGACCTGAAGCCTGTCACCTGAGCAGTCTGAGTCACTGTGCCCACACCTCAGTCCTGCCCCAGGGCCTGCACAGGTTACCACTTCCAGTGGCAAGCCCTGAACCTCCCTGGGACTCTGCTGTCTCCAGGATGACCTGGACACACCTTCCTGTGGCACATCCTGGAGCCTGTTGGTCCTGGGTGACAGTCACAGGAGCAGGTAAAAAGTGGCTCAGGAGCCTTAGGGATGGCTCTTCAGAGGACGGGGCCTGCTGGTGCCAGTCCCTCATCGGAGAGAGGATGGAAGCTACCCTCCTGACCAGGACTGGGTTCCCTAGTATCACGTGAGGAGCACTTGGCATTTTTGAAAAAGACTTTCTTTTTTCTGAAGCAGGGTCTTGCTCTGTCACCCAGGCTGGAGTGCAATGGCACAAACATGGCTCACTGCAGTCTCGACCTCCTGGGCTCAAGTGATCCTCCCACCTCAGCCTCCCAAGTAGCTGAGACCACAGGTGTGTGCCACCACGCCTAGCTAATTTTTATTTTTTGTAACAGATGGGGTCTCACCACATTGCCCAGGTTGGAGGTCACACTTTATTGCCCAGGCCACTCTTGAACTCCTGGCCTCAAGCTATCCTCCTGCCTTGGTCTCCCAAAGTGCTGATGATATAGTTTGGTTCTGTGTCCCCACTCAAATTTCATCTTGTAACTCTCACAATTCCCACGTGTTGGGGCGGGGGGGGGGCCAGGTGGGAGGTGATTGAATCATGGGGTCGGGTCTTTCTTGTGCTGTTCTTGTGATGGTGAATGGATCTCACAAGATCTGATGGTTTTAAAAAGGGGAGTTCCCCTGCACAAGCTCTCTTTTTGCCTGCTGCCATCCATGTCAGACAGGACTTGCTCCTCCTTGTCTTCCACCATGATTGTGAGGCTTCCCCAACCACATGGAACTGTAAGTCCAATTAAATTTCTCTAGTAAATTTCCCAGTCTCGGATATGTCTTCATCAGCAGCATGAAAATGAATACAGCTGGGATTACAGATATGAGCCAACGTGTCCAGCATTGACTTTATTTTCTTAGAACCACTTTAGGTTCACAGCAAAATTAAAAGGTACAGAGAATGCCCATGTACCACCTCTCCTACACTCAGGCACAGCCTCCTCCACTACCAACACCCCCCACCAGAGTGGTACATTTGTGACAATGGATCAAGCTACATCGCCACATTATCATCCCCACAGCCACAGTTATGTTACGGTTCACATGCACATTCTATGGGTTTGGACAGATATACGACGCCATGTGTCCAGCATTCTAGGATCATAATTTCCTTGCCCTAAAAATCCTCCGCAGCACTTCCTTTTCATTTTCTCCTCTTGTACGTGTGGAGGGAGAGAAGAAAAATGCATTGCACGCCTGCTGTCAGGTATTTTGCTGAGCCACAGTTCATTTAATCCTACAACCACCCTTTGGTCAAGGAAGACTTGAAAACAAGGCCCTGGGAATGAGTCCGCTGAGATCCCAGTGGCCAGGGGACAGTTACAAGGAAGACCTAGGGAGACATGCAGACGAATTCAGAATCAAGCTTTCAAGCTAGGTGGGTGATGAGGTCTCATCTACTGAATGCAGTGCAGGGAGTCAAGGGAACCACAAGTGCAGGGGGTGGGGTATAGCCACAGGAGAGCATCCCTGTTCAGACACCTTCGTCCTGGGATATACCTGAGGCCTTCAGAACACAGGTTCTTGCCTGGGTGTGGTCTGCTCATTTCTATTCATTTAAGAATCCTGTTAGCTGAGCATGGTGATATGGACCTGCAGTCCTAGCTACTCAGGCGTCTGAGGCAGGAGGATCACTTCAGCCCAGGAGGTCAAGGCTGCAGTGAGCTTTCATTGTGCCACTGTACTCCATCCTGGGTGACAAAGCAAGACCCTGTCTCCACTTTAAAAAGAGGAGAGAGAGAAAGAGGGGGATAGAGATAGAGAGAGAGAGAGAGAGCGAGCGAGCGAGCAAGCTGTACCTTCCTTGTGCCTGGCACTGTCCTGGTGCTATAGGAATACAAACATGAAGGTTCCCTTCAGAGGTCCTAGGGTTGAATGGGGAAAGTGACATACCCCAAAACACAAGTAGACTTTGATGAGCACAGAGAACGCTACGAAAATTCAGAAAATGGAGAGATTGCTTCTGGGGGCCGGATCAGGACAGGCTGGAGAAGTGGATGACACCTGTGGCGGGTCTTGAAGCCAGTGGGTGGAGAAGGGAAGCCTGGTCGGAGCCACAGATATGCACTAGGGGCGGGACTGCAGGCAGGAGGCAGAGCCGGGAGTGCAGGTCCGGGGGAGCGGCATTACCGAGGGAACGATGGGAGGTGCAGGGCAGCACTGTCCAGATAGGAGTCAGACAGTGGGGTGTCGAGCTGGGAGCTTCCTGAAGGTGAGGACCTACCTAGTGTACAGTGGTGGCAGACACTTGATTAGGTTGGACTGCTGATAACGCCTCTTGATGTTGGGGTGAGACTGAACGAGAGCGTGGGGTGCCCATAATAATAACGGGGGGCAGGAGGCAACCTGGAGAGGATGGGTTCCTCTTAGACCCACTGAATGTGATAGGCCCTCTGGACGGTCGGCTGGAGACGCAGGACTAAAGCTTGAGACTAGTGGGGACAGAGATGCTGACCTGAGAATCACACAGAAAGCAGCAGAAACGCCGGCCATGCAGATGTATACAGAAAATGGATAGTGAGAGGACAGAACCCACGGCTCAGAAACACTCAAGGGTGTCCCATCTTCCCACACTTAGCTGACCGCAGAAGGAGCAAGAGCCAAGGAGTATTCAGAAAAGGCGGAGGCTTAGGAGTTGCATGGAGTCGACATAGTTGGAGAAGGAGACTAAACGGTCTGAGATGCAGTTACTCACCGGGGCAGCGACGTACCTCACAAAGGTGAAGATGAGGGTGCTTCCTTCCGTCAAGGTGCTGGGGTCACTCTAGATTGCTCAAGACCTTGATTCTCTAAGGTTTGAAGGCCGGAGTCGGAGTTTGCCTTCAGCAGTTTTCCATGTAACAAATGTGCGTTGATACCTGTTTTTGTTCCATCCAGGTTCGAGGGGCGTCCCCAGTTAGTGGGTGGAGGCTACCTGGAGGCCACCTGGAGGCCACCTCTCCTCTCCCATCTCTATGCACCCCATCTGCACACTCAGCAGATCCTCTAGAGACAGGAGAGGCGGGAGGAAGCTGGGCTTTATCTTCAGACTGACCTGTTAAGAGCCATTCCACGTAGGCAAAACACATTTCTAATGCATTCTATGTGGAGGAAGGCACATACTATAATTTGGCGAATTTATCACAGAGTTAGAAATGTTGTTAAGTGTACACAGTTCCTCCTCAGGTTCAAGTCAAATGAGCTGGCAAAGAGCTTCTCACAGCTCATCCATGAATGCCAAAGAGGAGAGGACGCTTGCTAGCCACGGTGGAGGAGGCTGCGTCCCGGGCATAAATGTACTGAGATTAATCCAGGACACGGCAGTACCTTCTAAATGACACACATTTGTAGAACTTGAAAGTGGGTAGGCTCTGTAATGCGTCAGTCACTCTGCTGTCAACTGGCCTGGAGCCCAGAGTCGGTGTTCAATAAATGTTTTCAGAACAAATAACTGCTTTCAGCACCCACGCACCTTTTTCTAAGGAAACTCAACACAGAACATACAAACAGAAAATTTCAGCTATAACTGATTACAAAATTCTCCCCACTAGCTAAAGACTTCACTGCTGCTTTCCTTAAAAGTTCACTGCTAATGCCTGCACAACAGGCAGCTGAGGTGGGAGGAAGTGCGCCTCACGCACCCTGCACCAGCCCCCGACCCACTCGTCCACAGCAGGAGAGGCCTGGCCCCACCCACCCTTCTTTACCTGCCATCTTTGTCTGGCTTATTCCTCCCTTTTACTGGTTCCATGAAGGCTTTGTGTATGTCACTGCAGTATATTCAGTATTTCCTAAATAGATCGGACACTTTTATGCAAGGAGTTTAGTCATCGACTTTACTAGGACACGGTACTAATTTGCTCATTAATAACCAAGCACTATAAAATCACACACCGAGCACCCGACCTGACCTCCTGCCCTGCCCTCCAGCACAACAGGCTCCGAAACGCAGCAGCTGCAGAACCAGCGAGATAAACAGGGCGGTGACGAAGAGGTTCTTACTCCAATCAACGTACAGCTGCTGCCTGCTGATCCAAGGGCTGAGATCACTCGGACAGACTGTGCCGAAAGCCTTCTCTGATACTGTTTCTTAATAAACAGGTCTCAGCGTGTGCCTGCCAGTCAGTGAACAGGTGGAGGAGGAGGGAGGCAGAGGGATGACCTCCGCTAGGAAAGAGATGCTCACTGGGATTTCATCTCTCAAAAGCATCAGTATTTTCTACAAGTTGAAAACATTCTTTTTCAGACTTGCAAACAGGGTTTAAGAAACCAACTCACCCAATTTCCCACCCACCTCTTGACCAAGTTGGAAAAGAAAATCCACTGAGAATGTCTAATGTGCAGCATAACTCAAAAGTATTTTCTATAGCTCATCCGAATCATAACTAACTCAAATTAATTGTGAAACTCTGCAGTTTGCCTGCTGCTTTCAAATCCATTCCCAGTTAAGAGTAACAATGACATGTGAAGAGCATCTGCAATAGGGAGGCTTGCAGGTGGAACTGGCTGTGGCAAGGATGGAGGAAAAGGGGCGCGGGTTTGTGACTACAGTAGACAGCGGGCTGGGGCATCGCGGGGCCTCTGGGAAGAGCATCAGTCTAGTTATAAAAAGGCTGAGAGACGGGCGCAGTGGCTCACGCCTATAATCCCAGCACTTTGGGAGGCCGAGGCGGGCAGGTCATCTGAGGTCAGGAGTTTGAGACCAGCTTGGCCAACGTGGCGAAACCCTGTCTCTATTAAAAATACAAAAATTAGCTGGGCGTGGTGGTGCACGTCTGTAGTCCCAGATACTTGGGAGGCTGAGGCAGGAGAATCACTTGAACCTGGGAGGTGGAGGTTGCAGTGAGCCAAGATCGCACCACTTCACTCCAGCCTGGGTGACAGGGCGAGACTCCGTCTCAAAAAAAAAAAAAAAACATAATAATAATAATAAATAAATAAAATAAAAGGCTGCGAGGCCCTTCCGTAAAAGGGGAATGATGATAATGGTTACCTCCTGGGTTGTTTGAGGACTAAATGAGTTGGCTTATTTGAAGTATTTGGAATAAGGCCAGGCATCCAAGACTTCATACAATAATAATAATCATCCATTAAAATTAACAGAAAAGGAGAGAAGGTTGCTGCAGGACAACACAGAAGAGTCTCTTCAGTGGACAAATATTTTCTTGGGAGCCTAATTTTCCTCCTTAAACTGAAAGAACCAAGGAAAGCACTGAATAATACTAAAATTAAAGTATTTTTACCCGGTGAAATAATTCAAGGCAAAAACAGGGATCATATGCTACTCATTCTTAAAGTATCAAGCATAAAATGCAGAGTATTTGTTTTGTTGTTCTAATTTCCACTTAGATCCAGAAAACCAAGTGGACTGAAAAACAGACACAGAAAAATGAAAGCCGAGGGTACCTAGAGAAAAGAGAGTCTCCACCTCCTTTGGAACAAATCTGCTCTTTGCTGAGCATGTGACTCCTTCTCTGGCTGCCCACTCAATTATTAAAATAATTCAGGAGGGGCCAGGAGCAGTGGCTCACACCTGTAATCCCAGGACTTTGGGAGCCTGAGGTGGGCAGATCACTTTGAGCTCAGGAGTTTGAGACCAGCCTAGGCAACATGGCAAAACCCCATCTGTACTAAGAATACAAAAATTAGCCAGGTGTGGTGGCCCGTGCCTGTAATCCCAGCTACTCAGGAGGCTGAGGCAGGAGAATCACTTGAATCCAGAAGGCGGAGGTTGCAGTGAGCTGAGGTCGCACCACTGCACTCCCTCCTGGGTGATAGAACGAGACTCCCTCTCCTAAAAACAAAAACAAAAACAAACAAACAAACAAAAAACAAAATATTCAGGAGGCCTTTCTCCGGCCTATGAAAACAGTCATCACCACATTCTACATTCTCTCAGTAAAAGCTGCATGTGGGCCAGGTGTAGTGGCTCACACCTATAATCCCAGCACTTAGGGAAGCCAAGGCGGGAGGATCACTTGAGGCCAGGAGTTCAATACCAGCCTGGGCAACATAGCAAGACCGTGTCTCTAGAAAAAATAAAAACATTAGCCAGGTGTGGTGGCACATGCCTGCAGTCCCAGCTGCTGGGGAGGCTGAGACAGGACGACTGCTTGAGCCCAGGAGTTCAAAGCTGCAGTGAGCTTTGACCAGGCCTCTGCATTCCAGCCTGGGCAACAGAAAGAGACCCTATCTCTGAAAAAAAAAAAAAAAAAGAAAAAAAACCAACATTTGCATGTGAACAATCTTCCAGTCCAGCTGCCTTGGAATTCCTAACTCCAGGAACTACCAGCTCCCTTCCGCACCTCCCTCCTCTGGCCTTCCCACCCAGCTCCTGCACCCATGTCTGGCCTAAATGCATTCCACCTGCCTCCTAAATGCGCCTGCACACATTTTGGTATATTCTCCTGGCTCTCATTTTTACTGGTAAAGGAAGTTAAAACAAAAGGCCAAAAAAAACAACCAATCAGCATCTATTTATTTTTGAAAGTTAGCTCCCCTTAGGTTCCATGCATTCCACTTCTTTCTGGATCTCTGGTTTCACAGGCAAGATGGGACAGGCAGAGAGAACCTGGGCATGTGCCCTCTGTGGAGAAAGTGACTTCAGAAACCGCTGAGGCTCTATTAGCCTGGGATTCTAAACTCGGGGGGACATGAAAAACTCAAGAGATGAGTCATCAGGCTCTATATTCATAAGACTCTTCTCTGTGTGTGTGTGTGTCTCTTTTCAAACAAATAGCACTGCGCAGCATCCTTAGAGACTACAGCCAAATGTCCTTCATGTATTTTCTCTACATTTCAAGAATCTCGGGACCATGCTTCCTATCTAATGTGTGACCTTGAGAGTTAAAATCAAGGGGAAAAGGTCACCGAATTGGGGGCAAGTTTGAGTTCCCGTCACCAGCCACAATCTCTATATCAAATGGAGGACAACACACCACCTGGGCCTCGGCCAGGTTTGCCTGAAGCAGGGCCAGGCAGCCTCAAGGCCTCCATGGTAGGCTGAGGACATGGGGACGTGGGGAAAGGGGGTGCAGGGAAACTGGGAACTAGGAGGGGAGCGTGAGAAAGAGGGAATAAATGCGTACGCGGATGAAGAGGAACAGCAGGAGGAGATGAAGGCGGCGCACAGGGCAGAACGGCAGACACAGGGCTGGGAAGGTGGCAGGGCCGGACTCCAGAACCTCAGCTGAGCGTTTTCTTCTCCTGTGTCCCAGGGATGGTGTGAAGTGTCTACAGGCATCCGAGTGAACCCAAAGGGAGAGTTTGGCTGGCACACGGGGAGACGGGCCAAGGCGCGGCGGGCGAGGGCGGCACAAGCATGGCGCTGTGACACCACTGCTGGGAGCAGAGCTGAAAGGTGTCTTTTGCTGTAAGGACTTTCATAAGGCAGTCCCAATCCAAAGACTGGCTTTAATTTCACGGCCTTAGCCTCTCAGTTTCTTAAGCCTTCTGAGGACCTCCTGATCATGACAATTAAGTCACTATTTACAGCCATGTGACAGATAAATCAGTATTAGGTGATTTGTTCTGAAGGACCCCCAAAAGGAAACATATGAGAGAACCCACACTCGGCACAGGAACGGCAAGAGTCCTCCTGTGAGAGCTGAGAGATGACATTGGCCCTGAGTCTGTCCACTGCTGAAGCTTGGCAGAGGCGGGGGAAGCGCTCAGAACAGTCGGCTGCCACTGCTTAGTGGAGGGGAGGGCGTTAACGCGTTTCCCCATCAAAACCAAAACACAACAAAAAACCTCTCTGATTTGGGAATGTAATCATATAATTTCTACTTGGCAAAAATGTTGGTTGGCTATAGAACAAAAAGAACAATCTGAATCCAAGCTATTGCCTCTTAATCCTTTAATTAGGCTGAGTCTTTCAGAAGAAAGCACCATTCATTGTTATTGAAGGGAACCGAGAGCAAACGGAGATAGTGACACACACACACACACACAGATGCGCACATGCACACACACGTGTGCACACTTACATGAATGCATGTATTTGTAATGATTATAATTAAACTCTCTTGCTGAAGGGCTCAGAGTTTACAAAAAAATTTATTTGTGTCTGAGAGCCACGATTGAGAACATTAAAAAGGTCCTCCTGGGAATGTAACTTGGGGGAAATGTGGCGAGAGGGCAGGACTCGGCAGCCCATGGGCATGCCACAAGATGCGCCCAGGCGCTCTGGGGTGAACTCTGCTGTGACTTCAGGCCAGAGGTGTCTGCCCCCGCAGTGCCCTGACAGCTGAGTGGTCGGAAGGCCCCGGCTGGGAAGGATTCATTTGGAATCTTTCTTCTTCTTCTTTTTCACTAGCGTTTCTTCTAGTGTAGCGTCCTCTGCTATCTCTACTGGTTTTTGCAGCTTTTTCTTCCCTCTCCTCTTTTTGGGCTTCAGGGTGAAGTCCCGGCCCTCAGGCGGCTGCACATGGTCCCCTGCATCCTGAGCAGAGGCCTTGGAACTCTGGTCCCAGCAGGGGCCTCTGAGCTGCTCTTCTGCTGGCGCGCTCTTCTTCTTGGCCACTCGCTCCTGGGCCTCGGCCCTCTCGGGCTTTCCCTCCGTGTGCCTCTTGGCCTTAGGCTGGAGGTAACTTTCCACATCTTTACCTGTGGCCTCTTTATTTCTTTTCTTCCCCCTTTTACGTTCCACCTGCGTCTCAGAAATGTCAGACCCTGGAACTGGAACCTGGGGCTTGTTCTTCAGTGCTGCCATCCGCTTGGCAAAGTACTCCTGGATGGTGAAGGCGCTGGTTGTCGTGGTTTCGTTCTCCTCTGGAGTGGAGGGACTGGCATCGCCCTATGGTGGGCAGAAGAGTTAAAAGGCAGGTAAGCATCAACTGTTCATCCCTCACCGCACCCAGGAGGCACCCACACCCGGCGCTCACACCTGGCACCCACACCCGGCGCTCACACCCGGCACCCACACCCGGCACTTAGGAGACAAGGCTGAGTGACACGCTCCCTTTGGCCTCTCTCCCTTCTGGTCGGCCTGAACTGCAGGCCCGGAGCAAGGCGGCCACACACTCCGGCTGGGTACCAGGTGGGGTGGTAGATGACAGGCAGAAGCTAATGTCAGAAGGGAGCAGGCAAGCCGCCTCGATGGAATTCTGAGTAAATGTCTCCCTAGAAACAAGTGTTGTGGTGACTAAGCTCCCAGAATCTCCCATCAGAAACAGGGACACTGGTGTTCCAGAGCTTGGTGATTTTGTTAGACACCGATTTCATCTTCATTATGGGTTACATGGGCCCCTGTGTTGATCTAGAAACTTAGACGCCATCTGGATAGGTTAACCTTCCATGAGGACAGGAGCCGCATTCCACCCTGGAACCTGGCTTGCCGGGGGCACCCTTTCTCCCCCAAAGGTGGAGCGTGGCCGCTCTGGCAGCTGCTCCTGAAGGGAGGGCAGAGTGGAGACTCCGCGTGTCTCAGCCTCCTCCCTGAACCAACAGGCCAGCTTGGGGGCTTCTTTCCCTCAGCTGGGGGTGGGGAGTAGAGAAATGCCCCCTCCTTCCCTAACAAAAACTGTATACTCGGGACTGTGTTTGGGCTGTTTTTAAATGTGAGTTACTCACACATAACAGCTGGGATTAGGATTTTAATTTTAAATGAGTATATCTCATTGTCAGGTAATATCTGCTATAAGAAAAAATGTGAAAAATGTATATATCTAAAAGTACATTTTGCTGTAAAGCTTGAGAAGCGAGAGAAAATTCCTAAGGGGAGAGGCTGGGATAAAGAATGAAATGCTGGAATCGCCATTTGGGCTGAGGCTGGCAGTAAGGTGAGGAGGAGTGCCTGTGAGGCAGGAAGTGCTTTCGGGTTGAAGACTATAAGGAATATGCTCGGAGTCAAATCAATGTCTGCAGCAACTCTGCCCACAGAGACTCTGGAAATAAGTCATTAAGCAATCATGCTAAACTTAGGTTTTCATAGTCACCCAACTTCTTCCTTCATACTCATTTATCTCACAAGAAGAGGCTGGTGTTCTACGCTTTCATGATGGGAGGGTGGGAAACGGCTCCTGAATAAAGAAATCTCCAAATCAGGATTCTACTAATGATCCTAAACTTGGCTGGCAAGGTTCTGCTTGTGCAGGTAACTGAATTACAAACCACCTATAAACAGACCCTGTATTGTCTCGACATAGTGGTCCTCAAAAGCCACCTCAGTGGAATCCAAGATAATGTCCCAGTTGCAGTTCCAGCAGAATCGATATTAATATGTATCAATGGACAATTGGGCCTTCAGTGGCAAGTGCCTCAGACAGCTTTCACCAAGGGGTACATTAAAAAAAAAAATCATGTGGTCAATTCTGGAATTTCAAAATAGGCAGAACATGAAGAATAAATCAACTGAGTTTTGGGAAGCAGTTTTAATTTTATCTATTACTATTCAATTTGTGCTGGAATTCCATAGGGTGATTTTGAGAAAAATAAAAAAAATCTGCCTCAGGAGATTTGTCTTTTTGTTCTTCAAATGTTGAAAAAGAGCTGAAATGCTGCACAGCAGAGTGAAGGATCTTCTCAAGGCTCTCCCGGCACGAGCCAATCCCAGGCTCATGAACAAGAAAGATCCTGCCCCCCAAAGACGGGCACCCTCACAGCCACAGAGACAGGCTCGGTGACCAGGCACCCTCACAGCCACACAGAGACAGGCTCGGTGACCAGGCACCCTCACAGCCACAGAGACAGGCTCGGTGACCAGGCACCCTCACAGCCACACAGAGACAGGCTCGGTGACCAAGCACCCTCACAGCCACACAGAGACAGGCTCGGTGACCAGGCACCCTCACAGCCACACAGAGACAGGCTCGGTGACCAGGCACCCTCACAGCCACACAGAGACAGGCTCGGTGACCAGGCACCCTCACAGCCACACAGAGACAGGCTCGGTGACCAGGCACCCTCACAGCCACACAGAGACAGGCTCGGTGACCAGGCACCCTCACAGCCACACAGAGACAGGCTCGGTGACCAGGCACCCTCACAGCCACACAGAGACAGGCTCGGTGACCAGGCACCCTCACAGCCACACAGAGACAGGCTCGGTGACCAGGCACCCTCACAGCCACACAGAGACAGGCTCGGTGACCAGACACCCTCACAGCCACACAGAGACAGGCTCGGTGACCAGGCACCCTCACAGCCACACAGAGACAGGCTCGGTGACGACGGCTGGCTCGTTTATGCAACAGAAGTCTCACTGACAGTTTCGCAGCACTACAGGAGCCTGCAGTCTGTGGGCCACTCTTTTGGAATGTATTTTTGAGGCTGGAACTCAGATCTGAGTCGAATCCTATGACTCCTTACCTTGCTCATCTATTTATTACCTTGTGAATTCCTGATTTTAATCACCGGAACTAATTGCTGGTATTAATCACATTTTTTATTATCAGGAAATACAAGACCATTTTTGAGTCACTTGTTGAATTCAGCGGGTCTTCGTAACTCCAGAAAGTAAGTATGCTCATATGCTCATCATCAACTTCTGGGATGTAAGTTTAATAGGCACGGGTCACTGCACAGGCTTGGCAGGGCATGGAGACAGGCTAGAGACGGGCCAGCACCCAAGTCCTACTTCTTCCCAGCAAAGTGCTGGCCACACAATGACTGGCTAGAGAGAGCTGCTTAATGCGGGGGTAGCCACCCTCCCACATCACAGAAACGTGCCTATTTTACAAGACCATGGACTCAAAGGAAAAATACATTGAAAATCTGACTCCTGCAGGAGCAATGGCCAGGACTCATCTTTTATACACCAAAGTCGGAGACTCAGTTTCACTGCAGAGATTCTAATCCTGCTTCTGCATTCTTGACCATGGCATCACATAAAAATAGATACATCTTTTCAAGAAAACTAATGCTTTTACATCTGGTCTCTATCAAAGTAAACAAGTATTGAGAAAACAAGTTACTTTTAAGCATTTTGAAATGACAATAACTTGCATTTTCCCACATTTCCATTAAACACACAATACACCTCAAAAAATAAAATAAAAAAAAATTTAAATGCGACATTCACTGCTTCATAAACGTTGAGAATGTCTGTTTGCTAACTGTGTGCCAAAACCTAATGAAACAAATTTAAGAGTAACTTGAAAACTTCTGGTTCCATATAAAATACTACCAAGAAATATGGTTAATCATCTTGCCAAATGTGATTTAAGCTCAGGGATTCGGGAAATGTCTCTCTCTCTTTTTCAAATTCCAATGCTTGCTGTTCAGCTAAAGGAGGTTTTTGCCACTAATGGCAAAAACCGTGATTACTTTTGCACCAGCCTAATAAAATAAGCAGGACTGGCCTAGTCTGTTCACAGCAAGCCTCACAGTCCTCTCCCTTCCTTCAGCGCTAATGAGTGCATCACATGTGTCAAAAACATTTGATGACTGACTTTCCCAAATGGTAAGTGGGCCTTAATTTCTACCCAATCAATAAGTACTTGTGGCTTTGAACTGAGATGACTCTGGAGCACCTGTTCCCCAGTTCACAGAGCCCTGAGAGTTTAAAGCCAGGCCCATGGGATCACCCTGCTCAATCATTTGAGGAAGCTTCACCCAAAGTGATCAGGCCTGGGTGTCCTGAGGAAGGCAGCTATCACCACCGTGCCAGGCACTTGACATCAAGTGGCATCTCAGCCAACTCTTGCTGCAACCTGAGGAGAGGCATCCTCTCCACATCACACAGGCAGAGAGTGAGACTCCTAGCACTTAATCCGCAGAAGGTCTCACAGCTGGAACACAGCAGGAGAGAGACAGCCCTAAGGCTGCCAGGTGCAAAGCCCTTGCTCCCTGTACCACAGGACCCCGACTCCTAGCTCCCACCTCATGGACTGCCTTGTCACCTTTCCTCTCTCTTCAGAAGCCACCCCAAAACTAAAGTATGTATCAATTGACCACATAATCCAGAGACTAAGGTCTACACTCACCTAAGTTGACTGATGCAGAAAAAATATCCACAGAAATAGTACTTTCAAAAGAGAAAAAAACTACATCATTTTGGTTTGCAATTCATATAAATAAAAAACAGCCTGAAGCCAGGCTTAAAAGAGTTTTATAATTTATCAAACTAGCATGTACATTCACTTGAAAAAGTTTGACTGTTTTAAAGCACAGAGTAAAACCCAAGTCCAAACCTTCCACCCAGGCAAGAAGCCCTCTTGGGCAGATGCTGGACAGCTTCCACCTGGACACTGCCAATATGGAAAGGTGGCTGCTGTGGTTCTCTGACTCAGTTTCCTCATCAGCAACAGGTCAATTCAGGTGGTTCATGGGCGTACACTGTGTGTCACGATTAGAGCTGGAGAATCTTAACGCCATCTCTGGCAATTCCAAATTATCACTGAGGAAAAAACAAAGAGTGGGCACAAAGGCAAGCTGACCCTGCAGAGAGTCCCTGCGGGTATCAATTACAATACACCACAGTCCTCTCCGGTCCCTGAAAGATGCCTGAAGCTACATGTATCAACTCTTCTCGGATGTCTACAGAATTAAAGTCTGTTCTGCTTCTTTTAGGATCCTCCATCTGGAGACTCTGCAGCTACATGAGTGAGTATCTGCGCAAGATCCTCTGGGCTCATGGAGGACTTTGCTCTTGTGTCATTCAAACATGTATACTGAGATGGATTATTAGTACAATGCCCAAATAGAGAGGATTCTCCATTATTCTCAAAAGAATCTTTTGGGGCAAGGAAATGAAGCAGTTTGCACAGAGACCTTAGTGAAGTACCAGAAGCAGATGCACCTTACTACAGAATCCCCCTACTTATGATCAACATGCCAGTCCAGGAAATGGGCTTCAAAGGCAAGTCTTTCAGCTCGCCAGCCTTGCTCATACATCACTACTGATCTTAAGTGACAGGATGATGGAAGCTTTCTTATTTCCACATTAAGACACGGAGGTCATGCTGCAACAGTAATCCTTCAATGAACTTTGTTAACAAAGTAGACTCCCAGAGATCAAGGGTAATGTATTTAGCAACTGGGGTTGTGAGCCCTGATGGCTATTGCCTGTGATGAACAAATGCTCACTGCCACCACAGCCTGTCTGTCATCAGCCTGTGCTGGGTTAGTCTGTGAAAAGTTAAGAAAGCTTGGCAAGTGAGTGGTTTGACAGAACATTCTGTACCTTTTCCAAACTTTTCAGTGGGGCAGTTCTGACAAACACAAATTATGTCTTCATGTATCCCTTCAGGTAGGAAGTGACTGTGTGTGACTCCTCAAAACAAAGGGATTGTGGAGACCCCACCGTCAGCTGTGTGTGTACTTTAAACTCCTCCAACAGAAGGGGCAGGATGAACTGACCCAGTCACTCCCTATGCTGGCCTACGATGTTCTTCCACATCCCCTGTACACAGTCCCGTGCATCACTTTCTTGAAGATCAAGTGTGTGACTGCTTCCTTCCACAAGTCCAATCCCAAGTGAACATCCTTTCTCGTTTATTCCCCATAATAGCAACTTGTTGCTTCTATTTTCTGTATTTGTTTAATTTGCTTTGCTAGCATCTTCCCAAGGAAACAAGTTTCTTGAGGACAGGGGCCATTTATGTTTCATTTGTATTCATACAATCCACAACCTCCCTAATGAGGAACAAGGTACAGTAAGTGCTCAACAAAGGCACAAAGACACCAAACCCAGCTGGACCAAGGCTGTGAAGAGCTCCCACCACCACCCACTGGCCCCAAATGCTTTGTGTTTGTCAGTACGAACTTGTCTGCACATCAGGCAGGTCTAATGTCCAGAAGGGGTGTGGGAGGGTAAGAAGAGAATCAGCATTTTGAGTGCAGATTCCTCCCATCCACATGAAACCACCCCCTTCTCATCAGATAGCACCTTCCCTTGCCTCGTGATGCAAACTGCTTCTCTAACTACTGCAGAGTACATCTGAGTGTCGTCTGCTGTCAGCCAGTTCCTTCCTGGCCCTTAGCAATAAATAGAAACTCAGTCCAGTGATCCATCCATTTCTCCTTCTGCTCTGTCATTCCACATGTTACCACAGTTGCCTTGGAGGGGACAAGTCAATTGGAAAAAAGCAAGGTACTGTGTGGTATGGGAACTGCCACGTTCTTTTTGTGGGATTAGTTGAACACAAGCAATGCCAGTAGAGACTGAACTGTTCTTGCTAAAGAAGAGAACTGTTCTTGGTAAAGAGAAGAGAGTTCTCGTGCATACCACATACAAAGGTAAGCAGCTCATTTGGAGAACAGCAGTGGGATGGAAGTTCCACCAGCAGCCTCTGGTAGCAAGCTGTGAAGGCACAGCCTACATTATATCTTAGCTGAAAACAACCTGGGCAAGCTGATTCTAGGGAGTCATTGAAATGGGTTTGCCACTGAAGGCTGAGCTAGGCAGTGATTCACGGCCGTTCGTTGGAAAGCCTGCCCTGAGCCACTATGGCGGGCGGCCCTGCTCTTCTCTCTATGGAACCTCTGTGGTTTCATGCTTTTCCTTCGTGGTTTCCATGTAACTGAAAACATCCAGTGTTTTATTGATGAACAGCTATTTTTACACTCACAAAAAGCTTTTCAAGTGTGAAATCTTGTACATTTTTCAAGACATTCATCGCTCACATCTGGAATTAGGCTAAACGCACCAAGTCTCGGCAATGAGCAGCCTCGGGGAATTTGCCTGGGAGACACAATCAGTTTTAGCATTAGCAAGTATCACAAGAGTCAAAAACAAATATAAAACCCCATTGACTGAAGAGAGTTGTGATTTGAAGTGGTATTAAAAAGCAAAGATATAATAACAGAATGAGAATTATGCAGCAACTCAATTGGAAAACACAGAAATTGTGTGTGCGTGCACATGTGAAACAGGTGTAAGAACCTGTGGCATGTATTAGAAGCCCACTCTGCAGGGGTTCCAGAGGGTTCTCTCTAGAACAGAGACTGGTGAACTATGGCCGTGGGCCTAGTTTTTAATGATTTTTTTTTTTTTTTACCATTTCTAAATGGTTAGGAGGAAACAAAAAACTATTTTATGACATGTAAAAATTACATGAATTTCAAATACCAGTGTCCTTAAAGTTTTGAATTTCCTCAGTAAAAATCTTGTGAAAATTTGTTTTCTTTCTCATTATACAAGTACATACAATAGGTGCTAAGTAAATATTTACTGAATAAATGTATTATAAAATCGGCTCTGTGACTGTGAATACAATACGGCTGACTTTTGGAAGTGGCAGGTGCTTTTCCAGTGCACACACACAATATACCTTTATATACACACATGTACATATATACACGTATGGAACTGGAGGACGCTGGGCTTTGACAAAGTCCTCAAGCTCTGTCTCCTGCCAGCGACAGAATGCCTACCTTTCTGAACTGTGTCAGCAAGCAGCAGAGAGGCTGCTAACTGCTGCCTGCTTTTGAGTAGCAAAAGACAGTAAAGAAAAAATTTGTTTAAAAAGTGATGTGACATCAAAGAGCACTCTCAGCAACCCAGTAAGTATGCAGAGATACCTTTCTAATATCAGGCATCAGAACTCCGCTTGGAAGTTACAAACTCAGACACACCGGACATTGGAGAAGATAATACGAACTAGAAGGGACAGAATAGCTTGGCTGGACTTTAGTAGAGAAATACACAGAATGCCAAATTCCTCATATGAAGGCCAATGGTAACAGAGCTGTTAATTTTATGTCTTTTTATTTTTATTTTTTCCCATATGCCTAACCAGCTATTCCGATTGCCACTTATTAGGAAAAGCCGACATAAACATGTTTTAAAAGGATGGTTCTCTATGGCAACAGCTTCTCAAGTAATCAACATCAGGATCACTGACAAGAGTCATCCAGCCTCTGTGGAAAAAGAGGAAAGAGAAAGAGGAGCAGGCTTCCTGCCTCCCTGAAAGGCCCTCAGGCTCGGAAAGCTGCAGTGACAAACTTTCCCGACACACTGGCCATGGAAGATAAACGAGGCTCCTCCAGAGCTGGAGATGATCAATGTGACACAGGCCTCAACTTCTGTGAATGATGTCTAAAAATAATCCAAATTGACTGCATTTTATAATTCCAGGTCAAATCGTTCTCTCCCCTGCTCTCCAGAGGCAGGACAAACAGCTTTGATAAACAGCTGAGACCCAGCACTGGCCTCTCACAGAACAGAGCAGAAGCTTCCAGAGGGTTCTGTCTCTTCCATCTTTATTCCACAGGAAGAGGTGAAAATTGCTGAAGAACCATGACAACTCAAATGTAGGCTCCTTACTATAGAAAGCACAGCAGTTCTTGAAGATTCTATTAAATGTAAAATCTTCTAATTTCTAAAAAGAATAAGGTCTTTTTTTTTTTTTGAGACGGAGTTTCACTCTTGTTGCCCAGGCTGGAATGCAATGGCACAATCTCGGCTCACCGCAACCTCCGCCTCCAGGGTTCAAGTGATTCTCCTGCCTCAGCCTCCCGAGTAGCTGGGATGACAGGCATGTGCCACCACGCCCAGCTAATTTTGTATTTTTAGTAGAGACAGGGTTTCTCCATGTTGGTCAGGCTGGTCTCGAACTCCCGACCTCAGGTGATCCACCCGCCTCGGCCACCCAAAGTGCTGGGATTACAGGCGTGAGCCACCGTGCCCAGCCGAATAAGGTCTTTTTAGAGAATAAAATACTTATTTTGAAACTAGGAATAGGGTATGCATAGTTACATGGAATAATTAAGTAGTCATGATTGTTTATAAAAGAAAGGTAAATTAGGTGAATATAGTTGACTAACAAAAAAAGTCTCTTCTTTCAATTCTTATAAACTACTTAAGGCTAATATTTTCACATACTCTTTCTTTCACCAGAAATCAATGTAGCAAATAAAAATATTTGAGAAATATTTTTAGGAGTAAATTTGGCAAAGCAAAGTCATTCTATGTTTAAAAGATACCGAAATTAGTAAGAATAAATAAAATTCCGAAATTAGTCATGTTAAAAGAGTAAATGATATAAAATAATACATCAGACAGTGTTCTTATCACAATAAAAAAAAGGCAATATACCGGCACAACTTATTTTTAGCATAGACAAAAACTAAACAACAACAAACCAACTACAAAGCCAATTCTACTCAAGAAAAACCCTAACCAGTTACACTGAGACTGTAATTCCAAGGAGCTCATAAAAAATAAAAATTGTTACTGCTATTAAATATATAATCCTATAACCTCTTCTCTTGTTTTACACAAGCTATAAGTTTTTATTTTATAAACAAAAAATATATTGAAAACTTAAGTGAAAAAGTACAAGAAAGACTGTCTCCCTGCATGTTCAGAATCCAAAAAGGTTCTTGAAGCAAGACCTGCCTCGCTGGCAACAAAGCATTGCTTGCAGTTCTGAACCCACCCAACCACCAGAAATTCAATGCCCTCCAGCATGCTGCTTCTCAAACTATCAGGGGTAAAGGATTAGTTCTGTCTGTTTTGTGGGTTTTTTTTTGTTTTTTTTTTTTTTTTGCCTTTAAAAATTTTGAATCCATTACAGGATTACAGGGCAAGATTTTTATAAAGTTAAAAAAGTTAGCAGAAAAATGAAGTTTTAAAAAAGACATCTAAAACCCAAGTCCTAAAATATTGTCAAACTACTAGAAAAGCTTCTAAATGCTTACTCTTAATTTCTGTCTTTATCTTGTCTATGGACCATAATTTGAGTGGCACTGCTATACAATATCAGCTAGCAAAGGACAGAAAACGGGTACTCAATTTAAGATAGTATAAGTGGCAATGACCTGGCTGTCAGAAGATTGGAAGCACAACTGACAGAACATGTGATCTAGGACAAGTCACCGGCCTTTCCAGGCCTCAAATGCAATCATTTGCAAGACAGGGAAATAGGGCTCCTCAGTAACTTTTTTCAACATAGTTTTTTCACATGACTTTCTTCAAACACAATCTTAAACAGAAGGCCAATCTGTACAACATCTCAGGAAGCTTTGGCTGCAGCGGGGTGGGGGCAACCCAAAGCTCATGTCCCAACCCTCCCCTCAAATCCCCTTGTAAAAGCCCCTGGGGATGCTAGAACTCTATGGAATCCACTTTGAAAATCAACAGCTACATTTTTAAGGTCCATCACAATTCTAGCATTCATTATAGCCTAGATAAGTCCATAGCACTCAGTAAAAGGAGAAGGCAAAAGCTTTCGAGAATAAAATTGGTCTTGGGCTGGGGGCGCTGGCTCACACCTGTAATCCCAGCACTTTGGGAGGCCGAGGCAGGTGGATCACCTAAGATCAGGAGTTTGAGACCAGCCTGGCCAACATGGCAAAACCGCATCTCTACTAAAAATACAAAAATTAGCCGGGTGTGGTGGTGCAGCCTGTAATCCCAGCTACTTGGGAGGCTGAGACAGGAGAATCTCCTGAACCTGAGAAGCGGAGGTTGCAGTGAGCCGAAGTCGTGCCACTGCACTCCGGCCTGGGTAACAGAGTGAGACTCCGCTCAATAAATAAATAAATAAATAAATAAATAAACAAACAAACAAACAAATAAAAATTGGTCTTTAACATTATATAATATATATAATTCTTAACACTGTCATTAACCTTTGGAATGTCAGCAATTGGCTGTCAGAATTGTACAGCCAACCAATTTCTTCCAAAAATGGTAACACAGAATCAAAACTGAACTCCCGCCTCAAGTTGCTAACTGGGTCCTCTTGAGGCTCACAACGGCTGATGATGACCTCAGGCTGCCCACTCTTCCAGCTCTGCGTCGTAAGGTCAGGAAGGGACCACGAGGAAGGGGAAGCAAGGGACGGGATGGTGCTGCCCAGACCTGTCACCAGAGTCGCCACCCTGCTCCCTTCAGACTACGGCTGGAGACGCTGGAGACGCAGAGCTTTGCCTTCTCCGCCAACCCTTCCCCCACACTGCAACCCAAAGAAAGGTCCCCCTTCTTCCTGTTTTCATGATGTCACAGAAGGAAAATCTGGGGAGGAATGTTATTTCTGCTTTCCTGGCAAGAGAGAAGGACAGAAGGAAAAATAAGCCAGTGTTTTCCTCCTCTTCTCCTGCACTAGACCATATGTATGTCAGTTTCTTACTATCACAAAAGCTCTTAAAACCACTTGCTTCATCTGTCAACAAACAAAAAGCCAAATCTAATCCTTTCAGGCCGAACGTGTCCTGGTGAAGCTCTAACCAAACAAAACAGCCCAGCAACTTCCAACCCTTGGGTGTGTTGGCAGGCCCTGCCCTCACCCTCACTGCTTTCTCATTTCTTCTTTATGAGTGTCTTATTATGAAGTTATGTTTGCTGATCTACAAGACGACATAAATTTTTACTGGTACTAAAACAACTCTCAAAAAGTCATGACCCACTTTCTCCTTTCTGGCTCCTCTAGAAAGCAGAGGCAGGCCCAAGCCCCGTTTGAAGTCCTTGCTGCCGGGAGATGGCCAGTTTATGTCTCTTGTCCTAGGACAGGAAAAGGATGCACTCTCGGCACCATGTGCTAGAGCGAGATAAGACCAGAGATTCTGTCCTCGGCACCTTATCAGCTTTTCCTGCCACTTTCCAGAGCAGACAGCACCATGGCTGGCAATGAACGAAGCTAGTTGAAGGGGGGTTGGGTGTGCGAGTGGCTTGGGGACTGCAGGGAGTGAGGTAGGCAGGGTGTAGAATGAGAAAAGGAAAGAGAAGAGGTTCTTCATGTATCTTAAAATGGTTTGGTCCCCCCAAAATTGCCTTTTTTTTAAAAAACACATGGATTTTGCATCTCTGTTGGAACTGTAGCAACTAGGAGAGATGTTTTTATAAGGACTTCCGTTCTGGTTAGAATGAACCACCACTTTCATTGCTTCGCACCCTGCCCGTCACTGCCTTGTACGACTGGCTCCTGGGCACGTAGCACAGGATGGATCTGCTATCAGATACTCCGTGGAAAGACTGCGGGGTCCAGGTTGCAGAGCGGGTGCCTTCCACAGGCACGCAAGCCTCTATCTGCACACCCAGCAATCTCCTGGGGCCAGGACACACTTGCTCACACGGGATAATCCGCCTCACAGTGCAAAGGAACAAGGGAGGCTATGGGACACTCCTCCAAATACAGACGAATGGCATCGATGAGCTGCTTTGTTCTCCAACAAATAACATCTGTGAATCCAAGGATTACACTCTTTAGAAACCCTGGTCTTTGGGGGCTGGGTTAGGGAGGGGGTGAATATAACTCTTGGAAAAAAACCTAGAATAAGCAGGGAAATTTTAACTTAGTTATGGACTCAGTTATTGATAATGAACTCATGAAAGTTCAGGTTGAGTATCCCTTATTTGAAATGCTTAGGACCAGAAGAGTTTCCGATTTTTGATTTAGGGATATTCAACCTGGAATATCAATATAAATATGCTAAATTGATATTCCAGGTTGAACATCCCTCTCGTTTTTGCAAATTGTTGTCTATGAAACCAAATCATTTGTCCTGTAAAGTTCTCTCATAATCAGATTTTTGCTGAATGTATCCCCGTGGCATAGGTTAACACATTTCTCTGTCTCATGTATCTCCTGTAGGGTTCAAGTGAGAGGCAGCCTTACTTTCTAACGGAGCACTTTTCCAATGCCAGCATGTTGTTTTATGAAAAACTGGGCTGGATTCATGGTCTAAGTAAGTTTGGGAAACAAACCTGTGCTATTCCTCCCTTTGATTCACAATGCATATCACCATCTGAGACACGTGGCTGCTGTTAAACTTCAGAATGGCCCACATTTATTTGATCCTGGAACCCTTTTTGGTAAACACCCACTGGCATCCCATGAAATTAGTGCTCTGCTGAACTTACTTTGAAAGGGCTATTTAAACAGATAGTTCCATTATCTGGATAAAATGAGTAGTTCTCTTGTTAAATCTCATAGTTAAATCTTTGTTTTGTCCCAGATTGTCCAAGAGGGTGGGCTTTTACCCATGTAAGTTTTTGCAAAAATGACAAAAGCATAGCAGGGAAGTGAAAAGAGGGCCTGGCAAGCATCCCACTATGGACGCTAGCTTGCAGAGCGCCTCTGGGAGGAGAGGTTAGCTCTTTCCCAGCTATCACATGATTGAAATGGGAATGTCTGTTCCTAGGTTTAGAAAAATTACGCTTCCATTTTGGAATGGAGGGTAGCGGAGAAATAACATATCCTAAATGATGCCAAGTATGGATGTATTTTCTTTGTTTACTTTTAAGACTGCCTACAATCTAGCCGTATTTTTTAAAGGATTATGTGTAAGCAGCAAGCCCTGCAGAGTCTGACAGTGAGATGACCACTGTGAAGAAAGATCCTGGGTGTCAGGTTCCACTTAAAGGCCGTGCAAAGTTCAAACCACAGAACCAAGAATAAATGTATAAAATAACGAAGTGAATAAAATATGGAACACAGAAGTCAATGGACATATAACAAAATCAAATTCAAAAAAGCAATTTCTAAAAGTGAAATGAAACAAACTTGATTCTGCAACTAGCTGGTGAAGAGCCACACAAAAAGAAATTCCAGATGACTGAAAACATAATAATTTAACTGTATAGACTGAATGGGAAATACATAAAGACAAAAAGAACTGCCACACACCCAAAACAAACCCTCTGAATCTCTCTCTCTCTTTTTTTAAAATGATCAAGTTATTGGCATTACTCTGTAACTATTGTGTGTATAATGGGAAATAAGCAAATGAGTACTGTGATATTTTAATGCTTTTATTTCTGGAACCTGTTGATTCCAGGAAACTTACTGTCGGGAAGTAAAGATAAAAGATGAGTGGGGTTAAGTACTTGTGGTCCTAAATCTAATCTGGCAATATGACTATAAACTCAGGATATATTTTATCATAAAGAAATTATAGTTTTATACATGTAACAAGGCCTACAAATGAAGACCAATCTAGGAAGAAATGAACAACCCCAACGCCTAGACTGTGTCGCTAAATATCACTTACCACAAAGAAAGGAATCAGGGAGAAAGGGACGACTCCAAGTGTGGGGCAGAAAATGTACACAGTGGACCTGGAAACTCTTACACTAGATTGGAAGGAAGCTATTAAATACCACTTAGGGTCATCTCAACAGTACTCAGGTCATTATCTGTGTATAGAAATACCAGAGATTTTTGTATGTTGATCATGTATCCTGCAACTTTACTGCATTCATTTAGTTCTAACAGTTTTCTGGTAGTCTTTGGGGTTTTCTACATATAGGATCAGGTCATCTGCAAACGAGATAATTTTAATTTTTCCTTTCCAATTCAGAGATCTTTTATTTCTTTTTCTCATCTGACTGCTCTTAATAGTACTTCCAGTACTATGTTGAACAGAAATGGCAAGAATGGACATCCCTGTCTTGTACCAGATCTTAGAGGGAAAGCTTTCACACTTCCCCCCATCAGTTATGACACTAACTATGGGTTTTTCATAAGTGGCCTTTATTTTGTTGAGAAATTTTCTTTCTGTACCTAAATTGTTGAGAGTTTTTACCAATAAAGGATGCTGAATGCTTTTTCTGTGTTGACTGAGATGATCACGTGGTTTTGTCTTTCCATCTGTTAATATAATGCATTACATTGACTGACTTACACAGTTAAACCAGCCTTGCACGCCAAGGATAAATCCCAAACAAATGAAAACCTAGCTGAAAAAGAAACCAAGAAAACAATCCCATTTATGGTACCATCAAAAAAAAAAAATCAAAATACTTAGGGATAAATTTAACATAGGAGGTAAAAGACCTGTACACTGAAAACTATAAAACACTGATGAACGAAAAAGGACACAGATAGATGGAAAGATATTCCATGCTTATGAATTAAAAGAATATTATTAAAATGTCCACATGACCCAAAGCAATATACAGATTCAATGTAATCTGCCAAAATCCCAATGGCATTCTTAATAGAAATAGAAAAAACAATTCTAAAATCCACATGGAACCACAAAAGACCTCGAATAACTGAAGTAATTCTGAGAGAGAAAAACAAAGCTGGAGACACCACACTTCTTGATGTAAAATTATATTACAAGCTATAGTAATTAAAACAGTATGGTACTGGCACAAAAAACAGACACACAGACCAATGGAACAGGTTAGAGAACTGAAATAAATCTAAACATTTATAGTCAACTAATTTTTGACAAGAGCATGAAGAAGACACAATGGGGAAAGGATAGTCTCTTTAATAAATGGTGCTGGAAAAACTGGGTTTCTCATGTAAAAAAATGAAATTGGACCTTATCTTACAACATATACAAAAATCAACTCAAAATGGATTAAAGACCTAAACATAAGACCTAAAACCATAAAACTCCCAGAAGAAAACACAGGAGAAAAGTTCCTTGACACTGCTTTTGGCAATAATGTGGATATCACACCAAAAGCTCAGGCTACCAAAGCAAAAATATGTAAACAGGACTACATCAAACTAAAAAGCTTCTGCACAGCAGAGGAAACAATCAACACAATGAAAAGGCAACCTACAAATTAGGGAAAAATACTTGTAGACCATGTATCTGATATAAAGTTAATATCTGAAACTTAAAAAGAACTCAAGCAACTCAGTAGCAAGAAAATACATAACCTGATTAAAAAATGGACAAAGATGCTGGACAGGTATTTCTCAAAAGATGACATACACATGACCAAAAGATGCTCAACATCACTAACCATCAAGGAAATGTAAATCAGAACCATCATGAGATATCATCCCACACCCATTAGGAGAGTTATTATCAAAAAGATAAGAGATAATAAGTGTTGGCAAGAGTGTGGAGAAACAGGAACCCTGTACACTGCTGATGGGAATGCAGATTGGCATACCCTCAAAGAAAACAGTGTGGAGGTTCCCAAAGGAATTAAAAATACAATTACTGTATAGCCCAGCAACCCCTCTTCTGGAAATATACCCAAAGCAAATCAAATCACCTTGTGAAGATGCCTGCAGTCCCATGTTCACCGCAGCAGTTTGCATAATAGCCAAGACATGGAAACATCCTAAGTGTCTGTCCACAGGTGAATGGATAAAGAAACTGTGGTGTGTATGTATGTATACAGTGGAATATTACTCAGCCTTTAAAAAGGAGGAGATCCAGCCATTTGCCACGACATGGATGAACCTAGATGACACTATGGTAAGTGAAATAAACCAGACAGGAAAGAAAAACATTGCATGATCTCACTGATAAGATGGAATAGAAATAGAGAGTAAGATAAAATGTGGTTACTGGAGCAGGGTGGGGGATAGAAATGGGGAGATGTAGGTCAAAGGATGCAAAGTAGCAGGTGTGTAGGTCCCCACACTGTACCTTAGCTCTCTGCACTTCAGATCTAAGGTATGGTGTGGGGACTGTGGCTAATAACAGTGTACTGTGTCAGGAGGTTCACTAAATGAGATTACACCTGCTCTTGCCATGAAGGGAAAATGGGTAACTATGTCACTACATATATGTAACTCATAACATGTACAGCTTTAAATATACTCGATAAAAAAAAAAATTTTTTTTTTTTAAGTACTCAGAGGCCAGGCGCAGTGGCTCACGCCTGTAATCCTAGCACTTTGGGAGGCCAAGGCAGGCGGATCATCTGAGGTCGGGAGCTCAAGACCAACGTGGCCAATATGGTGAAACCCCGTCTCTACTAAAAATACAAAAATTAGCTGGGCGTGGTGGCTCACGCCTGTAATCCCAGCCACTCAGGAGGCTGAGGCAGCAGGATCACTTGAATCCAGGAGGCGGAGGTTGCAGTGAGCCGAGATGGTGCCACTACCCTTCAACCTGGGCAACAAAGTGAGATCTGTCCAGATAAAAAAAAGTACTCAGGAGCCAGACTCCCACTGGGTAGAAATGGAAAATTTGATCACCAATAAAGATAATAGCTGCAATGCATTGAAACGTCAAACATTTCAATTCACGAATAATAAAAAAAGGAAAACCCTCCAGTCATCTTTGGAGAATGCTAGAGCACCTCCTCATTTGGAAATTGCTAAATAAAGGATATAAATATTTATTCTGTCTTTCCTATATGCACTGTTCCTCAGAGTAATCTACTAATAAGGGGAAACACACATTCCAAATTTCATTCTAAAAATGAAAGAGGAACAGAAAGAAATATGGAGGGAGACTCCATAGATTGCAAGAAATTTAAAAGATATATCAACCAATTGTTACGTGTGACCCTTATTTGAATCTTAATTCCATGAAAATGTAAAGAAAACTGAAATTTATGACATTTATGAACATTGAGCTTTGAACACTTATTAATAGTATGCAATTACTATAAATTTTTATAGAGTATAATGGCACTGGAGTTACACATTTTAAAAAAGAACCTCTTAACCTTTAGAGATAAATACTCAAGTACTAAAATACCTGTGGATGAAATAGTGATTTCTGGGATGGATTTGTTTCAAAGTAACACAGAAAGGAGAAGTGTCTGGAGCACTTACAGACTAGCCATCAGTGTGTTTGTTGTTCCCCAAAAGGACCTGTGCTTTCAAGAACCCGTGTCTTTGCAGATATGGTCTTTTTTTCTCTCTGGAAAGCCTCTGAACCTGCCAGTTGCTGCTCCTTCAAGACACATACAAAGGTTATCTTCCTTGATCTCTGCAAGCTGAATCCAGCGCTGCATCACATATGCCCCCAGTCCTCTGGCACAGCACTCAAGGCCTTTGCTCCAGTTGACTGTGAATGTCCCAGACTTCCTGATGAAGTTGTGAACAGGGATTATACCTTACCCATTTAATCATCTGTCATGCAATAATGCTACTGGGTAGCAAGAAAAACATCTGAGTTAAGTAGGAAAAGGAATTGGAGGGGAGAGGGAAACAGGAAGAAAATGATTAAAGTACTATTACTCAGAACTATGAAATAATGAGATATTACCCTGAAGGGAGTCATTCTAAGACTATAGCCTTGTGTAAAGACACTGAGTCAATTCAAGCCTGATCCTAACATTTTAAGACATAGATGACTAGAAAGTAGGCTCTGTTTATGAATCACTTGTAACTTCAACTCAAAGACAGCTGATTTTATTCACTAATGTTAAGAAGGTGCCTCCACAGTATGAGCCTAACAGTGGTTAAAGCCTTGTAAGAATCCCTATAAAGAGTCTAAACTAAACTCTGACCAATGATGATAATGTGTCATGCATCATGATTAATCCAATTTAGAGTATCTGAGGTCCATTAAAAAACAAAATAATGTGAAAGTCATGCTTCTGCCTGTATAATAACACACAGATCTCCATAGCAGGGAGGACACAGGGGATGAGAGTGAGGAGGCTGATCTAAAACGAAATGACTGATTTAACTAAATGAATAATATCACTGTTTTACTTTAGAAAGCACATCACACATTTTAGAAGATTTATAAGTGGCTCTCCTTAGGATCACAAAGTAAGCAGGCACACAAATCCAATCTAAAACTTTTAACAATTTGGGAATCGGAATTCGATACATTATTTTAAAGCTGATACTCTACTTACAAGTTTCAGCGCTACCTAGAAATAAAAGAAAACTAACTACACTGATTCCCAAAGTCTACTCAACAATTTCCTATAAAAGCTATGTTCCTTTTAGAAAGGGTGCTGACATGAAATGTTCAGATTTACTTAGGCAAAGTAGCTTTCCTAAGTTAGCTTTTCTGCTTGCAGAAAAATAAACCTCACAAAACCTAGTTTACTGAAAGGCATAAAGTAAGTTTAAGCACTTGTTAAAAAGCTATTTGGAGTTCAGGCCCACAAAATGCTTCAAAACCAGTCAGGTAAAATTTAAAACCTCCATGTGATTTTAAGAGTCAGAACGTGAATTAAAGGAGCCTGGACTAAAGTTAGGGGACAGAGGTGACTGAAGGGGGGATGTCATTAATGCTAGTACTTTGCTTAAAGCAAGCCTTTTTGATGCAGAAAAGATAAACTTGTCAAAGAACAACAGATGACAAATCAAAGACTAAAGCATTTCAGCCTCGTGCTCTTTGGCAGAGACTGCCCGCTGTTCGAAGACATGCAAACTCTGAGTGAACTTCCTAGAGGCTCAGGTGGCTTCAGAAAAGAATTAACAGAACCTTCAGAAACAGAAAAACCTACCAGCACTCTGATCCCTAATAAACATAAAGAGCGTATCATTTAAATCTTACCAAGGAAAAAAACTTCTTTTTAGAAAATTCCCATAACGTTTTAAGCTAGTTCAAGATTGTGTTTTAAACAGAAATTTCTGGTTGTTACAAAGTAGTTCCAATGGAATTATATAAGATTACAATTTAAAGACAGATAAGCATCAAGAGATATTCTAAACTACACTTACAGCTATTAAGGAAATCCTACTAACTTCAAGCTAAGTTTAAGCTGCTTCTTGCATTATTCTATGGAAGGATTGGCGTAGCAAGTTAACCCATCAGAATCTTATTTTAATACTTTACTTTAGAACCAGTCTACGAAAAGATAAGATTCTTAGACTCCATCCAATCATGCTTCGGTGATAAATTATCCAAATGACTTAATTATAAACAGTTTGAATTACAAAGAACTCCTAAGGCACAGGAAAATGTTTATTTAAATTACTATAAAAAACACTTTCAGGTAGCTTCAAGCAATAGGATAGCACTCACTTATACAAACATTTGTTGTACTAATTACAATTAGTTCTTATTATAGCAATCCCACTGGGACAGTTTGAACAATAAGCTGGGGTTGAAGCTGTTTTTTCCTCTAGAACAAAAGTTCTTAAACCCCAAACTCAAATAAGAAAGATCTTAAATACAAATGCTTTTCACAACACTGAACTAACTTGTGTTGAAAGACCGATTTTTAAGTACCCAGTATGTGGAGGTCTGTTGCTTGTGTATGTATACCAACATATACGTGTGTACAGGACCCCACTCCATGTAAGGAACAAACACTACATACTCTAATGGAACACAAATAGTGTACTGAGAATAGTTCTTTTCTCTTTAGCTAGACAAGTGTTTAGGTTTGTTACCCTGAAAATCAAATTAAAGATGGAAGGATTAGCTACCTGAAAAGATTCTGGACTGCGTATATCACTACCAGATTAAGGGAGTTTATGTGGCGAGCGCAGAGCTAGACCACGGTGAGTAAAAGGGAGGCAGTCACTTTCCTCACTGAGGACATCCAGGTTGTATGTGGATCCACTAGTGCCTTTGGTTTATAATCCTTCATTTTTCACATTTTCATCGATTCAAAATGCCTTGTTATCTTAAAAAATTATTCTTAATCATTTGTTCACTTCCTTGCCAATATATTTAAAGAGACGTTACATTTTAGGTGAATTTCTTGGGACTGACAAACCTGATAATTGAGCATCAGAGTTAGGTCTATAAACGGCATCAATACCTTCCTGAAGCCAATACAAAAGTGAAGAGGCCTTCCTATTCTCTTGCATGGTTGGCTCTTTCTACAACACCAAGTAGCGTGGCTGTCTTGGTAAACAGGGGAATGGTGCCAGTAAAAGTGGGGAGTTGCACGGTTCAAACGTGACATTTCCTAAGCAAGGGGAGCCAAGACAGTGTGAGCAGAACTATAACCCTGAGAAAGAAAGAAAAAGTCCCAAGTCTCAGCGTGGCTGCAGCATAGGCAGGACCCCTCCAGCCTACTTTAGGAAAATTAAGCGTGAGCTACGCCCCAGAAGGGCTCACCCCACACGGTTGGACCCTGTGACTGGTCAATGCAGGGGCACAAAGACTCTGCCCCCTCCAAAGATCTGGGGCAGTTGGGAAGAGCTCCCTGTGGAGTCAGCTGAAAACTTCAGTGTATACTGCAGGCCAAATCCTCTCCCTGTGTAATCTTGCTTCCTCCCTCTTGCTCCCCCAGAAAGCAGTCCTGAAAGCACTCCTAGGAACTTTCTGCAGGCCAACTCCCAGGAACCAACCTGCAAACTGCACTTGCACCCAGCGCCTCTCCCCAGACAGCCCTCAGCTAGTGGCAGATTGCACCCCACTGTGGACCCCTAATGGGGAGCATGTCTATTCGACTGTCTTTGAACATTTTTAAGACTCCCAAGTAGCCCCCCGATCTCAGTGAATTATCTCATGAGGGAACAATTACTGTGTGTGTGGAGGGGTAGGCAACAAGTATTCTGGTTGTAAAACGACATACATTTTAACAGTTTGACTCTTGCCCAATTTTTCCCATGAGCTCTGTTATTTTTATATTTTTGTAAAATATTTTTCATGAATGCATAAATAGCAGAAATGTCTATATTTGATATATTATATATATAAATGTATTTACATATATATACACACATACACATATTTTATGCACACACACACACACATTTGTTTGTTTTTTTTCCAAGAGACAGAGTCTTGCTTTATCACCAGGCTGGAGAGCAGTGGCGCAAACACAGCTCACTGTAGCCTCGAATTCCTGGGCTCAAGCAATCCTCCCACCACAGCCCCCCAAGGAGCTGGGACTATAAGTGCATGGACCACCACACTCAGCTAATTTTTAAATTTTTTGTAGAAATGGGATCTTGCTAGGTTGCCCGGGCTGGTCTCCAACTCCTGGGCTCAAGCAATCCCGCTTCAGCCTCCCAAAGTGCTGGGATTACAGGCGTGAGCTACCATGCTTGGCTGACATATCTTCTATTTGACATTAGTATTTTGAAAGAGTTTACAATATTATTATCTTTCAGATTACACTGTAAGCTATGTGATGGCAAGAACCATTTACCTTTTGGTAAAAAGCCACACAAGGGAAATTAAGGATAAATGTGGATTCAGCAGGGATGGTAATCTATGTGGTTAAAGTGAGTCAGTGTACGGTCTCTTTACGAAGTGAATACATTAAAGCCCACTGGGAAGGTGAAATCAACAAAATTCAGGACATGGGAAATTCTGTAAGACAAGGAATCCAAGGTGACTTCAACAATAAACTGCAAAGAAAAAAGAGAGAAGGAATGAGAACCTATTGGTTAAGAAAGTCTGAAAGACATTATCAATTAATCTATAATATACAGACCTTGTTAGATTCAAATACATATTCAAAGTAAAAAGTTATTAGACAACTGGGGAAACTTGAACATTGACTGGATTTGATGATACTGAGAAACTGTGGTTAATGTTTTTTGGTGTGATAACAGTACTGTGACTGTGTGTTATGGAGTCCTTATCTTTTAGATATATAATACATACAGATAGGATGATGTGATGTGTAGGAATTGCTTCAGTAATGGGAAAGAGGGGTGGGAGTACAGCTGGAATGAGGCTGGCCACGAATTGATCATTGTTAAGCTGGGTACTGGGCACAGACAGACTCCTTTATTATTCTCTCTACTTTTATACACATGTAAAGTTCTCCATAAGCAACAGTTTTAAAAAGTGAATGTAGGCTAGACACAGTGGCTCACATCTGTAATCCCAGCACTCTGGGAGGCCAAGGGAGGCAGATCACATGAGGCCAGGAGTTGGAGACCAGCAGTTGAAGACATGGTGAAACTTTGTCTCTATTAAAAATACAAAAAAATCAGCTGGGCATGGTGGCATGTGCCTGCAATCCCAGCTGCTCAGGAGGCTGAGGCAAGAGAATCGCTTGAAACCGGGAGGTGGAGGGTGCAGTGAGCCAAGATCGTGCCACTGCACTCTACCTTGGAAGACAGAGCAAGACACTGTCTCAAAAAAAAAACAGGAAAAAAAAGTGAATGTATATCTATTGGTATAATATCATTAGAGTTCTTCCTGGAGTACAGTAAGTAACCTAAGGCATCTGTGTCTAAGTGAAAGTGGTCACAGAAAGTGGCCTACCTGAAGCCTGGCAGTTCCATTATCCTAGGAGAAATCATCGTGGACTCTTGCAGAAAAACAAGGCTGAGAGGAAGCCAACCAAGGCAGAAAGGTGACCCCATCTGTGCGCTGACTCAGACAGCAAAGCGGTGGGTTTCCCTTATGAGATCATGGATTGGCCGCCAGAGACCGCTACTAATGTTAGAACAGGGTTTTTCCCTGAAAGAGTCACAATTCCTCTCCCTGGCAAAACAGGAACTGGTCCTAACAGGAATATTATGTAATACCAGAACTGAGGAGCTCAGGAAAAGCAGGATGAGGGTGGGGGTGGGGACTGAAGAGCAGAGCCCTTTGTGGGAGCGTGAAAGGGACAAGCCCAGTACCGGCTTCCTGCCAGCCTCCCCTTCCCTCCTGCTGCAGCGCCTTCCCTCACGGGATGAGCAGGCATCTCATAGGCAGACAGAACATGGAGCAGGAATAAAAGACTCCCACCTTCTCCAAGGCTGACGGTAACTGACCATGTAACTACAGTGTAACTGAGGGGACCCTGCATAGACAGAAGATGGGCCAGCGAGATGAGGAGCCATGCTGGACGAGCATCCTTTTTTTCCAGATGTAATAAGGTATAAGTGACAGAGGAAGACTCTATGTTTAAGGTGTGCCATGTGATGTTTTGACCTACATATACATAGCAAAATGATCCCCACAGTCAAGCTAATTAACACATGCATCACTTCTCACAGTTACCTTTGGGAGTGATGAGGACACCTAAGATCTAATCTATTAGCAAATTTCGAGTACACAGTGTGTTCTTATTAACTGTGGTCAACATACTGTATGCTAGGTCTCCAGAACTTACTCTTCTTAGCCTCTGTCCAGAGGGGAGCTCCCTTGCAATGTAGACAGGGCAGTGGTCAGAGGAGTAGCATTTTAGGAATGTCCTCAAATAGCACAGGGACCATAAACAACACATGTCACAGGCCCAGTGGCAGAGCCAAAAACGCAAGCTGCTAAAGAGACAAAACGTGTTCAATTGTTTTTCAAGTTCAGTATTGTCCGTATCCGATGACCCTGCTTTTGAGACAGACAGGAAGGGTACACACCACTGAGACCACACACACACACCTCCACGTGCCCAGCTTTTCACTGTGGTTATCTCTGGCTGTTTGGATCATGGATTTTTCCCCCTTCTTCCTAATGTACTATGTACAGGTCATGGTTTCTCTAGAGTGGACAGGTACTGCTTTTATAATTTAAAAATATTTGAAATTAAAAACTCACACCGAAAAAACCCTACAAGCCTAGGGCAGAGTGCTCTCTCTGTGAGGACAACTGCATTCAGGAGGCCAGGATGCTGTCACAGCCAAGCGGCAGGTCCTGACCCTCATCTCGACAAGACACAGGTGGAGGCGCCGTCTGCACTCACTCTCAGGACTCAGGTTCCCTCCTCATCCCTTTCCCTTCCAGAAGGTCCCCATGCTTCTCTCAAGGTTCCTCCCCAACTACACCCCACCGGCTTGTGTCTGTAAGCGATCTAACGGGGCTGAATAAAAAAGTCTTCCAGCACAGCAAATGACAGAAAAAGTGTTCAAATGAGAACAAAAGAGGCTTTTCAGGAAGTCACAACTCGATGGCAGAGAGGGCTCTGACATGCACTGATGAGTACATGAAAGAAGTGAAGGACCTCACAGCATCAGGTCAGATGTGGAGGAAAAGTTAACAGCACGAGCGATGAGATGACAGGCAAGCCAGGGGGAGGAAGCAAGGGTGAGCCAGCAGAGGCTTCACATCCAGAGCTGCTCCCATCTGCACGTCTGCCCTGCCGTGCGCTCCTCTCCCAGGAGCCGTGTCACCATCCATCCAAGCTGTCGGAGCCTCAACTGGTCCATACTGTCAGCCCCCAATCCCAGGGCCTCGACCTCCCAACATGACTCCACCAAGCTGCCCCTTTCTCTTTGGGTCTTGCCACCACTGAGCAGCTCAGGCTGAGGCTCAGGCTCGGGCTCTGGCATCCTCTGGAACAGCGACCTCTACCTGCCTGCCTCAGTCTGGCCCCTCCTTGCCCTCTTCATTCTTAGTGCTTTATCTCTGCTGCTAAAGGGATCTTTCTAAAATGCAAAAGCAACCAGCCCCGTCCCATACTTCAAAGCCCCAGAAGCTCTCAAGTACACGCAAAACAAACAGTCTATACTCCCTGCAGATGTCTAATGGGGGCTCTCAGGGAAAAAAAAATCCCCCTCCCTCCCCCAGTTTTTATTGAGACAGAGTATCCCACCGTTGCCTCGGCTGGAGTACAAAGGCGCAATCTTGGCTCACTGCAGCCTCCGCTTCCCAAGTTCATGTGATTCTCCTGCCTCAGCCTCCCGAGTAACTGGGATTACAAGTGCGCACCACCACACCTGGCTAATTTTTTGTATTTTTAGTAGAGATGGGGTTTCACTATGTTGGCCAGTCTGGTCTTGAATTCCTGACCTCGTGATCTGCCTGCCTCAGCCTTCCAAAGTGCTGGGATGACAGGCATGAGCCATCATGCCCAGCCAAAATCCCCCCTTTTTAGATCCTCAGCTTATTTTTCAACACCCACCAGAAAAGTCAAAATTAATTCATAACAAGACTCTGTTTTTCAACATCCAGCTGCAGCTAAAGCATCTGAAGCCTCTAGTGACTCCCGTCCCTCCTCGGTGGAAGCACACATCGCAAATGCTCAGTACACAGCATCCTTGGGTCACTGCAGGCACAGTATGAAGTGACCAGCTTAGGGATGGCAGCTGCTCCAGGCTCCTGGCCGTGACGAGGGCTGAGGGGATCAACCCCTCGGACCACCAACAATCCACTTGTGGCATGCCAGCTGGTAAACTCCAACTGAGAATAAAGGGGACTGTTGAAACCTGCTTGTGAAGCTACAATTAGAATTTAGGCTTCAGTGCAAAGTTGGAAACATAGCTATATTCTTTTAAAAGGACTGGTGGGTTATTTTGGTTTGGGGAGCTCCAGCCCCCATCTTTGTGGCGGGTGCTGATGTGCTTGGGCGATCTGCTGGCCCCCTGGCTTTCTAGAGAGAGTCTGACTACAAACTATAAACCCTGGAAGAGACGCCAGGGTGGTGGCGGCAACCTCTCTCCAGCACTGCGCGAGGCAAAGGACTCGCATTTGGCCTGTGGTGCTGCCGCGGTTCCTGCCTGGGAGCGGGGAGACATCCTGCCCTCTTCCAGGTTGACAAGAAGCGTGCAGCTTTTGAAGGCCCTGAGACCCCCAGGACAACATGCCCCATCTCAGTCTCTCCACAGAGGTGCCAGTTACACCTGGCAGTGATGAGACTCTTAACTCTCCGTGCTGGCCAGGACCGCCCCCTCTCTCCCGCTCAGGACCAGCAAGGGTAGCGCTGGAGCTTGTCTGTATTACGATCAGCTATTGGAGTCTGAGTCTCTGGATAAAGGTCCAGCTATTTAGAGACCTAGAGAATTATCCTCTCATTGGATGACAGCAGGCCCCGCAGATGCGCTGGCCTCGCTCTCCATGCACTCTCCGCGCTGGATGGGCCTGCAGCTGCAGGTTCCTCTCTGCCCTCTTTCCACTTCACGTCCACACCCACTGCTACTTCTGCTTGAAAATCCTCCTGCATCTTCTCTTACTGACCCTTTTGTCCTTTATGGACTAGCAAGGACAACACCTCCTCCAGGAGGGCAGGAACCCACCTGAGAGGGAGATGCCCCGGGGGCCACGTGCACACCTTGCCTCCAGCTCAACAGTTAACCAAACCGCATCAAAATCATTGACCGTCCCTCCCCCGTGACGCTGTGCGCTCCCTGAAGGGACAGACTGTGCCTCTTCTTCACAGTCCATGGTTAAGAGCGCCTGGCACCCGCCATCACTCAGGAGTGGTTCTGGGAGAAACAGATGAAGTAAAGCAGTTTACAACAAACAGAAATACTCTCAGGAATGGAATTCATGAAAGGCTTGCAGATGGTACACCACATACACGCCGCCGGTACTCTGGCAAAGGTATTTTTAGCATCTTGAGATTAAATGGTTGTATCTATAGGTGACTGTAATAGGAAAAAAAGAACTACTTCAGGGACACGATTAATTGCTGTGATGTGATAAACAGCAGTCTACATTGTATTCCTCATGGCATAGCTGTCACCTGTGTGAATTACTTAGCTCATAATGTTTACTATGTTAGTTAGTGTGAGTATACACAATACACCATCTCATTATCTGAGATGCCCCCTTACCTCTCCCAGTCAAGCAGCTTTCATTTCCAGGTGGAAGCTGACCGCACACTGCACCTCAGCCCTTGTCCAGACTGTCTTGTTGCCACTTCCATGGATTTGCTAGATCCTGCTCCAAATGAACGTGTTTCCCGGCGTGCCATTCTGACCCTCGCTAACATCTACTGAGTGCCTACTATGCGCGAACACTCTGCTAGGGGTAGATACACATGATGACGAAAGCATGATCTTCCGCTTGAGGTGCTTCAAGAAGTGTAAGCTTGAAGAGCTCCTGCCCCCAAGTCTGTAACTCCTAGTGTCTGCATCCTCTAAACTATTTTAACAAGCATATTATCTACATAATGCTCAATTAACTGGTCTACAAACCAAATTATTATTGACAAGTTCTTCTGAGCCAAGAGTTATGCTCCTGAGCTTAGTTTGCCCAAATGTTTTCACCTAGACCAGGGGTGTCCAATCTTTTGGCTTCCCAGGGCCACGCTGGAAGAAGAAGAATTGTCTTGGGCCATCCATAAAATGCACTAACACTAATGACAGCTGATGTGCTATTTAAAAAAAATTGCAAAAATATCTCACAACATTTAAAAGACTTTACGAATTTGTGTTGGGCCACATTCAAAGCCGCCCTGGGCAGCATGCAGCCCACCCGCCATGGGCTGGACAAGCTTGACCTAGACCATTACCTTTCTACCAAAAAGCTTCTAAGGAATTAATGCTAAAGAAAGGACACAGACGTCCGCTGGAACGGGGGCATTTGTTTTAATTTTAATTATTAAAGGTCATTAATTTCAATAGCCAGAAAAAAAAAAAGACCTTACTTGAAAAACAAAAGTATAGTGAATTTACAAACCATTTTGCCTCAGGGATCTCTGTCAAAGCAGCAACATGAATACACTTAATGCTGTTGTAACAAATCATGACAACATGAGTCACTGAGGAGCCTCTTAGTATATTCCTTATGACCTGTACAGATTTAACTCAAGATAAACTTCAAACAAATATTGCAATGAGTATCTAGTAACAGATTCAAAGAGGCGACAAAATAATTCCACTGGGGTGTGTAAAAGCTACGCTGCTCAACATAGCATTTGTGTGAGAAGATAACTACATTCAAAGATCAGGAATGTTTTTAAATTTGAACAAATGTAAACTGTTTTAAAAAATGGACTTGCTAGTTGCTAAGCAGGTGTCGTCACCAGAATAACTCTCTTCATTAATTTTTCTCTTCAAAAGTGAGAACGTTATGAAGTGGCAGTGAAGGGGTATTTTTAGAAATGGGCTCAGATGAACCAAAATATTAATGCTCAATCACTGGTAATCTATCACGATTAAAATTTTAAATTACAATTTTTTAAAAATAAAATTTTAAATTACATTTAAAACATACAGATCTTAAAATTTCAAATATTTCCGTTAACCTACACAGAAAAGTAACTTTTGTTTATTCACAAAAAGTAGCTTCATCATATATTGACTTAAAATATCCGAACAGTATTACAAAGTAAAAAGGAGCAAACCCTTCGCCTGTTGCTACCTTTTTTTTTTTTGAGACGGAGTTTCGCTCTTCTTGCCCAGGCTGGAGTGCACTAGCGCAATCTCAGCTCACTGCAACACCTCCGCCTTCTGGTTTCAAGTGATTCTCCTGCCAAGTAGCTGGGATTACAGGCGCCTGCCACCACGTCTGGCTAATTTTTGTATTTTTAGTAGAGACGAGGTTTCACCATGTTGACCAGGCTGATCTCGAACTCCTGACCTCGTGATCCGTCCGATCACGAGGCTTCCCAAAGTGCTGGGATTACGGGCATGAGCCACTGCGCTCAGCTGCTGTTACTACTTTTAAATGAGTGGGAAGATGCGTTCAAATTAGACTTTTACGGGTTTAAAACTAAAATCCGAGTGCATGTATGTTTTTAAGATTGCATTTTGTTTTTAGTGACATCAATATAACAAGTGCTCTGAATTCCTCCCAGGAACAGAAAGACCATTTATCTACTGTATTTATTCAGGGCAAGCTTCCCATCTGTGTCAGACTGAGAGATTTAACATTGCTGAAGAATGCAGGTGGTGATAAAGGAGGGTGACGCTAGAAATGAACACCTCACGTTTCCAAATACTTTTAAAAAGGACAAATATTATACTCATCTAGAAAGTGGGTATGCATTCAGAGAATCAGAAGACAAAATCCAAAAGCTTCTTGACTTTATAAAAGCAAAATTCTAAGATTAATTCATTCAAAAAACAAATCACTTGGTTGGGTGAAAATCCTAATATCGAAGTAAGAAAATTCACCAAATCTCCAGGGCTAAGGATTATCAAACCTCTGCCTCTGCCAAGTTCAGTTCATAGCAATGTCTTTGACCTGGCTACAAACAGAGGGCTTGGCTTGCTCCCAGGCTGTCTTTCTTAGCTGCTCTAATCAATGAAGCAGAAAGGGTCCTTTCTAAAGATGCCAGCAAAATTTTTAACAATCAACGTCACCTTAAGTAAAAATTAAAAGTCTCTCTCCCCCACACCAAGACGGAGTGTTGCTCTGTCGCCCAGGCTGGAGTGCGGTGGCGCGATCTCGGCTCAGTGCAATCTCCGCCTCCCGGATTCAAGTGATTCTCCTGCCTCAGCATCCCAAGTAGCTGGGACTACAGGCACACACTACCATGCCTGGCTAATTTTTGTATTCTTAGTAAAGATGGGGTTTCACCATGTTGGCCAGGCTGGTCTCGAACTCTTGACCTCGTGATCCACCTGCCTCAGCCCAATAAAAGTCTTTAACTTGTGACTTTATGACTTATTTTTATAGTCACTGCTTGTAAGAAAAAATCCCAAGACTCTCAAAGCATACTGTATTACCTAAATAGGTAAAGTCAAAAGTAAAGTGATCTCACTTTTTAAACCAAAATCTCTGTTACGGAATGCCAAGTATTATGACAGTTAGCAAAAAACAACAAAAAGGCCCTATTCACAAATCCCATTTGATTTTTTTTTTTCATGATGCCTAAGCTTCTGTCCCATTCAACTGAACAAAGCTTTGTATGGATGAATAAAACAGAGCCATTGCTTTAGTTGCCTAAAGGTGGTTTAAGACAAACTATTATCGTCACAGAAGAAAGGTACAGGTGTTTCAAAAAGCGAACTGGCTGATGACTTTGCAGGCCAAGTGGTGAAAGAGCTTAGAGATTTGGAGAACCAGTCACTTCAAATGATAACGGGATGGGAGATTCTGAAAAGCGCAGATAATGACTTAGAAGAGCACAGAGAATATCTGCTGAGTGCATGGAAGGAGCTTGATTGGCTCAGATAAGAGAGGCTTCCAAGGGACTGTGAGCAAAACCCAAGAAACAGGGCAGCTTGGGGGAAAAGAACTTCCATCTGAAGTCAAAGACTCCAGGCATGCGAAAGGCACAGGATCCCCGGGGGGAAATGGACAATAAAAGAGGTGCGATTTGTTTAATTTCAACCAGAGTAGAGACACCCGCAAGAATCCGATGAGTTCCATTTCTACCTCTCGTATCCAGCCTTTACCATTAAGACTCACTCAGCCATCAGCTCCCCCTTCCAGAGAGCAGCTTGGGAAAGGGAATGAAGAACTCTCTATGAGAGGAGGACTGAGCTGGCCAGGCATGCCTTCCGGGCTGCTGTTCTCTTTGTTTAGTTCTATTCTGATAATAGATTTCCTTTAAAAGATACAATGTTTAAAATATGGGAAGTCCTAGAAAACAAACTTGCTCACTCCAGACAGGTGATAAGAATCCATTACTCTGCCCACATTTTTTATCTGCGATTTTTTCCCCTTAGTAACCTTGTGTAGCTTTCCTCAACTTATACTAAGAGCTGTTAAAAAAAAAAAGGGTTCCAGTCAAAAAAGTAACATTAAGTTTTAGAGATGAACCATGTTCATTACCATATAAAAGGCTCTAAGAAGGATGCAATGAAAAAAATTGTTAAATATCTACATGTTTAATCTGTGTTTCCCAAATGTATCTGAGCATGTGACAATGACAACTATCAGCACTCCCCTCCTCCCAACCCAAACATCTACCAGCAACACTGATGGTTCCAAGGAACACATTTTGGGAAACTCTGCCCTACAGCAATGCTGACAGTAAGAACCAAGCAGAAGAAACAGCCCCACAGCTTGAATGGAAGCTGATCCACTCTCTGTCTCCCCTACCCAGTAACACACGTGAACCTCCAGTACAGTAAAGCGGGTGACGGAGAGTGTTGCTGCCGTGGAGGGAGAAGGGCCTGGTTTTTCAGCAGGGGTCTTCACGCTCACTAGTCTGAGTCTTCAGCCAGGTTACTTTAACCTTTGTCAGCTTCCTCATGAGTAGTTCCTACCTCTCAGGGTTGGTGTTTCAGGGACCTAGAAGGAAACAGTGTTTCAACCGCACTCTAAAAACCAAAAGCTCCCTCAAATACAAGGCATTACTGTTGTTAGTAAGCCACTGACTGTGTGACAGAAAGGGTGTGCTGGAAGACACTTCTACTGCACTTAGCTCAAGCCTGCTAGCAGAGCCTCAAACAGTCAACAGTGGCCTCTCCTGATCTCAAAGTTTTGAACACATGGTTATAGGAGACAATATTGTTGTTTAAAACAAAAAAACAGAAACAACTTTCTAAAAACAAACAGGGCCTAAGTCATGTAGATTACTGCAGCTTCAGGAATATATGTAAGCCACTATTTTATTCAAAATAAAAAGAGGACCCCTGAATCAGATTCAGAAGAAACCTAAGCATTGAGGACCACCAGGGGTGCCTGAAATTCACTTTATTTCTAGCACTTCATCATCACAGCAAAAGATGCCTCAAACCACCTTTTCATACCTTCATATAATTTGAAGAGAAAGAAAACAGCTTATTTTCAGTCACAGAGATGTATTAACTCATAATTCAAAATAATTTATTCAAAAATTTGAATTAGCAAATGGTACAGCAGGAACTAGTGACCTCTCCACTGTCTGATGGAGAGAAGAAATCTACACTAACACAACCATGTCAGGAGAATCTCAGCCATCTACCAATGCATGCAGGTGGGACATTCTAAATGATGAGCTAAACAGTGCTTACTACTTCACTCTATCAGAAATAAAGCAAGTGTTCTTAAAGAAAATAATGAAGTACTGAACTGACTTTTCAGGAGTAACAGCTACACTAGAAGTGAGGAATAGACGGGGAGACAGATTCCATCCTGGAACTGCCCCATCCACACACATGTTTCTGGGATGTTTGTAGGACACGGGTAGGCTGCCTTTGAATAAACTGCTCAGCCAACATTTTTGAAAACTTAACTGCATTTCTTTTAGAGTCCATGTGGCCTGGGTAATGCTTATTAAATGCCCACTGAAGTGTGCGTGTATGCATACTCACATGTGTGCTGCTGAAATAATGAGAGCAGCACAGGCTCCAGCCTTGAGAAATTATTACTTCAAGTTGACTTCCAGGCCCTCCCAAATCCATTTCCCTCAAACGTAATTGGAAACAAATCAGAATGAGACTGTGGCAACATATTATTTTTACCAGTTTTTAACTAGCACATGATTTCAGAAGTCAATATGAAGTTACACTTCCACTTGATATATATAAAAGAAAATATAACAGTGGAAATTACTAAAGAAGAGAAAAATAACTTCTTTTTATCAGTCAAACATGTAGCCAGGACTCCTGGGGAAAAAAAGCCAACCAGGCAATTCAAAAGCTGCACCGATGGCCGTTTAGGAAAGTCTCTTGGCAGTAAGCCAGGTAAAACTAAACTCTTTCCATCTCCTCCTCAATTACTTTTGCAACTCTCTCAAAAGGTAGAGACACCTTTTCTAAATTCAGAAAAGGTGAATTATTTTCAGTCTAATGGCCTGGTCACTGTTTCTGAAATTACATACCATATTCCCTGGGAGCTTGTTAAGAATGCTGATTTCTAGTGTCGAGCCAGAGCCTACAATATGCATTTCTAATAAGTCCACCGGGTGATTCTGCCAGCTTAGAACTGGAGGCGGTGAATCAATTACTGCTTAGTAGCTCCTCCTGGTGTTAGCTTTTCAGAAAATAATCAGTTTTCCCAAATTGTGCACAAGCAGCAATGAATTGATATTAGAAAAATGAGTTTGTACTCACGTACACTTTCACAGCAAGGAAATTAGAGGTAAGAACCCTTCCTACTTTCTTGGGAAACTGATCATCTGTATTATAATATTTAAATTTTATTTCAATAAAACACAGTATTTAAAAAAAGGTTTTCTAGTTTGTCAATTTTTTTTTTCAGTGTATTTGGAATCTATATCTGGACAGAGTACCTGCAAAAAGTAACAGATTCACTTAAATAATTTTATTATAAACATAAACTTATGTTTTATGCTGTTAACTATATTTGAATACAATCATCAATTTAAGATGGTCTCAACAGAACTGTTGAGACTTTAAAGGGTGTGTTCATGCTTCACGTGTTTGCTGTTGCTTTTACAAGCGAACAGTTCTCCTTGAGGCCCCGAGGCCTGACAGTTGCTGGGGAAATGATGGGACAGATGTGTCTGCTCCTGTTTCCATCCTTCTTCTGCCTGGCTCTGCCATTTCTCTTACTCTGCATTCTAGACCTGCCACCAAAGATTCCAGTTCATTCCCCAACACACCTGCTTGGCTTATGGAGGTCCAACTTCAATACGCTTTGAAATGGACAGGTGAGCGGCCTGACTGGGAGAAAGCATTCGGGCAAAAGTGGAGCCACTCAGACCACATTGGTGACCACTCCACAGCAGTCTAATCCCACTTACTGTCCCTCTCTAAACTGGGGTGCAGTAGACAGAACCACAATCCCTGCATGTCTGAGTGACGGGACATGACACAGGGCCATTAGGTAAGAGGAGCCGCTGGCAGGGGATCAAGGGAGGACAATGTCCAAGGACTACAGACTAGAACATGGATGCTGGGAATTTTACTGGGCAAAGTAGGTTTTTTCCAAGTTAGGGCCACTTCCAACAAAGCTGAATAGGGAACATGTTCTCAACCACGGTCTGAGTTAGTCCTTACTGGGCTATTTGTCATTCCACTAGCTGACTGCTAAGGCTCAGAAAGGTTAAATTCCTGCCAAAGGTCATATGACTCACAAGGGCAGAGCCGAGACTGCGATCCAGGTCTGCGTGATGACACATCCCGGACTCTTTCTACTACACCACACCATTCTTGCATCTGTTACTGCTAGTCTTTAGGATTGTTTTCCTTCTCAGTTTTGATGGAAATAACATTTTTTCTATCTCCACTGTCACTTCCACAAAGTGAGACCTTGGGTGCAGGAATATTACCTAACAAGAGTCTGATGTACAGCATTTGCTATTATTCTTAAGGATTCATGAACAAGAACACTGCGTATGTATAAATGAACTTGTCCGACTTAAGAGTCAACCTGTTGCTAAACGACACTGATGCAATCAGATGTTACCGCAGAGTTTTAAATAATGTCAATGATAATTATTTTGCGATTCTTTTACTGAAAGAGCTGTTATAAGTAACTTGGGTTCTTCTTGGTCATGATCATTCTAAAACAATAGAATGGAGTTTATTTACATGATCTGACTGAGAATAAACTTTTTTTTTTTTTTTTTGAGAGCAAGTCTCACTCTGTTGCCCAGGCTGGAGTGCAGTGGCGTGATCTCAGCTCACTGCAGCCTCCGCCTTCTGGGTTCAAGCAATTCTCCTACCTCAGCCTCCTGAATAGCTGGGATTACAGGTGCACACCACCACACCCAGTTAATGTTTGCATTTTTAGTAGAGATGGGGTTTCACCACATTGGCCAGGCTGGTCTTGAACTCCTGACCTCAAGTGATCTGCCTGCCTCCGCCTCCCAAAGTGCTGGGATTACCGGCCTAAGTCACTACGCCCGGCCAAGAATAAAGTAAAATTTCTTAATGTTACACTAGCCCCAAATGAAAAAGGACAGCACTCTCTTCTCTTTGCTTTCCCACCTCAGACCATACCACTTGATCCAGGCGCTCAGCTTACAGGACCCAAATACTGAAGCATGCAGATGACAAATCTGTCCCAACTCTCCTTTCTGCAAGATGGACACTGAGTCAGTGTGAGATGGCGGCCCCTGGGGGAGTCCCTGGCATCAGTCTCTTCAGCTTTCTCTATTTTCTTAATAGATGGATAATGGAGTAGAAGCTCTATATTTTATCATGATCTCAGCAAGATAAAGAGGAATATATTTTAGGAAGACACTGCTGGTAGAAAACCGAATTCCAGAACACAAAAACCTCAGTGAACTCTTCTTCCCAGTACCACAGATTAATCACGCCTATCCTGCAGAAAGGGAAGGAAGGGGGAAGTGAATAGAGGAAAGGGATGGATTTCCAATGATGGCTTACGAAAGCGTGCTTCCAACTCCCCTCCCATATGCTAAAGGAGGAGAGGATGATGGTGCCCCAGCTATCTGCTTAGACTTACTTCCTCCAAGAAAATGATGACTGCACATTTGCTTTATGCCTTAAAGAGTCTCCAAGTACTTTCAATCCATACAATTTCATCAACTGCTAAAGTGAGCATAGGCTGTCATCCACATTTCCCAAGTGAGGAGGAAGAAGATCAGAGCAGGTATGGTGTGGTCCCCTCGCCTAGAAGCAAAAAGCTGGAATTCTCTCTGCCCAGCTCTGAAGTGGGCAAGCTTAACCTCTATAAACCTCAGTTTCCTTTTCTGGAAGTCCAGGGAAGACCTAGATGGTCTTTTCCAGCTATAAAATTTCCAGTGTGATCCAAAGTCACACTGAGGGCTCAGTGACAGAGCTGGGACTTGAGCCTAAGTTTCTGACTTTTAAAGCAATCAGACCTTACAGAACTACAGCAAACCACCTCTAATGAAAAAGAATTTGTGGTATCATTCTAACCTGGCTCCTGGATGCTTTAAACCTGTGAGCAATATCTCAAGAATCCAGACTGCCAGGAGAACAGATTTGCCTAAAAGATAAAGGAACCTCCATCGCTGACCACGGGTATCGTCCTGGCCCCATGAGAGACCTTGTCACAGGAAGTGTCAAGGAAAACATGAAATGCACAAGCACCACTGGAATGCAGCAATCTCACAGTACTGCCCCATCCCCGCAATGGAGAAGCAGAAGATGCAATGCATGCCGTACAAGTGCCAGCTACATCCTACTGACAAACTGGAAGATGTACAAAGAAGAAAAAGCAAAGGGCCCAAATGATTCAAAGAAATGAACAAGTTAAAAAGGTAGTTTGGGGGACGGAAGAGCAAAGGGAAAAAAAAACTTTAGCATAATCAAGAACTTCCTTGGAATAAGTCGAAAAGCCTGCAGCATTCAATGCCAGGGAACTCCCTCCCCTGGAACAGAGAATTGCTTTAGGGGGAAGCTCACAAGGCTGACCGCACCTGGGGAACAATTGCCAAGGAGACAAACTTCTGTGACTTACACACAGCAGGTCACTCATACACTGATACACTCATGACATTCCCTTGGAGCACTTCACCCCACAGACAAGAACAAGGTTGACGTGTATGAAGACAACCTGCACTCTGGAGACATCAATCAAATTTGGATATCCCAGGCCTGGAATAGCTTTGTACTCCACTCCATCATCTTATGATTTAAAAATTACTTTTTGGGCTTGCTCCCATTCTGAAACTCCTACCTCTTTGCCAGAATCCAGTATCAACAAAAACCTATTGGTTACTCTGCATTCCTAAATCTTCCTAACTGCTTGCTACTGTCAACCTTGATTTCCCCACTAGCCAGGAGTACACAGAGGGCAGGGGCCCGGTGGAACCAGGCACTCTACTGCTTCTACACCTCACTTCGGTCCCATGGGATCTGGGCGAAGATCTCTATGAAGGGAATGTACCAGACCTCCAGGGTGGGGGATGGGGTGCTCTGCTCAGAGGACTGGGGAATTATATTCCAGTAAAGAACCAAGATATGGATTCTCCTGGGACAACTATCTTTCTTCTCTTTGTTTGCTTCCAGCCCTGACTTCTACTAATATTAGTATACACAGCAAGAAGACTTATTGAAAGGATTTAAGGAAGAAATAAACTAGGACATATGAGGGCAAAAATAAATTGGACACTAGCAACTTCACACTTGCAGGATGACCATGACATTGTGAACTTCAATGTCACACAAAATTAAACCATTCTGTGGTGGGACTAAATAAATATTAAAGAACATATTATTAGTAGATTAAAAAAACTTTTTTATTGTGCAAAAAATTTCAAATATACAAAAAAAATTAGTGAACCCTAATATTCCTATCAACAATTAACAAAGTTTGCCACATTGTTACATCATTGCTTTGTTCTTTGCTGAAATATTTTAAGGTGAATCCCAGACATCAAGTCATTTCATCCTGAATGCTGCAGTAAAAACCACTAAAAAGTACGGAAATTTCCTTACACAATCACAGTGCCATTAGCACATCTAATCAAACAGACAATAATTTCTTGGCATCTAATGCGATCTATCATCAGTTTCCTCACCAGCTCATGGACGTCTTTTTATGGTTCAAATCAGCTCTTAAATAAAGCCTACACTAGCGCATGATACTTGTATCTTTTAGGGTTTTTCTAGTTACCACACCCTATTCTTTCCCACAATCCCATATTTTTTTCATTCCACTGACTTATTGTAGAAATTGGGTCAATTGTTTCGAGCTCTGTCCCACATTCTGGATTTTTGTTTGTTTCCTTCTAAGATTGCATCTCTATAACTTATATTTTCTGTGAATGAAAAATACTTCTAGAGATTTGATTAGATTTAGGTTCAGCTTTTTGGCAGGAAGAGTTCAGATTTATACTGCATTATGTCAGGAGCACACAAGGTCTGCTTGTTCTACTTCCGTGGTACTAAGGCTGAACCATAAATAGTAGGTTCTTTATTAGACTGAAAAATACTCTTTTTCTGTTGAAAACAGATTTACTATGAAAGTGAATTTTGTATAACTCTTAGTATAGTGGATAATGTGTCTGGATTTTAGTAGGAAGGAGAAACTTAATTCTTTCATAGGGCTATCAATTAAGAAGCAAGGAAATCAACCTGCAATGTAAAACTACCCTTGATTCCCATGAGTATTAAAGAAGTTCAAATTAGCTATCATTTTAACTATACCAACGAACTCATATAGTTACCTAGTTACCTAGTGAGCAACTACTAACGACCCTGAGCCAGGGCCTATGAAAGTACAAAGCCATGGCCTCTGTCATATGGGCAGAAGAGGAAGACACACACTGTTGAAAGGACAGCATGCCAGGCAGCAGACAGTAATCAGCAAATTCAGACCAACGCAGAGCGCAGTGAGAGGCAGGATGGAGATGAGGAAACTTTCCATGAAGATGTCACTGCGGTGTTAGCCGCCGGGGGCAGTGACTCTCATCACCAGAGCCTAGAACAGTACCTAGCACAGAAGAATTTAATAAAAACCTGCCAAATAAAACAATGAGCCAGAACGTGCTCAGGGGCCTGAAAGAGGCAGCAGCAGAGTGGGTGACACAGAGCTGGGTGAGAAGAGCCCCGGGAGGTCCGTACCAGGAGCCAGCAAGCATCGGCATCAGGGAAGCAGATTAGCGTGAGCTGGGCAAGGGTCTGGTGTGTGTGTTAAGGGAGCTGCATCTGTCATACGCTGGGCACTGCTGACATGGGACAGCAGCATTGGAGAAGAGCCGATTTTGAGAATAAGCTCTCAAAACGCTCTGAAAGGATGCCCTGCAAGTAGGAAACACTGGGGCCGGGGAGGCTACTTAGGATTACAATTTAGGGGTCATAATGATTAGGAATGGTTTCATCGGAAGGAATGAAAAAGCAAGATGAATGCTGGAGGATTAAAAATACAAAATTAGCAGGCCCTGGTAATGTCAAAAGAAAAAAAAAGAAATCACAGATCACACTCAAGATCCAACAACTCTAGCTAAGTAAGATATCCAATTATTAAAAATGTGCTTAGTGCTTGTACTTTGTCCCCCACAACCCTGGGTATGGGTTTAATCTACTCAACATCATTCTCATATGAAGTGACCCTGCCTATACTTTAATCAAAAACTCAAGAAGGACCCCCGAGAAGACTTGGTTTGACGCTACAAAGGGAGTTCACACCTCGGAATGAAGTGAAGACTGGTGGCACTCAGCTCATTCCTCTTTTCTCTTCCACATCACAACTACAGTTTCCACTAATCTTTCCCAATAGGACAATTATTATTACTAAGAAAGGCAAATGCAATAGGTGAGGCCTGTCTCTCCTGGCAGAACACCTCACATTCTTTCTGTGGGAAAGGAAAATGGAGCCAGGGGCAAGTTACCTGACCTGCTGCGACCTCCTGCAGGGCGTGCTTGGAGGAACCATCCAGCACAGACAGCCTGCTGGCTACAGGAGGCACACGCAAAAGACATCCACGTCAGGGTAATAACAACCAGCATGTATTTATGGAGGTTCAGAGCACTTTCTGCAACCCACCCCATGTTTCAGTAAGATAAGTTAGGAATGGCATATTTCCATGATACACTTTAGACAACCAGAGTACTCGAAGATTGATGCTTAACTTGCAGGAAGAAGCCATACTAGTGCTGAGTGGGTGGCAGAGCACAGGAAGAAGCCACACTAGTGCTGAGTGGGTGACAGAGCACAGGAAGGGGCCACACTAGTGCTGAGGGAGGAGGCAGAGCACAGGAAGGGGCCACACTAGTGCTGAGGGGGTGACAGAGCACAGGAAGGGGCCACACTAGTGCTGAGTGGGTGACGGAGCACAGGAAGGGGCCACACTAGTGCTGAGTGGGTGACGGAGCACAGGAAGGGGCCACACTAGCGCTGAGTGGGTGACGGAGCACAGGAAGGGGCCACACTAGTGCTGAGTGGGTGGCAGAGCACAGGAAGAAGCCACACTAGTGCTGAGGGGGTGACAGAGCACAGGAAGGGGCCACACTAGCGCTGAGTGGGTGACGGAGCACAGGAAGGGGCCACACTAGTGCTGAGGGAGGAGGCAGAGCACAGGAAGAAGCCACACTAGTGCTGAGGGGGTGACGGAGCACAGGAAGGGGCCACACTAGTGCTGAGGGGGTGACGGAGCACAGGAAGGGGCCACACTAGTGCTGAGGGGGTGACGGAGCACAGGAAGGGGCCACACTAGTGCTGAGGGGGTGACGGAGCACAGGAAGGGGCCACACTAGTGCTGAGTGGGTGACGGAGCACAGGAAGGGGCCACACTAGTGCTGAGGGGGTGACGGAGCACAGGAAGGGGCCACACTAGTGCTGAGGGGGTGACGGAGCACAGGAAGGGGCCACACTAGTGCTGAGGGAGGAGGCAGAGCACCATCTCCTTCACTGCACAGTGGGGGCTTTCTCAACCTTCTTCAGGCTTGGATCCAACAAGCTGCAGTAGGAGCTCATGGACGCACGTGTGGGGGAGAGGTCTCCATGACACCACGGCCGTACTTAAATACAACTCATAAGGAAGTAAATCTGAGGAGCAAACAGAGTAAGTTTTTGTGTTTTCTGTTTGTGTTTTAAAATGGGAATGATGCCAGGTCTAAGATTTGAAAAATGCAACCATTCCCACCCCCCTCACATGTATTGAGAGGAAACAGTTTATAACATTGAGGAAATGATGGATGAGAAAAGGGTTTGTTACACTTTTGAATTGAAAGGGTTTTCTCTTAGTCTTTCTCCACTCCTTTCCTTCAATAACGATTTGCTGAATACCCTGAGCCTAATGGCCCAACCACTTTCCAGAGTGGGGAACAGCAGCCAGTGTTTCCTCTACAAGAGAAACATGTGAGGGAACAGAAGGTATAACCCCTGGAAAAACTGACCCCCAGAGGCTCTGCCGGCAGGCCCTAGGATGCAGCGGAGGGCAGGGGAGGCGCTCCTGACAGGAGGGAGGCCAGGGCATGTAGGAGGACCTCCCCACTAGTCCACCAGAGCCCACGTCCATGGCCCCAGCGAGAGGGCTTCTCTAGAGAAGCCAAGCCCCAGTGACAGAAAGACCCGCCAACTCTGACATCTGGGGGTTCCCTAAGGAAATGGCAAACTCCCCATCTGAGAAGGCTGCCTCTGCAAACAGCTTCCAAATGGCTCTTCATTAATTGACTGTTAAATTACAGCAGACGGCAAAGGATCATCGGACTATGTGGGGGAAATCCTCCCTCATGAAGGGAGCAAACCAAAACCAAAAGAAAAGAGGAACTCAGAGGACCAAGACAGGAAAACAATCTGCGAATGTGTGAAAAACACAATGCCTCCAGAGGCCAAGGAACATACGGTTGTATCCGTGAGACAAGAACAGGACATTATTAAAAAATAACAATGAGATAGTAAGACATAGCTCTTGAAAATTAAAAATATGACAGCAAAACTTACCTTATAATAAGAAGGTTGGAAAATAAAAATCAAGAAAATCCCCCCCCCACCCCCCCCCCACCAAAGTAGAACAAAGATACAGTAAAATTGGAGACAAAAGAAAAATCTGAGGAGGAATTCAAGATGTCAGTGCTTCAACTACTGGCTTCCTGACAAAACAGAGGGGAAAAAATTATGAAACAGCTAATGTTCCAGAACTCATGAAAGGATATGAATCTTCATACTGAAAGTTCTACCAAGTGCCTGGTGAATAAAAACGCCCAACAAACTCATTCCCATGGGGTTTTAGAATCTGAGCATGTTAAGATTCTAAAACCTTCTGAAAATGAGATAAACAGGTCTGTGCTAAGGACTAAAATAAGAACTGCAACAATGGCTATCAGAAGACACTAGAGTAATACCTTCAAAATGCTGAAGGAAAATGATTTTCAACTCAGAATTCTATACCCAGACCATCTGCCACAGTATTAATAGAGATTTTCAGACCTGTGCCCTTTTCACAAAGCTGTGGAAGATGAGTGAGGACACAGAGGAGCTAAAAGGAGCAAGGCTGGGGAAAAGTCCAGGAGGCCAGGGAAATGGCCGAGCCAGCACCTAGTCCTGAGGGAGCCGGGAGGTGGAAATCTTAAGAGAGAGGTCTCCTGGGAGACAGATACAGCTGACAGATGATCTGATGCAGCTGACACACTGAAAGTTTTATATTAAGAGGCTACCAAAGAGTCTAGAGGGAAAAAACAAAATCACACAGATATACAGAATGCTTTTGTTTCCCATCAGAAAACAACCAAAAATTGTTACAGGAAATGTTATTATTGTACACTATTTGGCTTAGCAGGGTACGATATTTACATAGCAATAAAAATATAAACCCCAAATAACAAGTTCACTAATCATTATACAATACAATCAGTAGTTTGAGTGGTGTAAAGGCCCAGATCTTAATCTACCAAAACAGAAGTCCACATTTTAAAAATTATGACATGGAAAAATGTCAATGCAAGTTATTATTGTAAAATATGAAGGTAAATACCAAATAACTGAGGAAGAATTGAAAGTGCAGTAGGGAGGAGGCTTGTGAGGTGCAGTGGCAAGGATGACTACAGAATGCTCTTTCTTTAAAAGCTGTTTGGCGGAGCTTAATTTTTTTACATCTAGGTGCGTATATTACTTTGATTAAAAAATAACAAGCATTTAACACATAATCGCTATCTATGAGTCATTGTTCAAATGCTTAATGTGATCTCATTTAATTCTGACAACAGTCCTAATAGATGATGTTACTATTATCCCTGTTTTAAGATACAAAAATTAAAGTACAGAGAGGTTACATAGCGTGTCCAGTAGCGCAGTGCTAGCAACTGATAGAGCCAAGATTTTAACTCACACAATGTGGACCAGAAGCTGGAGATCTTAACTCGGAAGGAAGCCAGGAAAAGATAATTTCATCTTGGGAAAAACAATCTGATTTTCACCTATTGGTAAACCTAGATAGTCAAAACCAATCGGCCTATCTGACATGAATAAGTAGGAAGCATTTATTTTCTCATATCTAAACTCCTATATTTTTCTATCAACAACACAAAAACACAGCCTAAAAAGCAAGAGCAGCAGAAAAGGAAAAGTTGGAAAAAAAACTGCAGTCACACAAACTGTAGTTAAAAAATGACTAAGTTTCCTTGATATATGAATTTGTTGGAAAACCATTTATCAACAGCCTGTTTCTCTCTAGCAGAGTCCCTCAAGCCGAGAGCCATGTCATTCCCCTTTGACTGATTAATTAGCCAATCAGAGAACATTTTTCATTGTGAGGTATGATGGTTTACTTCAGCTAATGTTTGGTCTCTAATGGCGACACATTAAAGCCAACTCGGCTATTTTAGCCCTGTGGAGTGACCAAAAGGAAAGAACAGAAGATAAATCAAAAGAGCTCCCTTCAGTTCCCCTTCAGTCCTTAACAAAACCCCTAAGGAGCAAGTGGCTGGAGGGAAGATCCTCTACCAATAAAGAGAAAGAACAAATAAAAGAAAGGCACACATGTCTTCAAGCGAAAGAGTAGCCTTCCTGTTTCTGAAGAGCAATAATTTATCTGTTGATTTACAGACCACTGACAGAACAGGCCCCAAAAGTCAATATTTAGCTCTTCTTCCTTTTATCAAAAGCTGTGCTCAATAGAAAATATAGCTCTGTAATGCTTCTTACTCACGGGGCTCATTTTCCCTGCACTCTGAATTAGAAGAGGCTGTGAGTAACCCATCTCAAGCACTATTCACACCAAAGTCACTCCAGCCAGCCAATATCCCACTGCACTGTGGGTTCTCTAAGCTTCTTACCTGTTCCTATGCTGTGAGGGCACTGAAAACACAAAGAAGTGAAGTTCAAGAGGAGGACAGATAGGAACATTCACACATCCAGGACAAGAAGCACATCTTCAACATGTCCACTGACAGCACACTCATCAAAGCGGCTCTAAGGAGCTCGTCTTTGCTATGCAATCACACACTTTATCATCACCATCCTCGTTCATCATTCTAATTTTATGAATCTTGGAAGTTGTGTTAGTCTGTTTTTGTATTGCTATAAAGAAATACGTGAGGCTGGGTAATTTATAAAGTAAAGAGGTTTGATTTTGGCTCACAGTTCTGCAGGTTGCATAGGAGGTGTGCCGATGGCATCTGCTCCTGGTGAGGCCTTGGGAAGCTTCCAATCATGGTGGAAGGAGAAGGGAGAGCCAGCCCATCACATGGCCAGATGGCAGGAGGAGGTGCCAGGCTCTTAAACAACCAGGTCTCGTGTGAACTCAGAGTGAGAACTCATTCATTACCATGAGGATATCAAGTCATGCATAAGGGATCCGCCCCAACAACACAAACACCTCCCACCAGGTCACACCTCCGACACTGGGGATTACAATTCAACATGGGGTTTGGAGGGGACACACGTCCAAACCATATCAGAAGCCTTCAGACAAGACACTACTGTTTCCTTCCTTCCCAACTGATTTAACGATGACTTCCACATTGCTAGTTATATTCCTGGACCCCACTGGCATTTGTGTTGGAGGCCGGGACAAGTCGTGGCTCATGCTGCTTTTGCCTTTTGATGCCTTGTCCAGCCAGAGAACTCCTACCCTTCAGGCCTAGCTCAGCTTCCAATTCTTCTGTGTGTCTGTGCCTCCTGACAGACTCAGTGAGCATGAGCAGCTCCCTTCCTGTGTCCCCAGATTGTTCAAGGCATATTTCAACAGATGAATTCAATTCAGCAAGAACCTTATTGAGAACCCACTCCATGCCAGGCATAATTCTAGATATGAGGAAATATAAAAATTCCTGCCCTCACGGGGATCCCAGTCTCCTAAGGGAAGGCAAGCAGTCAACAAGGGAACTACCGAGCATGTCAGCAGGTGCTCACTACTGTGAAGGAAAACAAGTAACCAAATGTCTGTACTTCCACCCAAAACTGCAGAGAACATAGTATTAGAAGGTCACTGCCTTAGTCATTACTTATCTTCAACATCAATTAAACAAAACTGACGCGTTAGGATGTCCTCTACCACTGCTGTAATGGCAAAATGGCAGACAGGAGTCACTTCACTAGAGGACTTTGAGAAGGACGTGCTTCTCAGCAATGACCCTGTTCACTCAGTAGGTTTATATTAAATATTGTGACTACGCACACACAGATACAATTTTCTCAGTTCCAAAGGATGTTTCCTATAAGTTATTATTGGCCATTTTAAACTGTGAGAGTGTTGGTGCTGACTGTGACGACAGTGGTCTCAACAGCAGCAGGAGCTAAGCTGCACTGGGCATTTACCATGTGCTGGGCACTTCGCTAAGAGTTCTTCGTGGCTTATTATTTAATCCTCCCTGGATCTTTTATTATCCCCATTTACAAATGAAGAAGCTGGGGCTCAGAGAGGTTAAATAACTTGCCCCAAATCACACAGTCTTCAAACTACTCTTGGGCTCAAATGCAGGCATATGAAACGAGATCTCAAGTGCCTATTCACAACACTATATGGCCCTGAACCAGTTGCCCTTTAGAAGAAACCAGAGTAGAACATTCATTAGATGACCTGATTTCCTCATTCTACTGGCTCAGATGGTTCTACCAGGTATATATATTTGATACCAGGTATCAATGTCTAATCACAGAACCACAGGAAGACAAATCCTGAGACAGCCATTTCATTTATCTACACAATAAACCATCCTGACACTCAGTGGCTTCAAACATATCAGCCATTTCCCTGTTCACCCTATTTCTGTGGGTTAGCAATTCGAGGAAGGGCTGGGCTGGGCAGTCCTGGCTCAGGGTCTCTCACGCGGATATTGTCAAAAGGTGGGGAGAGCTAGCAAAGCGGGGAGCTGGCCAGGCACCTGCTCCCCAGGCAAGCTCGGGGTGCCTGCATAACTCACTGATCATGGTCTCTCCACGGGGGCTTGCCTGGGCACCGGGCCTCCTCATAGCTTGGGGCTCGGGGCAGCTGGACTATTTACATGAAAGCTTCAAGAGCAAGTGTTCCAGCCAACGAGGCCTCAGAAGTCACCTGGAACCCTACTGCTAGACTGTCTTGGCTACAAGCAAGTTCCAGGCCCACCTGGGTAGAGGGGAGGGGGCCAGACTCCACCTCCTGGTGTGGAGGTGGTAAGGGCCCACTTAGAAGAGCATGTGGAATGAGAGGTATCACTGAGGCCATCTTTGGAAAACAGAATCTGCTACACAAACAAGTAACTCAAGACTCATTTATAGATAACTGAGTTTACAGATAAAATTGGAACACCCTACCCAAGGTGAAGGTAACTTCACCTTGACACTCAACAGTTGCAGTTACTCTTTAAGTCTTGAATCTGCTAAGACAGATGACTTGCTATTTTACCTGAAGTCTATTTGATCTCTTGTTTGGACACATCAAGAGCCTTTCACATTCATCTACTGAATAAAGCGCATAAGTAGATAAAGCCAAAATTGCTCAAGTATGTAAGAATCAAGAAGAATCCAAGTAATGTCCTCTCCTTTGTGGTCAAGGAAAACGTAAAACTTCAAGTCAAGACTTAAACCTTCCAGCACCGTTTCAAATGTGATCATTTCACGTGTTCTCTTTACTCCAGAATGAAAGAAGGTCAGAGCTGGAAGGGCTTGAATGCATTTAGCTGGGACTCTTGCCTGGTACCAGAACCTGCACAGGGCACTCCCAAGGAGACGTGCACTGTGGCCAGCAGCTCTGCCAGCCCATGCAGGCTGCTTCCTTTTCCTGAGTTGTTACCTTTCGATGAATTTCATCAGTCAGTGCTAGTTCTTCCTTTGTCCAAACTGTCGCCCTGATAACCACACCCATTTCTTCCATCTGTTTCTGTGCATAACATGCTTTCCAGACGCCACTGTCCCTGAAGGCAATTCCCTGAACGTACTCCTTGAAAACATGACACCCATGACACCCAGGCCCGCACAGAGCCGTTCAAGCACAGTCACCTGTGAGGAACACAAGCTACAAGTCTGTTGCTTTCAGCAAGTGGGCACAGCCTCCCTGACACCGCCCAGCCTCCCTGACACCGCCCAGCCTGCGCTCAGGACAGGTGCGACCAGACACAATTTGGCTTAGGTTAAACTTGTGGTCAGGATACATGTCCTACCTTCTAACTAATTTTCATCTAGCTGCTAGCAAATTAGATCTTTCTAGAAGTAAATGACTGTACATATCTTCCTAAGCTTTCACCTTAAAGCAGTGAAAATGTTTTGGCCAACTGTCCCAGCTCACAGCGATCATTTTGAATCAGGATTCTGTTATCAATGGTCAAAATGATGACAAGAATTACTGAAGTCATCACTGTTGGGAAAAAATGAATTTTGGAACTCAAGTGTATTAATTGGCTTGTTTGTGGGCTTATAGTTCTCCCTAACTACAAGGTTCTTAATTAGAAGATTACTTTGGTGTCCAGATGTGGAGTGGGGGGAGGGTAGAGCGATAGGTGCAGGAAGAGGGATCCACCTCCTATAAACCCCTCTTGAAACTCACCTAACCATAAATGTTGGGTATCAGTGTGAAAATTCAGAAAAGGAGAAACACCCTTGAATTAAAAGGCACTTGAAAAATGAAGGCAATAAAGAGACTCTTCTCAGTGATCTTCCCCATGAGGAACTTAAGGCATTGAATCCAACCAGAAAAATGAATGGTCCAAAATACCTCATGAATTCCACCAAGCAAAGCAGAAGCGTCTGCTCGGAATTCATTTTCAGACTGGATAATCAGCAAGCAATGGGGAAAAAAAGGAGATTGACAGAGACGAGAAAGGAACACAAACTGCAAAGAAGTCATGCTTTGCCTCAAAAAGCAAAAGCCAGCAGAAGAATTTCAAGGAAAATGATTATTGATTTGGTATCCTGGGAGAGTGAAACTCTCATGAGGGTTCTAATTCAATCAGGTTAGAGAGGTGAAGAAAAGGAGAATTATTTTGCCAGGAGCCCATGCCAGAAGCATGCTAGACAGAGAAACGAAGTGAGAATGCTGGTAACACATTCTCCATCCTCACTCTGGTTTCGGAGTATTTTCTCTAGTGATAAGGCTCAATCCGGAAACAAGCTGGAGAGAGGAAGGAAACTGGGAAGGTGGGGGAGGGAAAAAAATGAGAGAGGAAAAAAAAAAAGAGTAGCAGGAAGTTCAACCAGATAGGAACTGATGGAATTTGTTTTTCAGTGTCTCCAACTTCAAATTGCAAACCAAGTGAGAGAAGACACACGCTTATGTACACAGGCCCCGGCAGGCACCGGTCAGCACAAGTACCTGCTGCAGGTCTCAAGGGGCCCTGGGAATCTCAATTCATTATCTTCGATCATTTCTTTGTCTCCACAGAAAGTGCATACATCTCCAATTTAGGTGCACTCCAAACCAGTTATTATCTTCCAAATCAATATACAACAAAGATGGTGGGAAAAGGAAGAACTTGGAAATTAGAAATGTGCAACCAGCCGTCCCCACACAGAACAGTTTATGAGAAGTTTTCTGAGCAACTGGCAGTTCGTGATGATCTTTCACCATTGAAGCAAGTACTTCTGAATAGCCGGATTCAGCAGGGAAACAGCGCCTCCTGACAGCTGCTGTGTCTGGAGGAAATACGAAGCACCAATGAAGTCAGAGGAGAGTCCTTCAAGCAGTAGGAATGCTTTATCTTCTGAGCAATGAAAAACAGCCACAGCTGTGAAAAACTATTCTAGAGTGAAATGCAAGGTCTGAAAGCCAGTTTCTGGCAAATTGGATTGATTTTTAAAAACATAAAATGGTGTGAGCAAACATTTATTCAATAATCCTTTCTCAAGAATCCACAAGTAGATTGTGCATGGCGTAGAATGTAGATTATGAGTACTTCCTACTCTCAGAGAAGAAATACTTATTTATTAGAACGTTTCAAAAGGAAAAGACATTTCAAATATCAACCATGATGCTATACAAACCATGATTTTTATGGCAACAAAGTCCATTTTTTAAAAAGAGAAGAATGATGAGGCTTCAACTGACTGAATCCCTACCACGTGCCAAGCACTGGAGCCAGTCACATGCTGGGGACCCAGGAATGAGAACAAAAATCCTCTCTAAGGTGTTCGCTAGCCAGTGTATGCCACAAATGAAAAAGTCCACATGTAAAACACAGTGAAGCAATTTCTTCTTTTTCTTCGTTTTTTTGAGACAGGGTCTCACTCTGTGACCCAGGCTGGAGTGCGATGGCGTGATGATAGCTCACTGCAGCCTCAATCCCCTAGACTCAAGCAATCCTCCCATCTCCAGCCTCCTGAGTAGCTGAGACTACAGGTGGATGCCACTGAGCCTGGCTAATTTTTTAAATTTTTGGTAGAGACGATGTCTCACTATGTTGCCCAGGCTGGTTTCAAACTCCTGAGCTCAGGCAATCCTCCCGCCTCGGCCTCCCAAAATGTTGGGATTATAGGCACGAGCCACTGTGCCCAGCTAGCAATTTCTTTATTAGACGCAAAAAGGTCAGAGAGAGGACAGAAAGCATGATTTAAGTTTCATAAACATGTCCTAGAAATCTTGCATTTAGCTTGGATTGTTGTTTCGCTTTGATATAATTTTCTTTTAATTTCTATACATTATATTCAAAATAATTAAGAGAGCACATTCTTTACTTGGCATAGTTTGTTCCACTACACAACACAAAGTTCATTCCTACTATGCGCACAAAGAAAATTTACATTTTAAGTAATTCTTTTTTGAATGAAGACTTTTAAATGCATAGTCTTAGATTTTAAAGCTTCTTTTTGGACCAAGGACACCTTCGAAAATCCAATGAAAGCTCTGCACGTGGGCCCACACATGTTTTGCATGCAATTTAAAGGAGGTCACAAACTCACTATAGTGAGTGTACCCTGAGATACTGCCAACACCATGAGCTCTCCAACACCAGCAGGCTACAGATGACAAAACTGGTCACGATACCACTTTGTACTTACATATCACTTCACAGTTTAACATACCCCTGAAGTTATTAAGTAAATGATTTAACCAATTGGAGTGAACTTTAAAGACATCAAATGATTTGATCTCTACAAGGAGTTCTCTAAAGACTCATAAAATAGAAAATAACACTGAGCATGGCTAAGTGCAGGAAGTAGATCATGGAAACGACAATCGGCCTTTAGCACTGGGTAGTGACCCCTGCAGATCTGAGCAGCCTCAGCATCAAACGGAGAGACCATGTGGTCTGTACACACGATATTCCACTCCTAATCAGACGATTCTGTCGGCAGCTGTGATTGTCAGGGTCACGGGCGGTGTTGGAGGGGTATGCAACTATGATTGGGGTTAGCACAAGGGAGGCCTTGGTGGTAATGAAATAGTTCAGGATCTTCACTGAGATAATAATGGTTACACAATCCACAAATGTGATAAAGGGGCACAGAGCTGTATGAGCAGATGGTACCAATGCCAATTTCCTGGTTTCATCATGCTGTACTGTAGTTACGTAAGATGTAACCACTGGGGAAAACCAGATGAAGGGTACACAGAACCCCTTTACTATCTTTGCAACATCCTGTTCATCTATAAAAAGTTAAAGAAAAAACCCTCATGACTATTAATCAAGGGCTGCAGATGTTTCTTAGATATAAATACATTCAGATCATCCAGTTCAATAGAGAGACGAAAAAATACACAAGCAACACAACATCTATGCTCCAGATGCTCAAGCTCTTTCTTAATTCAGCCTCCAGCCAATAAGGAAGTCAAGTCGTTCTTCAGGCTGGCCTGGACACCTGGTCACATGCTTGTCAACCCCTAACAGCTCACCTCTGACTACAGGTAAGGTAAAGAAGTTTTGAAATTTAAACCATTATTTTCCACAAAATAGCAACAGCCAATCATTTTCCCACAAAGTTACGATACAGCATCAACCACTGGTGTCTCTGGTGAAGCTCAACAGAAGCTGCTAAGGCCTAACTAACCCCCTTCAATGTAGATTTTTTGTTAAATGAGAAAGAGTTCATTAACTTCGGCAGGACTGCTGTATTATCGGAGAAAGGCTGATTTTGGAATTGGACGGACACAGATTTAAAGCCCACGTGTGCCATTTTGGAGCATTCTAACAATTCTCTCTGTGCCTCAGTTTCCTCACTGCTACAGAGGAGATACTGATATTTACATGACGGGATTGCTGTGAGGATGAAATGAGAAAAATCCAGCACAGGGTTTGGCACACAGGTGCTTAATAAAATTGGAATTCTACGATGGCAGTCAGGAGCTGTAGAAATTAAAATCAGTAGGCTTCCCTTATTGCAAGGGTGATGCTGTTACCCAAGCCAAGAACATGGTTAACGCCAACGTTCTGGAACTCTGGATGCTGAAGACAGATCAGCATCGGCACCTAACTAGAGCACCCACAGAGCTACTGCTACCTTAGTGGCCCGCACTACCACGGTTTCCAGGACTCTGGAGGGAGGTGACCTCCAGCAACACCTTGGCCTCTGCAATGCCAAATATAAATCCAGACCGACGGAGCTATGAGAGTCAAGCGAAGCAACAACATACAACATTCCCGCCAACTGAGGATGGGAGCCGAAAGAGGTTGTATTTTCAAACAAATCTGATCAAAGTCCTCCTGCCTTTGACTATAAGGGCTGTTGTAACTAACAAGGTTAAGGTTTCTTAGCAATAGTCTACTCAAGGAAGGTACCGGTATACCTCAATAAAAGCAAACTTAACATATGAACATCCACAAGGATGTCAAAGATAAATGTAGAGGTCATTTTGCTTTACAGAAAGATACTCTGTTTGTCTTAAATGTGATTACATTTAAATAGATTCTGTTTTCTGCACACATGCAGGCATGTCAAAAGGAAAATACTGCCTAGACGCGACCTCCTCAGTGTGGCACACAGGTCAGCAGCAGCATCACCTGGGGGCTCCTCGGATGGGGATGTACAGGCTCTCAGCCCCCGCCCAGGCTTCCTGAGTTGGAATCTGCAGTTTGACAGGGAAGACCTGTACACACGGCAGGACTTGAGGAGCTCTGTCCTCAGGGTTACTCACGACCCGGAAGCCAGAAGCTCTCAGTACAGCTGCATGGCAGGCTATCCCCGTGTTCTCAACCCTCGCTCCTTACTGAACGTCAGAATAACTGCTGCAACAATTGGGGAGGAATTAAAAAAAATTTTTTTTAAATTTTTCTCCTTTTGTAATATAGATACCTGGACCCTGACCCAAGATTTAATTTAATCGGTCTTGGGCAGAACCCTGGCATTAGCATTTGTTTAAAGCTCATTAGGCAATGCCAGGACGACCTTGTTGAGAACTATGGCTACAGACGGAGAGCAGGGCCTGGTAGAAGACCACCTCACCAACAGGTAGGACCTAAATTTATCACTGGAAGAAAACACTGAACTGGAAGAGAGAGAGAGATGTGACTAATGGAAATCTCACACAAAACACGATGTTGCATCAAGGTTGATCATCTCTACACACACTGGACCAAAAGAGATTTTCCTGGGGCTAGCATTAGGGAACTGCTTTTGAAGCTCCTCAAACACAGGTGGGTGTCTCACTTTAACATGACTTAGCTACCAAAGAGTCAAGTAACACCACACAGTGTTGAAAACCTCAAGGCACCCAACACCCAATAAATTCTCAAACAGAAATCTGCCAGAGGATCAGAAACCTCTGATCTCTTACAACTAAGAGCTTTCTGCACCAAACACATAAATTCTCTTAAAGTTCTACAAAAGCCCACAAGTAACATTTCCCTCCCTGATCTGTTCAACTGTACATTTTCATAGAGGGTGTCCGGGAGGGCAAAGGCTGGGGGTGGTGGGTGAGCAGCAGGCAGAAGAGAGGATCAACGTGCAGGGATGTGGAAACGCCAGTACAGAAGGCACGTGAGCCCCACGGGGCTGGGGAGATGGGGGTTATCTCAAGGTATGGGAGGGACGTGGAGTTGATACAAAGGCTCAGGGTGTGATCGTGGGGTGGGGGCAGCTGTTGGGCAGAGCAAAGGAGATGGAGTTCAAGAGGCGCGGGACTGGAATTCTAGTTCTTCCTGAGGACACGGAGACGACTGAGAGAGTCAAGGAAGAGGGGTTGGAGAGGAGGCTGGGATAAGCCAGAGGCCATGTCCTTGGTGAACAAGGAAGAGTGGCGTAGTCCAGGTCTCACGGTGAGCACTGAGGGCAGAGGTACAACCAGAAGCCAGCCTGTCTGACCATGGCTCTTTCCAGCAGCCCCTTGTGAAGGAGCAGCCGGCACGGCCTGATGTCAGAGCGGCTCCTCCCTAGTGACCACTGCCTATCCCGTGACTCAGCATAGTCCGCGCAGGCACCAAAGCCAGGTATCCTTTCCCAGCCTGCTGCTTCCATCTGCTGAGGGTGCAGGGGCAGACAGGGGCTAAAAGACCCAGGAATTCAGTCCCAATCTGCACAGGGAATCATCTAATGAGACTTCTAACCACTGGTAATTCTGGACTCTCTAAAAATTATTACTATTAAGAAACAAACCACCACCCTAGAAATAAAGATTTCTGTCAGTCTGGAAAAATGCCAGGAATCAATAAACCAAGTCTTCTTTTTTGTTCTATGGTCACCAAGGGCCCTGGCTACAAACCAATAAAAGATCATCAGTACAACATACCAGATTAGCTGAGTAATAGTGGTCACAACCATATATTCCAGATTTTCTCAGACAATGCCAGTTCTAAATACTTTTAGCCTGTTATCTTTAGAAATCCATAATCCTAATATATCTCAAACTATATCCAGGGCTGTCTCTTACACTTCAAAACAGCACAAAAAATTCTTTGCAATATTATACAGCCCAATTTAATAATTAGAATAAATTATGGAGTTCATTCCATTGAGGGTGTAGTTTAGTCACCCCATTCTTTTCTTCTAGTTGTAAGGCAAATAATATTGTATAATAGAGGAAATACCCATCAAACCCCCTTATAGATGGTGCTGATCTAGCGCTGTCTCAAATGCTGTTAGAATGGGACAGGCTGGTTCTAGAGAATGAAGGTGACATGCTTCCTCCCACCTCCATTCCAAGTGGAGTAATGCAGTTTGAGCAGAACAGACAAAATCCCTCCCCTTCTCGGCCATGGAAGAGATATTTTCCCCTCTGATTGTATCGGCAATGGGTGTTCTTCCCCAAGTTTAATCTAGTCCTCACACCACAACAAAAAGAACAAAAGCCAAACACCAGAAAACACTTATTCTTTTTTTTAAAGATTCCTTATAAAACATTATCTACCCACTAATATTATGAAAAGGATCATATCTAGGCTGTGCATGAAGCCTCCAAAGTGTTTTGGAAACTTTGTCAGAAAAGTACTAGTCATAGATAGAAACAGTCCTATACACAGGTGAAAATCAGACAGTATTAAAGCGGAACACGGAAACTGTACGTGGCTTTATACCTCGGGAGTCTTCTTACTCTGTCTTTTCCCAAAAATGCAGTCAAGATCTGTTTTGCTCCGAGATGACAGATCCTTCCCTAGAAAAACAACGTGATGCTTTTCAGTAAGACTGTTCTTCCTAAAAGAAAGAGCGCAGACATGAACTATGCAGCACCTCAAAGGAAAATGGCTTTTGGGAAAGAAAGAAACAATTTTGAAACTACTGACTTTCTACCCACTTTTTCATTACAACTCTTTCATTAGTAAACAAAATTAATTAAATTTTAAAACCAAGTAAATGTTTTAGAACCAGAACTCTTGACATTCTCTTAATTGTAGAAACAACCTAGAGCATACTGACTGCAAGGAAAGCTAAATTCTACAGCTCACCCTACTCCCGCTATGCCCTCAAGATGCAATTCCTGGGTCTCTGGGTTCTTCATTTAAAAATAGATCTCATTTGCTTCAGAGACATGAGCTACTTACTTAGAAGATTACGAAATACACATGAAAAAATATCACTAGATACACAGCTCCAGACCCCACATATGCACATGAATGAGAACGTATCATATTTGACACACAGGATCTTAATAATTAACTCAACAAATAAAAATTTTAAAAGAATATATGTAAATCAAAAATACTGTATAAGGGTGACAGGGTTTCAGATTTTTCTTCTTAAAATGTTCTTTACTGCTCTAGCTATATTGTCTCTAAATAAAAAGCTACATAGGGAGAGTAGGAAATTAAATGGCTCTATGGTTCTTATTTAAAACACTAAACTCTTTAATTTCAAACCCCCAAACCAACTAATTTAAAATTCACTTCTTTGGAATTTCCACTTCTACCCAATAATCCTCTGTGAGCAGTAGGCCAAATCTAGTCCCATTTGTCAACGGCATGGTAAATGCATTTTAAAATGTAACTACTCCATGTAAAGGCTTGAGGCTCTGGGCGAGGGAGGTTCTGGGTCAGACACAGGAATGTGAGTCTCACGCTGGAAGCCGAGTTCCACCGTCACAGACTCACTTGTCTTCTTGGTTTCCTGTAGCACACTGCCTTGGCAAAGTAATGTCATGACCCAGAAGGTTCTAGTTCACTATCACTGGGGCACTTAAATATGATATTGCTCAGTGACTCCGTGAAATTAAAAAAACAAAACACTCTTCAATTTAATGCAAAACCAGGTGCCAAAACCAGTTTCCTAGGCAGCAGTACCAGATGAAGTGGCCCAGGCGGTATGACCTGTTCCTGCCAGGAGGGCAGGCTCCTCTGGGCTCTGGCTGCTGCTCTCCTTCCTACCTGAGCTTGACACTAAGCCCTCCTGCTTTTCATTTATGATTAAATAGGACCTACACAAAAAGACCCAAAAGAAAACCTACTTAAGAATAGACGATGCACATCACAGATACGGCAGAAAATGAACCGGGAAAGTGGGGAAGAAAACTGGTTGTAGCGGGAAGAGGTGGACAAACTCATCGGAGGTGCAGAGATGTCCTCACAGCTTTGCTGCCAGCACAACCCATTTTCCAATGCAAAGCACAGTTTGTACTTCAGAAAAGGCAGCTGTACTTAATTCAAAATGTGTACTGGCCATCTATCCCTAACCTATCCTCTGGAATAGAGACACTCTAGAAAATGCAAATTAAGGTCTCTTCTATAGCAATTTGACTAAAAGGAATGCTGGAGGGATTAAGGAAGAGAGGGTACATGCGAGATCACAGTTCTAAAACATGATGTCAAAATGTGAACACACAGATTCAAAACAGATCTGAAAGTCAAAGGGAAAACTGTCAAGCTGGTAGAGACAGTAAGCTATATCAATGAAGGTGCAAATGTGTCTAAAGTTTTGATGATGGATTCTTGTATCAGAAATTTTTAGCCTTTAGCAAAGTTCACTTAAGTAAATGTAGAAACCAGGATTGTTACAGGCCTTGCTCTGGATTTGATCTGGAAAACAAGAACACAGAGAAGAAAGAAGAGTCAGAGACCAGTGGAAAGGAACATAAAAGGTGGACAAAAAGGTGAAGATGGAAGTGACCTTGAGATAGTTACTAATTAATGGTCCTGATGGAAAGCTTATAAACACCAGGAAATTATGGCCGCTTTTGAATAAATACGACAAATTTAAAAAGCATTTAAAAAGCTTATTTGTTTCAGTTCTGAATTATGGTCAAATCATACAAAATACTGTTGATAAACTTAGAGAAAACGACAATGAAGAAAACTGAATAGGAAACATCTATCTGGATTTGGTTCATCTATTAGTCTTCAATGCGTAACATTTCCAGAACCAGTAAGAAAGGCCTCCAAGAGTCAAACTGAAAGTTCCTGCAAGGATGAGCAGGTACTTTCAAGGAAGAACACTCTATTTAGGTTTGCTTTAGCTGTTTGTCTAATAATCATGATTATCAGTTTCCCAGTCTATCAGAGTAGCTACTGGGAAGGGAGGAACATTACTGCTATAGTCAGACACATTTACAATACCAAGAAATACACATGGGAGGCAACTAAAACTTTCATTGACACGAGAACTTAGGAATCAAGATGATTTGGAAACAGTTTAGCAATAACCCAACAAGCTGTATTAGAACTGAGGCTCAAAAAACCAACTCTATGGAAAAGCAGAGTTGAGCTGCCGAGAGTAAAGAAGTGAAGGGCAAGGAATATGTTTGCTAAAATAAAAGAACACTTAAGGTTTATGTAGGTAGCTTCAATAGTTTAGAAAATTCATTTGCATTATTCAATCAAGAAGGACAAATAAAATGACATACTTTTATTTGTATCTTTTTAAATGGCAAACACACAGAACTGGCAGTCAACCGAGGGCAGAAGATAAGGGTAACTCCACTAAAAGACACCATAAACCAGGAAAGTGGAAAGAGTCAGTGTGAGTGACACAGGTCAGACCTACCAGGTGCTACCTGATATTTATTTAAATGTCAAAAGAATCAGAAGAGGAGATTGAATGCTCCTCACTACCAGTGTGCAACTGAGGGGCGGGGCTGACTGCGCTGTGAATACCAATTCTGTATTTCCCGACCAGGAAGCCGAGCACCTGCACATGCGTTAGGCATGTAGTTTCCTTGTTTCAGTAGCATATAAAATAGCCCAAACTCTCAAAGGATTAAGAAGTCTGCAAGATTCCCAGGATAAAGCTGCACAATTACAGTTTATGCAACTTTCATCCAACAACTGCATAACTGAGGGGAGGAAGCACTGCTCTCCTGCTCTCCTGCCAACGTCTCACCATCCAGTCAGAAAACCTCAGAAATGGCTTTGTATCGATTGACATTTTCCCCTCTGCAGATATAGCCTCTATCTGCAGAGACCTTTTGCATTAAAAAAAAATACAAAAAACTACAAACCAAGCTGGAGTTGAGCCTTTAAATAAGTATGATAAAACTGACATTTAAAATTATACAATAAATTAGCTCAAGTTAGAATTATAAACTCAGGACCAGGGAAAGGAATAATTATATATCAGAACTAAAACGATATAACCAACCAGGTGCAGTGGCTCACACCTGTAGTCCCAGCACGCTGGGAGGCTAAGGCAGGACGATCACTTGAGCCCAGAAGGTCAAGTCTGCAGTGAGCTGAGACTGTTCCTCTGTGCTCCAGCCTGGGCAACAGAGTGAGATCCTGTCTCAAAATAAAAATAAAAATAATGATACAGCTGATATTTAGGCAGTAGCAAATTTTACAACACTATTTGCTACTGTAATCTTAGTAGAGTAAAATTTTAATCTTCACTCTTCCCAAGCTATGTACAATTGCATCTTCCTGTTTGATTTCCTGGACGATACATGAGTTGCAATATGAATCATCCTCATCAACTAAGTGAATGAGTTACAGTCGTTATCAGCATACCCACTGGCGAAAATCTTTATTATCTACAATGCTGAAAAAGCAAAAGTTCCATGAAATGGGTCACTTCTAATAAATCATAAAACAGAACCTACCTTAGAACTTAATAGTCACTTACAAATGTATCCACATTTTACAAAAGAGGAAACTGAGTCTCAAGGGAAATGGGTAGGTGACTTGTCTGAGCGAGTAATGGCCAGAGTGAGATTTTCTGTGATCTAAGATAGTCCACCCTAGAGGAAACTTTAAAATAAGTGTGCACCGTGATTGGAAAGCTAGCTGATAAACCATTCTTTTCCTCACTCCCTGGACTTTTGCTTCCTTCTCCCTTTCCTACGTAGGCCCAGTCTGCATGTCCTTCCCGTCTCCACTCCAGCTCTTCTCTGCAATCTGACAATAGATCCGAGAATCCTTCTGTTCTGCATACTGACTCCCTCTTCTCCCCAGGCAAGGCTAATAGATACAGAACCCTCGCTGGAAGACAGAAAACGAAGGCACGAGGCACTCAGCGGTCTCACAGGGTCACCCAGCAAAGGAGTGGCTTAACTAGAAATAGAAAGCAGATGCTCCCGGCATCCATTAGATTAAAGCAGATTACAGAGGCTTATCCCAGCCTCAGCAAATGCTTCAGATGAAATCATGCATGCAGTCTGGCATCAAAGGAAAATTAGAAGATTCTACCTGTAAAAGTGAAAGCGTAAAAGGCTGCCACATCATCCGAAAGTTACAGGTCACTGAGTTTTATTAATTTGCTCTGCAACAGCACCTTCTGTGATCTCTAGTTTTTCTCTACAGTCTAATGAAAGAAGAAATGCTATTTCAGGGACTGGGTATGAAGTGAGCATGTACCCTCTCTTCAAAAGGACTGAGGGCCAAGGAAGCCTGTATTCTGTTCCATAGCACGCTGGGGTGGAGAAGAACCCCAGTCAGAAGGGATACGGGCGACAGCCAAGAAAGTTCCATGTGAGAGAAAGAACGGAGGAAGCGGAAGAGCCACGGCTGCTGGAGAGGGAAGGGAGGCCCAGCCTCTCCCTGCACACAATCCCCAATCCACTCAGCTCTGCCACGGCCTCTCACCTCAACCAAACCCAGCCCTCACTTTTGGGCTCCTGGCCCTAAATGAAAAGCATCATCAATACTTCAGAGTAGTGGGGATTCCAGCTCCCACTGCTATCCAGGCTGGCTGTACAAGTTAAGAGCTTCCCAGCAATGCCCTGATACGCATGACATTCCTAGAAGACCAAAGCAGAGATGTGCTGTTCCTGGCATATCAAGGTAGAAACACATCCAACCTCCCAGGAAAGAACCATCAACAGAGACTAGATATTACAGCATCAGCAGCATCATCACGCTTCTTATGTAAACTATGTAATAAGTAGGTTTCTAATTCATGATACTGTTCTACAGACAAACTGGGGAGTTGGTTCTATTAGGTTAAATTGCTTCTTTCCAATGCAAGATCGCCACCTAGTGGCTGAAGACAACAACCGCATGCACAAATGATTTCACATACTGGGAAGGGGCTAGGGAGGTGGTGATGAAGGAATAGGAATTCTCACCCAGGTCTCAAACGGCTTTTTACCCGACTTGGCAATGACTATGGAATGCCTACGCTGTGAAATGGAGAAATTACGTGGAATAAAGGGTCAACCAGGGAGTGTGCTTTATCACACTGGAGGTATCAATATAGAGCATAATTCTCTAACCTGGCGTATTAAAAGCTATTTAACACCAACTTTCAGCTGTGAAAAAACACCATGCAGCTAAAAATGTTGGGAAAGAAATTAAAATTATTTTCTGACCTAGCTACATAAAGTCCCGTTTTCCTCTAAATATAAGCTGATTCCATTTTTTAGCTCAGCCACAGGACTTGTTTACAGTCTAAAACCTAATCTGGGTCCCATCTCAGATCTCCTAGATCTGAATTCTAACAAGATCCTCAGGCACACCACAGTCAATGCGAAGACTCCAGCGCTGTTTCACAGCAATGCAGTCGGAGCTGTCCATAAAGCATGAAGTCGCTATTGGCCCAGAGCTAAAATGCTTCAAGCAACTCAGGACAAACACATAGATTTCAATAACAAGTAAAGAAATGCTTAATCTTACCTTTTGTGAATTTCATATAGTGAACACGGTTTTTGGAGATTTTGGACTTTTCCTCAAGGCTAAAAGATTTCTTTTCCTTCTTGTCCGAGGAATCTTTAAAAAAGATGAAAAAAATACATTAAAGTCTTTCTAATCCAATCTCATTTATTCTCCTAACAGTGGATAGTCTTGAAAGAAAATTTTAGGAGCCCTATCATTAATGATTGAACTCTTTCATTCATTTGCTCTGCAACAGCACCCTTCTGCTGGATCTCTGTTTTCTTTCTACGAGTCAAATGATTAGAAATATTTCCTTAATTTGCATACTATGGATCAGGCCAGGCTGCCCTCCAGAAATTTAGAAAATCCTTGAGGAAGAAATGGAAACTTGTGTTCACACAAAACCTAGACACAAATGTTCACATTAGCCTTATTCATCATAGCAAAATACCAAAAATCACCCCCAAGTCCTTCAACGTGTGAATGCATGAACAGCTGGGCAACCCCTGGGCCATCCTTACAGTGGAATACCACTCCACAGTGAAGAGCGGCGGCCGCTGCCACCGCAATGGCCAAAACAAACTCCAGGGCATTGTGCTTAGTCAGAGGTCCATCTACAAACATAACATATGACTCCATCTACAGAACATTCTCGACATGACAAAACTACAGAGAGAGAGGACAGATGAATGGTTTCGAGGGGACAAGGATGAAGGTACAGTGGGTACAAATACAAAGATGAGGCATGAGGTTGCTGTGCCGTGGTGGCCAATCCTGTATCCTCACCATTGTGGTTGCTGCATGAATCTGCACTTGTGATAAAATTGCACAGAACCATCCGCCCATGTACAAATGAATGGAGACCAAAAAAAGATGATGAAAACTGGCTAAGGTTTGTGGTGCAGTTGACAGTAACACCAAATGTCAACTTCCCGGTTGCGAAAAGCCACAGCAATGTAATGTCTCTCCACCCTGGGAGAACAGGGGGAAAGACGTTCAGGACTCTCTGAATTATTTTGCGAATTCCTATAAGCCTGTAATTATTTCAAAATAAAAAGTTCCTTTAAAAAGTAAATAAAGGTAAGACAGGTTAAATGATCACCTAAATACAGATCAGAGATGACGATTAGGTGACGCATGGAGGAGCAGCAATAGCTCCAAGCCACCTTTTCAGGGTTTCGGGAAGGACAACTGGAAGGGCAAAAGGAGCAGGAACACACCATTGAGGAAGACATCCGAGTGGTAACGCCTTTGACGGAAGGGAAAATGTGAGCCAGAAAGTAGGTCCTTGCCTGAAAGGTTGATCAGAGCAGGTTGATCTGGGGTTAGAGTCAATTATAAATTAGCTAGCCACCTGCATTCTCTCACCTGTATCTGCTTGTCAAGTTCAGACAGAAGAGTGCCACAGAAACGATCATAGGCAGAAGAGAGACTAAATTTTCCTACAGTTTTAAGAACATTCAGATATGAGGTTAGAGAAACTGGAAAAAAAGCAGCCGGGCGCGGTGGCTCATGCCTGTAATCCCAGCACTTTGGTAGGCCGCGGCAGGCAGATCATGAGGTCAGGAGATCGACACCATCCTGGCTAACATGGTGAAACCCCGTCTCTACTAAAAATACAAAAAAAAAAAATTAGCCGGGCGTGGTGGCGGGCACCTGTAGTCCCAGCTACTCAGGAGGCTGAGGCAGGAGAATGGCGTGAACCTGGGAGGCAGAGCTTGCAGCGAGCCGAAATCACGCCACTGCACTCCAGCCTGGGTGACAGAGCGAGACTCCATCTCAAAAAAAAAAAAAAAAAAAATCCAACAAACCAACCTTCTTCAGAGGATATAAGAGAAATTGGAAAAAAAGAAACTCTCACCCTGACAGTGGAGCGAAACAAGCACGTGTCCATTCAACAACATGTGACTGCACTGCAACCCCTCCCAGGAGTCACTTATTTCAAAGGTATAGTTCCCTATGGGAACTATACAGCAGGCTCGAAAGAACGTGAAGGCAGATGTTCCGCACTTGAGGCAAAGCCCAGCACAGGCTCATTATTTCCACAAGCTGAAACATTCTCTTCTGCAGCCACTTCCCAGGGACACCTTGGATTTTTTGCAAAGACATCCTACCAGTAAATTCTTCTCTTTTGCACTTCATATGGCACATAACATTTTCAATGCTGATGTTCCAATCACAAATCACAGAGGAAGTTATCAGCTTAAAGCGGCTCCTACCGACTGCAAGTGTATGAGGGACGAGGCGCTGGACTGGAGGCTTTCCATGAATTCTTGGATTTCCTTCCCACAGCCACTCCATAAGAGAGCTGCTGTGATGCCTGAACTCACTACAGAGGACGACACTGATAAGGCACACCCAGGAAGCCCCCGCGATGGGACCGAAGCCCAGGCAGACATGACGCAGAGGCCACATCCTGAAGCACCACGCCGTGCCCTCACAGAGCAGCTCTCTCAGCCTTGAGAGGGCAGAAGAATCACCTGGTGAGCGTCTCTACCTTCTCAGCATGCAGGTATCAAGAAGGATGCGTGAGCACCGCCAGGCCTTGAGGAATCACTTTCTATCTATTTGTTCACGTGCACTCATGCCTGAAACTGCTCGGAGTCTGAGTTATGCACCAATCTGGCCGTCCTTTCCCGGGTATCCCCTCCCACTTTACAAAGGAAAGGCACAACTTTCCTCTTACCGGGATCAATGAGGGACAAGGGAAAATACTGTTGTCAAAGCAGCAATCAAAGCAGCTGGCCCGGCCCTCACACCCCTACGCTAACCCAGCTCATCAGGAGGTGCACTGCCAAAGAGATGTGTTTAATAAGCATTCATTAAAATGTATAACAGATCTGCTAATTTTATTCACTGTGATCTACTAATCATGAGGGTAGGTGCAGTGGCTAAAGTCTGTAACCCCAGCACCTTGAGAGGCTGAGGTGGGTGGATCACAAGGTCAGGAGTTGGAGACCAGCCTGACCAACATGGTGAAACCCCGTCTCTATTAAAAATACAAAAATTAGCCAGGCGTGGTGGTGTGCACCTGTAATCCCAGCTACTCAGGAGGCTGAGGCAGGAGAATCGCTTGAACCCGGGAGGCGGAGGTTGCGGTAAGCCAAGATTGTGCCACTGCACTCCAGCCTGGGCCACAGAGCAAGACTCCATCTCAAAAAAAAAAAAAAAAAAAAAAAAAGAGAGAGAGAAAATAAAACCCTAGATTCTTTATGAAATCCTTCAGAGTAAAGTAAATTTTCTGGCCTTAATCGTGGTTTATGGCTCTAGATTTGCCAGCCACACTATCAGGAGGCTTACAGTGCTGAGTATCTCTGCTTGCTTTTCTTAGATGTTATAATGCATTTAGTCCTCACAACAACCTTCCAAAGATGATACTACTGCTTCCATTTAACCAAAGAGGAAATCGAGGTACAGCCATGTTCAGCAATTTACCGAATGTCATACAAATGAAAAGTCAGACCAGGATTAAAATCCAGGCAGTCTGACTCTGGTGTTTGTCTCTAAACCACTGCATTCTATTTAATCTCCAAGTCTTATATGTTCATGCTTACATTCTTACATTCTTTTTTTTTTTTGGAGATGGAGTTTCACTCTTGTTGCCCAGGCTGGAGTGCAATGGCGTGATCTCGCCTCACCACAAACTCCGCCTCCCAGGTTCAAGCGATTCTCCTGCCTCAGCCTCCAAGTAGCTGGGATTACAGGCATACGCCACCACGCCCAGCTAATTTTGTATTTTTAGGAGAGACAGGGTTTCTCCATGTTGGTCAGGCTGGTCTCAAACTCCCGACCTCAGGTGATCCGCCCGCCTCAGCCTCCCAAAGTGCTGGTATTACACCGTGCCCAGCCAAGCTTACATTCTTATCTGTGTTTCTACTGAGTTCAACTGTGATCGTAAATATCAAGATGTTTTCTGTGTATAATTAGTAAGGAATAGTGTCCTTGAACTTTACTACTTCATAGATCCTGCATTTCCTAATATGAGTCATTCAGTATTTTCAGAAAACATTTTCCTTATCTTTTTCTTCTGCTAATAAATTATTGCCCTTCATATTAGGACCACACACAGAACTGTTAGGTTATTTCAAAATCATGATCCTATGGATAAGGAAAACGGTCCAAGTTATACATTCCAACAAAAAGTCCAATCTGGTTAGAAAAAATACCAACAAAGCACCTTTCCCTTCACACTGTTGGGCTCACTTCCACACACGGCACTGCAATAAACCTTCCTATGGTTAGATGTGTGCTGTGATTTTACCAGGTAATTACCAGCATATTCTGCTAGCTACCTCCAAGCAGGACTGTGTCTTACACCTCTGCAGATCCTCACACCTAAACTAGTACCCAGCACACAGCTCAATAAATGTTTGCTGAACTCAAGTCTAATTCATTATTTCACTCCACAAAATTCTTTCAATCTACCAAATATCTTTTGATTATTCACACATGACACACAAGGAATAGACTGTTCATAAACAAGAATGTTTATAAAAATGCTTGCAGATTACAACAAAATCCAATTAAAAAATGGGCAAAGTACTTAGACACTTCTTCAAAGAAGATATAAAAATGGCCAATAAGCGATGAAAAGATGCTTAACATCAGTCATTAGGGAAATGGAAATCCAAATCACAATGAGACATCATCTCACACCCATTAGGATGGCTATTATCAAAATTATAAAAGATAATTACTGGTTAGGATATGGAGAAATTGGAACTCTTATGCACTGTTGATGTAGCCACTACAGAAAACAGTACGGCCGCTCCTCAAAAAGTTAAAAATAGAACTACTATATGATCCAGCAATCCACTCCCAGGCATTACCCAAAGGAAAGGAAATCAGCATGTTGCAGAGGTACCTGCAAACCCACGTTCACTGCAGCACTATTCACAACAGCCAAGATATGGAATCAACCTAAGTGTCCACCAACACATGAACTGGGAAACATGTGGTGCATACACACCACGGAATACTATTTACCCTTACGAAAGAATGAGAGTTTTTCATTTGAGGCAACATGGGTGAGCTTGGAGGACATTAAGTGAAATAAGCCAGGCACAGATAAATATCACATATTCTCGTTCATATGGAAAAGCTAAAGGAGTTGAGCTCATAAAAGTAGACAGCAGAATAGTGGTTATTAGAGCTGCGTAAGGAAAACAGCTATGTAGGAACAGCTAAAGATTGGCTAATGGATATAAAAGTCCCACTACATAAGAGGAAAAAGCTCTAGTCTTCTATAGCACTGTAGGGTGACTATAATAAATAATATTTTATTTTATATTTTCAAATAGCTAGAAGAACAGATTTTAAATGCTCCCAACACAAATAATAAATGTCTGAAGTGATATATATGCCAATTACGTTGATGAACATAACACATGTGTACATTACAAATTGTGCACAGGTACTGACATATCACACTATACTCAATAAATATGTATAATTATGTGTCAACTAAAAATAATAAAAGCAAAAAACAAAAAGTAGATAAACATATTTTCATTGAGAACTTATGTCATCTGATTTCCCTACCTGTGGTTTCCTGCCCATGGCAAGTGTTCAGTTCGGCCAGAAGCTGGTTAAAATCATCCTGATGGGCAATCCAGTTGTCCTGAAAATATCAAAGAAATGAACGAGAGGTAAGCCTGTAGTTTACTTACACTGACTGAGATGATACATTTTGGAATCAAGGAAATCCAGTGGTTAATTAAGAAATTTTAAATGTTCCATCAAAATACTATTTGATAAATTTAAGTGGATTCAAGAAATAATATAAAGTTAAAATGCTCTTTATCCAGGTCAATATTAAAAAGGGGCTTCCTGGAAGCTTAAGGCCTGATTTCAAATGGGAATGACTTATCGATCAAGTCAATATATAGTAAATAATCAACAGGCAACCTGTGTGCTAAATGTTAAAGCAAAACATAATGAAATGACTATTTTTTTCTCACTAGGGGAAATTCCATAGTTGAAAGGACAAGAACCATGCAGGACAAAAAAAATGCTCTTCTTTGCTTGGTAGAATTAAAATCTTCTGATGACTTGCATCAACTCCAATTTTACAAAACTCTGAGGAAGGGGAGGAGGAAGAACCTTAAGTCCCCTGAATCGATGAGTTCCCATTTGTAAGGTGGTTACCTAATAAGTTTATTATAAAAAAATGAACCTGGCTTTTATAAGAGAATGAAGATCTCCCAAACCAGTGGGAAGCAGGGTTTCAGTGTACGAATCTGCCTTACTCACATTCTTAGCAATTTTTAAGAATGCTTAAGGTAAAGGAATATGAAATAGGTTTACTGGGCAATGCTTCTTCTAAGAAAATAAGTATATCTGTGTTATCTATCCCTCAACAACTACATTTGAAATCAACTTTATATAAACTCTTTCTTTAGTGGCTAAAAATTTTAGCTCCGCCAATCCACTACTCAGAGATACGGAACTAACCAAAGTAATTCAATTTACCTAAAGTAATTTCCCAGATTTCCTACCAGATTATGTTGGCTGCAAAAACTTAGAAACAAAACTTTTCAGTTTAGATCCTTTCCAAAAGGGAACAATGATACTAAAAATAAAAAGCGCGGTAGGCCACTGACTCTGAGTTACAGTGCCATGCATTCAAAGCGTCAGTGTTCAAGAGGAAACGTGAATAAAAAGAAGTGCTGCACCAATGGTCAGAAACAGATGAACCAATCAACTTTCAGATTTACAAGACTGAAGCCAATTATGCAAAGACACCCAGGAGGCACACACTGCTGCTCACTTCATTATTGATGGTAGCTCCGAGTCCCAGGTGGTTATTTTTCACTTGAACTTTAATATGATCTGTGGCTCCTTGCTCCTGAGCCCCTAAACCCTGTGGAGATTAAATACAGAGAGTTAGAACATTCCTCTCACTGATACTCAGCAGAGCACTGCTACAAAACTCACAGATGCCTACGGCAGGTGTTCTGAGTTGATGATTCTCTCCATTAAATACTTTCACAAAGCAACATGCGGGAGGACTCTAAGTCCTCTGCATCAATTAGCACTCATCTGTAAGATTTTCCAGGTAAGGAAAGATCAAGTGCAAAGACCCGAAGGTGGGAAAAAACTCAGTGTACTGGGAAACCTCAGAGGCACCCAGGATGGCTTCTGCAAATTAAGGAATGAAGGAAGTAGGATGACGGAGGGGCTAGATCTCACATAACCTACGGGAGGAATTTGGATTTTATTTTAAAGACAATGGAAAACCACTGGTCTTTCAAGGATGACATGATCTAATTTCCATATTTTAAAAGATCATTCTGGCTGCTGTACAGCAAATGGGCCAGAGGAGAAAAAGGAGGGAGGAAGGGAGGCAGCTGAGAGTCTGACCAGTCAGTGAGCTCAAGTGATGACAGTGGCTGAAGCGGGGCTCTGCCCTGCATGGAGAAGAGACGACTGGGGTGCCGGAGGCTGGAGAAGAGACGACTGGGGTGCGGGAGGCTGGAGAAGAATGACGACTGGGGCTGCGGGAGGCTGGAGACAAACGACGACTGGGCTGCGGGAGGCAAGAGGGCGGAGGAACCAAGCATGACTGTCAGGTTTCTGGCTTGTGTAAGTGGCAGACGGTGCCATGTATGAAAAATGGGGAAAACCTGGGAAAAATATATTTGGGGGAATCAAGAGTTTTATAATAGAAATGATACCCTTGAAATGCTTACTCAAGTGGAAATATCAAGTAGGCTATTGAATTTATAAATCTAGAGCTCAGAGGACAGAACTGGACTCAATATAGAAAAATGACAGTTCCCAGACATTAGCTAATTCAAAGTGTGGCAAGGGAATGAATGAGATCACTGCAGCAAAGTGCAAAAAAGGGGCCTGAGGTTGAGCCTCAAGGAGCCCTAATAATCAAAAGTCTATAGAAAGAAGAGACAGCAACAAATTTAGGAGTGGCAAGTGAGGTGAAAAGAAGAGCAGAAGAGACAATAGCACTGTGGAGGCCAAGACAGAAGTATTTCAAGGAGAGAGTAGTCAATTACATCCAGCACTGCTGAGGAGTTAAGTAATGTGAGAACAAAACAAGCGGCCCACTGATTTGGCACTTAGAGATCGCTAAAGACCTCAACAAGAACCATTTAAGTGTAGAGGTATCAGCAGAGGCTCTACTGGAGTCAAGAATAAATGGAAAGGGAAAAAGCGTGTAGCCTAGTTGCAATGTCTATGAAAGATGCTAAGCATGGCAGCTTAAATGATAGAGAGTTGACACTTATGTCCAATCCTAATTTATCATCATAAGGTCACAACAATTTTTGATTTGGGATCAAAATCACTTACTGATCCAAAGCATAAGTTTCTTCCAGTCTCCTAAGAAGGAAGTTTTCCCCTAATTTCTAATCTCTTTTCATAGCTCAGATTTTTTTCTGCTTTTCTCCAAAATACCTTTCCTTTAGACCACCCCATCTTCTCTAGCATCCGCTGGCCAAACTTGGAATCGTCATTACTCCAAGCAGTGTTCTGAGGATCCACAGCCCACTTCTGCTTCCGCCGACCTGTAAATGAAAAAGCATTATCATCAGCAATGGAGATGATACCCGGAAAATACCACACAAACATACACATGCATAACTTTGTGTATTTTATGTATGTATGTAAAATATGACATACATTACAATACAGAAATTAATTCAACACTCAACAGAATGTTAGACTGGATCATTTATCCTGATTTCCCTAATAAATGTATATTCTAGACATATAAGTTGACCTCTTAAGATTAAAACTGAAATGTTCCCTCATAATGTGGCAAAGCAAATGCTCAATATACTAGAGCTGGGCCTTCCATACTCCGCCATCAGCACAACTGAAAGCACCCGTGGACACCAGCATCCTCATCACCATCAGCAGTAGTAGCAGCAGCATTACAGCTTCCATTGCCATGCGTTACTACATACAAAAGAACATGCAATACCAAGGATGCGCTTAAAATAGTAAATGCCAATTATTCAACCTGAGACCTGCTCCAAACGCTGTACATAATATTCAGTTTTCACAGTACCCCAACGAGTGTGGATAGTACCATTGTCACTGGCAGATATGAAAATCTGAGGCTTAGAGAAAGAAATTTGCCGAACATCCCCAAGCAAAAACCAGATCCTTTAAACCAACCTTGGTCCTACTAACTTCAAAGCTTATATTCTTAATTCACAACATACAATAGTCATTATGCTCTTGGGGAGAGTCAACTGTACCCTCCACACATGTGACCTACAGATAATAACAATCCCATCCCTCTCATTGAGATGCCCTGAAGCCCTCTGACCCCTCTTTGAACTTCTAGAATAACTTATCTGTTTCTTAACATCCACTGTATTAGGGCCATTTATATCCGCCTTTCCGGTTTCCCATTAGACCATCATCTCCTTAGGGCTCATATTCATGTCTTTTTTCTGAGGCTTCATTGCAAGAAGTAAAAAAATCACTGTGCCCACAGCAGGCACTCAATAAATATGTGAATGGAATAAACGATAAAAATGAAGAATGGAAAGAGGAAGAAAGGAGGAAAGAAGAGGGAGAGGAAAAAAGGAAGGAAGGAGTATAACTGAATTAAGGGAACTGCTTTGAATCTCATCAAAGCAACTTTTTTTAATGCATATAAATTACTGATCATTATGAACTCCAGTTTATCACTGTCGTTTTAAGGAAAATTATGGCAAAAATAAAGAACTCCAAAGGTTCAAAGCACAAGAATGTCAAACCGAAAAGTAGACTGTGGCGAAATGAGAAATTTGGAGGTGTCATTATCATTTATCTGCCACATCAATATAAGCACATTGTCTCACCATCAACACAACCCCTCCTACCTTGCCCATCTCATCACATAATTAAAAAATAACATGACCCCCTGTCAAAGGGGCTCACTGTGGCACACATAAAATCAATAGAGGCCCATAACTATGCACACTCCAGCAAAAATAGGAAATCCTTTACAAATACACAGGCAGAAAAAAAGGCCCTTAACAAAGCAAAACAAGTTGGGCTCGAATTTGTAGTGTTTTGCAGAAAAAAAAAGGTGACCCAAAAATGTTCCATCTAAATTACCACTTTACTTATCTTGGCAAATACTCAGCATAACACTGCGTCTGCTAATGAACAACACACCAGAGAGAAGCCTGTTAGCCAGTATTCTATATGCAAGCTGGCATCAGTGTGTCAGAGTTCATGTGTCTATGCAGTGCTTGCCAGGGGTCTTTGACTAGGGCTTGTACGAAGGAGACAGTTTTGAGAATAAGCTCACGCTCTGCAGTTAAGAACTGCACACGCTTCACATTACCTACTTATATAAAACAAACTATAATGCCTACACAAGAGATTAGCTATTCAAGGTCAATTCCTCTCCCCTGGGAAAATGGCAGTTAGCTTCAATCAATGGGATCACACCAGTGTTTCCAAACAAGGATGTTGGGGGGGCGGGGGGTGGCAGTTTCCCATTGAAAATGAGTAACACTGGGTTAAACTAAATTTCATATGGAAGAATCTCCCGGAAACTTTACTATGCAAATGTGCAGATCCTCTTAGAGGAGGCCAGAGCAGGCCTGCCATGCTTCCCAGACTTCACTTGACCAGAACCCTGCTTCCCTGGAACATTTCCCAGCTCTAATGGCACCCAAGTTTCCAGGTGTGGAAAATCATGGTAAGGAAAAGACTGCCTCTGAGCTGTTCCCACCTTTTACATGTCCTTTGTAATTCTCATGCCACAGTCTGTTCTGTGCTCAGATCTCAGCTTTGTTCACTAACACAGAAGGCCTGACTGCTATCCTTTGAAAGGCATGTTCATAACAGGGAACTCAAGGGTTCCCACCATTCGCAGAACTGGTAAGAGTGGCTCATTGTGCCTGTTTATGCAAATGATACAGTTTATGCTGAGCACCTGCTTTCCTTCTGCGAGCCAGGAATTTTGGTGCCTCCCAGGTAGAGGGTGTCTATGTGACCAGGCCCCAGGAAATCCCTAGCACCGAGTCTCTCACTAGCTTCCCTGGTGGGCAACATTCCATATTTGCTCTCAGAACTCACTACTGGAGGAATTAAGCGTGTTATGTGTGACTCCCTGGGGGAGGGCTCTGGAAGCTTGACGCCTGGCTTAGCCTGGACTTTGCCCCGTGCATCTTTTCCTTTTGCCGGCTTTGCTCTACATCCTTTTGCTGTAATAAATCTTAGCAGTGAGTGCGACTATATGCTGAGTCCTGTGCCTGAATCCCCCAGCACATCATTGAATCTGGGGATGATCTTGGGGACCCTTGACACGATCTGGAACAGCAGTGTTTACAGCATGGCGCTGGGCCTCAGGTAGAATGCCCTGAATCTGCAGAATCACTATTTGGGATGTATTTAACCATCCTCTAGCAGGTACTCCTATGTGGAGATCTAACTGTAAATGGGTCTGTCGGGATACTTTTGGGGCAAATCCAATAAAAACCATCCACACAACAGCTCAATACCACATGACTTATGCTAGGATCCCGTTTACTCTAAAGGGCGTGTTGAGTCCCAAGAGCCAGAGGCAGAAGTTTTAAACAATCTCTCAAAATTCAGAGGTTGATCAGAAGGAGAGTATTGTTACACTAAATTAAATTTGGCCTGAGGAGGCCTCCGTACTTGAGTCCTTACATAAGGAACTACAACCTACGTTAGAACTTAAAGGAAGCGAAAGCCTACCGTAGGAGTATACTCTTATAACATATAAGTGAGCCTCAATCCATTACAGCAGCTAGGCTTCAATCACAGGCAGCCATCTGATTCAAATAAGGCAAATCAGAGCGGTAACCCTAACCAAGTTGTCGCTGTACCTCACTTCCGTTTACTGTCCATAAATACTGCCTGACCACATAGCAGGTTGGAGTTCTTAGAACCCGTTCTAGTTCTGAAGGCTGCCCAATTCTTGAATCATTCTTTGCTCAATCAAACTCTGTATAATTTGTCTAAGGTTTTTCTTCTTAACAACACCAATCCTAAGTATCTAATTACAGAAGATGCTATACCCATTTAGCAAATTACGAAAAAGAAAACACAAAAATATTACATATTATAATGACAAGGATTTGACAATTTGGAATAACGTTGGGAAGAGGAGAACTGAAAACACTCTCTTGAAATCATGTAATCTGAATTACTGATGCCTACAAATAGCATTTTACACCTCTATACTTCAGACTTTTCAAACTATGTTCATGTTCACCATCTCACTGATTTAAGGCCACCTAGGGATAAAAATATTAAGAGAAGATTTTGTGGCCTCACAAACACTGATCAAAGGAACAGACATAAATGAATAGCAGAACTAGGGCCAAAGTCGCCAAGTGCATGCTGAATTAAGCAAACATCAAAGAATACGAAAACCAGAAGAGATCTTAGCTATCTAGGCTCTAACCCTGACTCCTCATTTTTTACTGGTGAAAAAATAGAACCGACGGGTTCAGTCTAAAACATACTCATTTCTATGGGTCTCCGCTGGTCTTACTGGCAAGAACATAAAGATACAGAGATAACTGGATCAATTTTGCCATTTTCTAGCTCAATGACTAGGGGCAAATTATTTTCCTTTGAACGTCAATTTCTGCCCCTGTAAAATCGGGATGGTGCCTGACCCATTTCGTTTTGTGCTCCTAAGTCCTCCACCCTCTTAGAAAAGAGAGTGCTAACAGCACTTATTTCACAAAATCCCTGTGCTGGTCTGCTTGATCTGTTAAATAAGCTGTTTCTGTTCTTTGCTCACTATACAACTCGCCAAGCAGGACCCGCTTTTCAGGATCAAAGCATGACTGCCATCTGGCGGCAAGCGACCTTCGCTACAGGTACAATTCAGAAGTTCAGCAGCCTCTCCAGAGACAGGGGTTTCACCGACTCCACCAAGTGAAGATAAATGTCAAAGGTAAACAGGCAGGACGGGGCGCTGTGGCCAACTAACAAGGTCAAAAACGCCAGTCTCACTTAGAATTACACATTAGCCCTGCACTCCCTCGCTAAGTGGCTGACGTCCCATATTTGAGACTTCTAACTCCTTTGCTTTTTCTTTTTCTGGGTCCAAGACATCTTGGACAATGTGATTACAGTTTCAAGTGATCCTTCTGCTCAACCTTCTCTTTTTAACCTCAGGAAGCTGAGGTCCGGGGTGGGTGAAGCAACCAGTCCGGGACCCCACAAAGGGCGGCGGCGGGGCCAGTCCCGGGACCCGGTGTTCTGACCCACTTCGCACGCGCCCCAGGGTGATTCTGAGGACGGCGTCTCCGGGAGACACTTGCGGTCTCTCTCACTAGCAGACCTGCGGCCAACTTTCGGGGAGCTCTGCGGCGAGCAGGACAATCAGAGCCGGGCTCGGCTCCCCGGTCCCCCGATCCCATGCGCCAGGCGCGCCGGCAACCCGAGCTCCCAGCCACTCCGGGCTGCCGTGCGCGTCACCCGGCATCTTCACCAACGCGCCTGGGTCGGGCCTCCGCTTCCGACACTCACGTTCAGCCAGCATAGACATGTCGGAGAGCCTGTGATACCGCCGCCTCTGGACCTGGGTGACTGCGGCCACTGGGCGGGCTGGAGACTCCAGGAGAATCAGGACGTGCGTAACTCCCTCGCCGGCGGACTGCAGCGGACGGGGCGCGTGCTGGTGACGTCAGTAGCGCGCGACTCGCTCCTCGAGCACGCGGCGGCGAGGGGGCGGAGCAGGGCGGGGCAACCTGGGGAGGTGACGGGAGAAAGAGGGACTGAGGGGGCGGTGGCCGCCCTGCGGGAGGTGGAGAAAGGAGTACGTATTCGCTCATTGGCTAGAGGGAGTGTGCGTACTAAGCTATTGATGTGAGTAAAGCCCGCCTGGGCGTGTCTGCCGCGGAGCATAAGCTCACGTGGATTACCTGTAGGGTCTCCATCAGGAAGCCCTAGGTGCCGGCAAGAAGGGTAGTGGAAAGACGTGACCTGCCCTCAAGCAGCTCAGCCTCACGGGGAAAAGAAATGTGTAAAGAGCTGAACTTAGGGTCATGGATGTTGTATGGACAAGGAGTTTGAAAAACTTGGCTGGAGGGGAGGACTTTGCATTGTAATGTCCCATCTCTTCCTCGTACCCTACCTCTGCTTTCTGAGATAGATAAACAAATGGATGATAGATAAATAGATAGATAGATAGATGATAGATAGATAGTAGATAGATATCAGAAGATAGGTCTGCTATCTATCGGTTTTTTTGTGGGACCCCACACAAAATAGTTGTGGGGAAAATGTTACCTCTTTAAATAATGGGATGCCTTCAACAAGGCAAAGGTTTTATTTATTTTCTCCACCACAGTGCACACACTGGAAGGTTGCCTTTATTATATCCATTTCTGTATTCGTACCAGCACCTCGCAAAATAATGTGAGTATGGTAAGGCTCCATAGATGTTTGCAAAATTTAATTCAAGTATCCCTGTCTCCAGGGGAGTTCTAATAAGCTCCTAGCTATAACACTTTTAAGTATGGTAAAGACATGTTTTTGGGTGAGTGACTCTCCAGTAAACTTCAGGTGACAGTGCACACAGAAGCCTTTCCTACATAAAAGGAAGGTAAAAAGAGCACCACTCAGGTGCCAAGAAAAGCAATTGAAGGACTAGATTCTTGTTTACAATGAAATCCTCCCTTTAACTAGGAATCTGGATGAAAAAGGTAAACCCTAGTTTCATAAAAGTTAGAAGAAACACAAAAGGATGCTTATAGCTATCAGTGAATACTGAGGGGGTGAGGGGAGGCAAGTGAATGGAATTTTCCCAGCCAAGGCAGGAAAGCTGTGACATTGTGACATAGGGAACAAGGTTAAAAGTAGGGCACTGGACTCAGGAAGGCAGGATCACAAAAATCTTAGGATAATTAGCAGATCTATTGGATTATGCCAGAGAGAGTGGAAGGTAGTTATATAGAATGGAGAATACTGAATTAGTCGGAAATCAGAGTTTTTCAAGCACCTCCTGTGTTGGTATATGATTTCAGAAAGGTAATTTTGTCTCTAAGATGGTCAAGAAGATCGAAGCAGACATTTATGGCCTGTTGCCATGGTTCAGGTGGTAAATGGTTAGTTATCGTTGGATCTTCTGTTACAATGAGGTGTCTCCTGGAAACGCTCAGTTAGAGGCCACAGAGGAATATTGTAGAAGGGACTCTGCCTTTTGGTGAATGCAGGATGGTTTCCTATTTTGTTTCAACCCCAGCATTCTATATGGCTATGAAATATTAATGGAGATCATCTACTGAAAAAGAATATTATTAAGTTTGGGATTTAAAAAAAATTACAGAATCTTGTTTGTATTTTAACTGGCCAGCTGGAGTGGAAATTGCACTTGTTAAAAGAAGGTGATCCAATGTAACCCATTCCATCTTGTCCTTCAGTGTCTCAGCAGACTCCCTTGGGCAATACTTCACAGACATGACTGTGCACGCCAGTCACCCAGAGATCATGTTAAAATGCACATCTGGTTCAGCAGGCCTAGGGTGAGTCTGAGATTCTGCCTTTTTTTTTTTTTTTTTGAGACAGGGCCTCACTATGTTGTCCGTGCTGGAGCATAATAGTGTGACCATGGCTTACTGCAGCCTCTGCCTCTCTGACTTAAGCAGTCCTCCCACCTGAGTGTCCTAGGTAGCTATGACTACGGGCATGTGCCACAACATCCAGCTAAATTTTTTTATTTTTATTTTTTGTAGAGACAGGATATCCCTATGTTTCCCAGGCTGGTCTCAAATTCCTGGGCTAAAGTGATCCTCCCACCTCAGCTCCCAAAGTTTCAGGATTACAGGCATGAGCCAGATTCTGCATTTATAACAGGGTCTAAAAATGTGGATACCAATGATCCACAGACCTTTCTTTGCATAACAGTCCATGACATGAGCAAAGGTATGAATGGACTCAAGGGTAAAGTAGTTTCTCTTTTTTTTTTTTTCTACACAGGTAGTTGGCTCTCCCAAGTACGTAGTTCTGCTAGTGTGGCCAGAAAGCAGCTAAACAATAGATAAACACTCATTAATGTATCTATTGTTTGGCTGCTTTCTGGCCACACCAGCAGAACTAAGCAGTTGGGAGAGACTGTGTGGCCCCCAAAACCTAATATATTTACTGTCTGATCCTTTAAGAAAAATTTCGCTGGCCCCTGAATTAATTTCAAAAACATGATGCTCAGTGGAAGAAGTACATGCTATATGATTCCATTTATATGAAATTCTAGACTAGGCAACACTAATCAGGCATGTAGGACGGATTTGAATGATCCAGGCCAGAAGCCATTCTGTACAACAAAAGAAGCCAAAAGATGTATGAAGAGAAGGAAGACTGAGATAATAAGGGCTAGATCTCCCTAAGGCAGAGCATCAGAGGGAACACTCATTCACTAACAGCTTCTCCTGAGGCTCTGGAGAGGCCCTGGGGCCCCAGCGAACTTGCTTGCAGAGCCTGGCTGCACTCTTGGTCCTTCACTCCCTGTGAGGTCCGATTATTTGTCTTTTTTCCTCCCTTGGTTCATGTAGCTGAGAGTCTTATTTCCTTTTCATACTTCTAATATACCTCCCATTACGTAAGGTAAGCCAAGTGAATGTTGATTCTTACAAGCAGAAAAGTGAAATACACATGAGAAAGTGCTCAAGATACGTAAAGGGGAAAAAATCTCTAGGACACCAAGTTGATCATTCATAGTTCATTTAATATCAGTAATTAAAAAATACATATTAAATTAAAGTCTAAAAGGTAATACTCTAATTCTTCACTGAAAACCATATCTAGTTGGTAAGGTTATGGGTTGTTGTTTGATCTTCCTAATGCTTTTTTTTTTTTTTTGGTACATTTTTCTTCTTGATGTGAGTCATATTTTCCTGCATCTTTCACACCTGGTAACCTTTTTATTTTACATCCGACATTGTGAGTGTTACTTTATTGGGGGCTGAAGGCTTTTGTATTCCTTCAAATATTTTGTTCTGGGATAGTTAAGTCCTTTGGGGAAAATGTGGCCTTTGCAAGCCTTTTGTGTAAGTTTTGCTAGATGGGCCCACAATAGTCTTTAAGTTTAGTTATAATCTGGTCCCATTGTTAAAGCAGCAGCCTGTCAAGGACTCTGCTTGATGCTCCATGTGTTTAGAAATTATTTCCACTGGGGAAACGCAAGTTGCTTTTGGCCCTGTGTGAGCTCTGGGGATTTTTCTGCCTTCTTGTCTCTGGTGGTTCTTTCCCAGTAGTTTCCTCCAGTGCAAGTGTTGCTCAATCTTCATTTGAAGACTTGAGGGGACGCTTCTGCAAATATCTGGAGTTTCCCTTGGTATAATTCTCTTCTCTCTGACACTCGGCCCCAAGAATCCTAGCTTCCTTGATTGTTGTCACCTTAGCTCAGTGAGACCTCCAGGTTCTGTCTGAGTTCCGTCTCCCTATGCTGCAACCTGGAAACTCTTCAGGCCAGAAATGAGGGCTATCAAAGGGCTCACCTCCTTTATTACCAAATTGTTAGGATTGCAGTCTTTCACTGCCTGTTGCTCAATGTCTCAAAACCATTGTTTTGTCTATTTTTCCCAGCTTTGTAGTGAAGGTGGAAGGGTAAATCCAGTTTCTTTACTCCATCATGGCCGGAAGCAGAAATTGCTAATACTCTGACTATTTCAAATAACCTACAATTTGTATACTAGCTGTGAGTACTTACAAAAGTCAAGTATTTAAAAAGTAGAATCATTCTGTCTGTAACTGGCAAATTAGAACTGTAAAGGTTTTAAGCCAAGAAACCAAATTTTGCCTTTGAATTGAAACCACCTTTGCTAAAATTATAACAGTGAGAAAATTATGACAATGAAAGAGACCTGACCTAACCAACTCCATCTTGCCTTTAACCTCCAAGCTGCCCTTGTTCATTCCTGGGTGTAGGCTGAACTAACTTTGGGAGGAATTTAGTTAATAGTTTAATTTTAAAACAAGGATGATAACAGCCCCTCCCTGAAACAGCCCCACCATGGCTCAGGTATAATACAGCCAGAGGCCACAAGACTGCTAACCTACCTATTTGCTCCTATAGATAACATTACTATTATAAAACCTAAGATTGGTGTTTTATAATAGACCATAACATTCTGCATTCTGATGGATCCGCTGGAGCCACCCAGGCCAGTAAAGTGGCTCGTCTGGTCTTGTGGCCCCTACCCAAGAAGTGGCTCATGCAAGAGGAGAGCTTCGACTACCTATGATTTCGTCTCCAACCCAACCAATCAGCAATCCCCATTCCCTAGCCTCCTGCCTGCCAAACTACTGTATAAAAATTTCAGTTTCTGAATTTTCGGGACAGCTTATTTGAGTAATAATAAAACTCCAGTCTCCCATTTAGCTAGCTCTATGTGTATTAAACCTTCTATTGCAATTCCCCTGTCTTGATAAACCAGGTCTATCTGGTTAGCCTGCGAGAGAAACCCATCAGGCAGTTACAGAATCAATGTTTTTTTTTTTTCTTTAGTGATGACAGATAAACCTGAAATGACATGATGCAGAAAAATAAAATATCATGTGCTCTGAACGACTGCTGTTTAAAAAAAAAACTAAACATTTGAAAGAGCATCTTAAATTTTAGTAGATTTGTGTATATTGTAGACATTGGGGGAGGCAGGGTAAAAGAAGAAGAGATTTTTTTTTTCCATGTATTTCAAGCTAATTCTGCCATTGATATTTGCCGTAGGTCTCTCCTGCACCCTTCCCTCACCAACATTTTGGGTTATTTCTCTAATTTTCCTAAAGACAACTGATGCAGCCTGTGGCATCTTTTTGTGTGTGAGCATCCCAAAAAACCGTCACCGTGACCTTGGCTTTTGACCAGTCCACTTTCTCTTTGACTGGACCATTTCCATTTATTGGTAGCCATTGCTTTGGTTGTGATTTGTCTTCAGGATTGTACTGGTGAAGCTGTGGTTTATTTCCTGTTTCACTTCTCCGAAGAAGTGCTTCAGGATCTTCATTCCACTTGTTTAGAATTTCCACTGAAAGCTCTGCTCTTGTCTGCAGCTGATCTGGGTGCAATAGTTTTGGCACCCATTGAATGGAAAGATTGCTCAACTCTAATTTTTCGGTCAGAGTTGTATACACTGAACCAATTGCGATATCTATGGTTTGGCTATTGTTTCTCCTGTAAATCATTAGCCCTCTTCAATTAGTGCATGAACAAACTTAGTTTTTTCCTTGCAAATTAATGTGGATGATCTACCACTATAGGTGTAATCTTTAACATCATCTTATTCCTTCTTAAAGTAAGTTATCCGCTTGTAAACTGCTTATTTCTTTGGGGCATTGTCCCCATAACTTTTTATAAAGCATCAGTGATTTCACCATTCCACCCAAGCTTCACCATAAATTTGGTGTTTGTTCTTGCTTCAATTTTAGCAGAATTCATGTTGTTCTGAAAGGGGGCTCTTTCAAATTGATGTCTTAGTGCCTCAAACTAGATCATGTTCTAACATGTTATAACAAGTTATTACAAGTGTATTTTGGTGCAAAAAAATTGAAATCCATGCATAATATGACCTTTCCACGAAGTTTTGGAAGACCTCTCCTATGCTTATGCATACACTCCCCAAACGTATCAATCCAGTTGCTATTGCCCAAGGAACAGAAGGCTCATCACTCCATGGAGGGTTTTTCCTGCAGCCCCTACCTAAGACCTTCTCACTTTCTCTGACAGTCCTATCATCGTGTCGTAAAAGGCCTGCCCACTTAGTCCAACACACTGGAAATGGATGATTGACAACATGTTTATTTACCCATCCCCTGGGGGAAAGTCTCAGATTTTGTGAGGTTGTTGCCCCTGCAATGTGCTTTAAACTCAGCTTTCTGTTGCTTGTGTCTCTGGGTCAGAAGAATTTGTCAGTGATAATGTTTTTGTTAAAGTCCTATGCCCAGTTAATGCCAACTCAGCGCTCTCATCCCCTAGGGCTCCTGTAATCATTTTTCTTGCCTTCTCTTACAGTTTCTGTATGTTATAGAAGTTCAAAGAAGACAAACTCTAGCCAAGAGCAGTGTGAAGAAAAGAAGACGCTATATTAATCACAGTCCAGGGATGCCTTCTGGCTTCCTGGCAGCAATTCCGGCCTGAGATTCCTTCTCTGTGCATACTTCCTGTCAACATTGTGTGATGTCAAGCTGTGGCCGTCACAAAAGTACTGTGAACACCTGTAAATCCCAACTATCAAAAATCACACCCAGGAATCCAAATTAGCATTATTATGTCAAAAGAAAAACCTGATTTCTTCACTGTCTGATAACTGCTTTCTTTATTGTCCTAAACTAGCATTCCCTAACCTTTGAGTGAGATAGTGACACTTTAGTTTCTTATATTCTAAAATGTTTTCAGGGGCAGCTGGTGGCAGAGGAGAGGGCAGTGGGGATAGGGCAGGGAGACAGATACCTGCACAAGGAAGGTATGGGGATGAGGTGGGAGTCAAGATGATGAACGGAGAGAGGGATGGTAACCGATTTAGTCACCCATTTGAGAGGGTCTCCAGACTTGCACTGCTGGCTAAAGACTCCTGTCCTAAGTGAGAAAGCATCATGTCAGGCAGGGGCTCTATCCCGGTGGTTATGGGTGGACATTCTGGAGTGATCTAAGGAGGCTTCCCGAGTCTCACTGTTGGCTCTCCCTGACCCCTTCTAAAGCTTTCTTTCTAGCTTCTGCTGCCCTCCAGGTAAGCACTCCACAGCACAGAGCTGTGGAGCTCTGTGGGTATAGTCTGTCCTTCCCATAATGATTTGCCTCGCTGCAGTAATTAACAGAATGACTTCCAAAATTAAGGGTTCAAATCTGGCTGTGACACCTACAATTATGTCCCCTCTCTGATTCCTCACCTGCTAATCCATGGGGTTGCTGTGAGCACATGGGATGCCTCATGATACTGCAGGTGGCCACTGCCAGTTGCCTTGAGAATTACAAGCAGCTCTTGGTGCCTAATCTGCTCCATCTCTTATTCTTCATATTCTATGTATGTCTTCCTCTGCCACTTACCAGCTGTTGACCTTGGGCAGGTTACTAAATTTCCTATGCTTTCTTTTCCCCATTTATGTAAGAATAGCAATGATACCTACCTCAAAGGTACTGTAGATGCTATAGATGGAACATTGGTTTCCTCCTTAAAATTTACATATTGAAATCTTAACCCCCAATGTGAGAGTATTTGCAGGTGGGACCTTGAGAGGTGATTAGTTCACTAGGGTGGAGCCCACATGAATGGGATTAATGCCCTTATAAAAGAGATCCTGGAGAGTCTTGTCCCTTCCACCCTGTGAGGACATGGTGAGAAGTGGCCCCTCACCAGACACCAATTCTGCCAGCACCTTGATCTTGGACTTCCCAGCCTCTAGAACTGTGAGAAATAAATTTCTGTTGTTTATAAGACTGTGTTACCCAGTCTCTGGTATCTTGTTATAGCATCCTGAACTGACTAAGACAATACATGCATTGCTATTCAATGAAGTGATATATACCACTCAGGACAGCAGCTGGCACGGAGAAGGAACTCAGTATATGATGTGCCTGTTTTCAGTGCACACAATTTTGTTTTGTTTTTAACTATACACCAAGGCCACTGTCTTGATCTGTCCACAACTGATGCCCATGTAGGTAACAAATGAGAGACTCCTGGGTGGTGGGGGGGAGTTTCTTTGGACATAGAACCCTTCAGAATCGTGACCTGTTACATCACTAGCCGGGGGTTATTGCTGGTTGAGGGGGGTGATAAAGAGGAGGCCATGACCATAGAGTACAAATACTTGCATCAGGCATTACTTTAAGGAAATATCTCTAAGTCTTTTAGGACACTTTTATTTATACAGTGTTAATTTATACATAGTCCCTTTAAAAAAACTTTGTTGCAAGAGATATTAAGTCAAAACCATTTGCAAAACTGTAGCACCCCATTTTTTAAAATCCCACTTTTAAATACAAAAAAGGTATATATAATAGTCTATATATACATACATATATGGTTATTATATGCATGGAAAAATTGGGGGAGACTCTATTCCAAATTGTTAATACTGATATTTTCAGCAGAGGGGGGAAAGACATTACAGAAGACTTTTATTTTCTACAGTATGCATTTCTATATTATCAAAACTTATAAATAATAAAAATACATGTTACTTCTTTATGATATCAGAATAGTTTAAATACTTCTATTCATTAATTTGAGAAAAGGGGCATGCAACTGTGGAAAGTGTGGTCCGCACATGGAATGGACATAAGTGTCTTGCCTGGAAATTCAACTCCAACTCATCTACTCACTCCAAGGCATGCTGGAAACCCATTATAGGCACCCATGACAGAAATCTGTCAGCATTTTGGAAACCACTTGACCCCTATAGGATGACTATGTGAATGCGGAGCTGTTGAAAGTGTCACTCAGTTGGCCACCATTGGGTCCTCTGTAGACGCCCTGGCTTCTGGTGCACATAGTGTGTCTGCAGCAGCTCTGCTCTGCCATGACTCCACATTTTATGTCTGTTAGTAGCTTGGGAGAAGTTGGAGTGGGGTTAAGAAGACATATTCTGTGGGCTACCCTCCAGCTTACTCCTCCATTAGACAATTAACAATGTACTGAACTGATGGGGTCAGATTCCAAGACACCAATTGGACCACATTTTCTAGTGGTCAAAGTCACTGTGGGTGGCAAAAGTCACAAGCCACAAACTTAGATGTGGCTTTCTCTGTGATGGCAAAAGGAATGGGCTGAGCCAGAGTTGTCTCTCCGGGAAGCCTTGCCCATCTTGCTTTCCACCTCTCTCCCTCTCTGTGAGTACGAGCGTGGCAGGCTTATAGATCAGCCAGCTGGGGAAGGAGTTAGACTCAAGGCAGAGAAGCAGCCTCACTTAGGCCCGGAGTCTGGTCATGGACTCCAGTTTGGTTTACCAGAAACCGTACATCAGGGTAAACACCACATGTCCAGGTAACAGTGACGTACAGTGAAGGGAAGAGCTTCATTCACTGATGTCAACTCTTGCTTGGGGCCACTTCCTTTTTCACAGAGCAAATGATTCTTTGAAGTCCAACTCTACGTGGCGCACCCAAAGCCAGTGATGACGGGGATGCCTCCTGACTCCAAAATTTGACTTCTAGTGGAGGATGAGATTTACAAAACGCTGTTTTTTGCGACCGAGGGTGGGAAAGTCCTCACTTTTCCATAGTGTTCACAGAGTGAAGATGTCATGATATACGCACCTTCCAAAGTGTGCTGGTCCCTTCCAATACCAAAGATCTCTCCCAGCCTCATGGCACTCATTCTCTGCCACTGCCTGACCTTCCTGAATCCTTTCATTGCCATATTCTGCTTGCCCTACATTTTCTTTTATTTTTTAAAAAATTTTTAAGACAGCATCTCACTCGGTCGCCCAGGCTGGACTGCAGTGGTGTGATCATAGCTTACTGCAGGCTTGAACTCCTGGGCTCAAGTGATCCTCTCACCTCAACCTCCTGAGCAGCTGAGACTACAGGCTAGCACCACCACGCCCGGCTAATTTTTAAAAAATTATTTTTTGTGGAGATGGTCTCACTATATTGCCCTGGCTGATCTTGAATTCCTAGGTTCAAGCAATCCTCCTGCCTCTGCCTTCTAAAGTGCTGGAATTACAGGTGTGAGCCACTGCACCCAGCCATTCCATGCATTTTTCTTTTCTTTCTTTCTTTTTTTTTTTTTTTTTTTTTTTTTAAGACAGTCTCGCTCTGTCACCCAAGCTGGAGCGCCATGGTGCGATCTTGGCTCACTGTAACCTCCACCTCTTGGGTTCAAATGATTCTCCTGTCTCAGCCTCCAGAGTAGCTGGGATTACAGGCGCACACCACCATGCCCGGCTAATTGTTGTATTTTTAGTAGAGACGGGGTTTCACCATGTTGGCCAGGCTGGTCTCGAACTCCTGACTTCAGGTGATCTGCCCGCCTCGGCTTCCCAGAGTACTGGGATTACAGGCGTGAGCCACCATGCCCGGTAATTCCCTGCATTTTCTTTTCCCTCCCTTTGCTATTATTTCTCCTGCAGATGTGTAGCCTTAGCTATCACCTGAACTTGTTTGGTCTTCTCCTCTTTTCCTTATAGTCTCATTCCCTTCGAGGGCTCATGCTTTTTCATGATTTCAGCCACCCTGCCTTTCTGATGTCTCCCCGTAGGTCTTCTGAGCAGGGAACTTCCTTCCAGCTTTTGTGCAAGCTGCACTGCCTGCCTTGCCATTAGCACTCGCTTCAGTGCCCTCTCTGTCTCAGGAGCTCTTCCTCCTGCTTTGCTGTTCCTAGGACTGGCACATCCATCCACCGTTAACTAGAGCTCCATATAGCTCTCCATGTAGGGCCGACTGCAGTCAGTGAGTACCTGTTTTGCTTTCCAGGAGGGGGCGTGTTGAGTTTGGGAGCGGGAGGCAGCAGGCTGGCCAGGGGCTGTGGCCGGAAGAGCCTGAGTCTGGGGCCCACAGCAGGCCAGGCACAACTCTGCCACTCCCCAGGGAAGGAGGTAACCCGGCCTCTGTGAGGCTTCGTTTCTGTATCTGCAACATGGAGAGAAAGAGAATATGGAGCGGAGGCGGTGGGCGGGGGCGGCGGGGAACAACGTACGAAAGTGGATTGTAAGTTAAGGAAGGAGCAGGCAGTTGTGATGATGAGTCTGTGTTTAACCGGGTCAGCCCCCAGAGCACCGTGGCCACATCCCAAATAGTTTCCATCCTAAGCTTTCCTTCTCCCTGGGCCTAGGACCCCTGTCCATATAACAAAGCCCGGATGAATGCTGAGCTTTGAAACAAGAAGCCGTGGGAGAGCTTTCTGTTTGGACAAGAACTGCCTTTGGCATAATTCTGAGCACTCTCCTCTGATGTTTTCAGAGTAAAGGCTGAGGCGGGAGTCAGTGGGTAGGGAGAGGTGCCAGGCAGATTAGGAAACCCAGGTGGGCTGGCCCCGGGGTTGGGGGGAGGGGTGGGTATTGCTAAGTTATCAGTTATTTAACCTTATGGAGTTTTATTTAACCGTTTTTGTTTGACATGTTTTATATATATGTAATTTTATTTATTCTTCACAAAATCCCTGTGAGGGGGGTGGTACTATTGTCCCCATTTAAAGATGAGAACACTGAGGCATGGAGATATTAACAAGTTTACAGATAGTGAGAGCCAATAATAATAATAATAATCAGGAATTGTTATAATAATAATCAGGCATTCTGATCCCAGAGCTGGAACTCTTTGAATAACTGATTATTTTGGTACAACAAAGTATATGGCTGCCCCTGTGGAGTTGTGGTCTCCCCTAAAAGGCGAGGCTATTTGTGGCATCAGTCACGAGGGGAAGAAGAATTAGGGTTCTGGGAGGCAACAGAAAGGGGCAGGGAAACGGCCTGGTGGGATTCGTCTCTCTTGGCCTAGTTGGAAAAGCCGGCAAGCTATTGAGGGAAGGGGCTGAGAAATGGAGGATTTGGGCACGGTGTCTGGCAGCTGTGCCAACCCACTGGGCCCAGGGCGGAAATAGCTCAGAACACGCGGGAGAAGGCAGGCAGGGGGAAGGCCGGGAGAAGGCAGGCAGGGGGAAGGTCCCTGGAGGCTCGGCTGTTTGTATTTCCTTGTCTAGTGGTTACTTGTCACCTGTGACTCTTGCCTGATGCTCAGTGAGGGCACTTGGGAAGATCCAGCTCACCTCACGCGTGCTTGTGGGGTTAAAAGACAGGAGCGCGAGGAAGGGAAGGGGAGCGCGGGGAAGGGGAAGGGAAAGGGAGCGCGGGGAAGGGAAGCGTTAGCTCGGGGAAGGGAAAGGAAGCACGGGGAAGGGAAGGGAGCGCGGGGAAGGGAAGGAGATCACGGGGAAGGGAAGGGGAGCATGAGGGAAGGGAAGGAGAGGGCGGGGAAAGGAAGGGTCAGTGCGAGGAAGGGAAGGGTCCGCGCAGGGAGGGGAAGGGGAGGGCAGGGAAGAGAAGGGTCAGCACGGGGAAGAGAAGGGGAGCGCGGGGAAGGGAAGGGTCAGCGCGGGGAAGGGAAGCAGATCGCGGGGAGGGGACGGACAGCGCGCGGAAGGGAAGACCACATTGGTGGTCTCGGAGGTTCCAGGGAAGGTGACCCTTGGAGGGGCAATGCTCGCCCCACATGGAAATTCACACTCCAGCCAAAACGCAGCTGACAGTGAGGATGTTTTCTGCTGAGAGGAGCCATAATTAGACCTAAACATTAACAGCAAATCCAGGACCATCCCTCACCAAGTAGGAGAATAAGGGAGTCTAGGCTGTAATCGGGCCTGATTTCCCAAAGGAACATATATGTTTTCTTAACCTTATCCAACAGTATTTTATGATTCTAGGCCCTTGATTGGGGCCTATACAGGACCAGCTACTCCCAGAAAACGAACAGAAAAGAGAACATTTTCCGAGTGTGCTCTTTCCTCCTCTTGGCTTCTGTGTCTGTGTTATTCCCAGGCAGAGGGTAGGATCCATCGGATTTTCCATATTCCTAGGCCAGTTTTGAAAGCTCCTCCCCAGATGCTGAGACCACATTTCCCGTGCAGGAGGAGGTGGATGGGGAGAGTTTGCATCTGGGAGTATAATTCAGGTAGAGTTGGGTTTTTTTCAAAGTACATAAAAATCCTTAAATATTGCTTTGTGCTGTATATTTTTCCTAAGTATGACGTCATGTCGAAGGAGCCCCTGAAGCCTGTTCCCTTCTTCATTTGTGAGACCAGCTCCCACTTTCTGTGTCCCGTGCACGCTGCAGCCTCTTCTGGAAACTTAACATTGGGCTAGATCAGTGCTCCCTCTCCAGCATTGGTGGAGGGGTGTGGAGGGGATCTGAGCAGCAGCTCTGAAGGACAAGGTGTCTCCTGTAGCCAGGTGATGGTGGCCCAAGGCTCCGGGGCTTCCCTTGCCCTCCCTGCCTCTCTCCTACAACCATTCCTGCCTCACAGTTTTGCAATCATGGTGCCTGTGTGTGGGAGGGCAGGGAAGGTGGGTCTTTCCCTGAAGCAATGTAGGCAAAGGCCTTGATGGATGTAAAGTGAGGGTCTGGGAAGCTAGGAGAAGAGTGTGAACTTACAGGAGTGCATGCGCCCCCAGCACCACTCTGAGAAAAAAAAAGAAATGCCAGCTCACTGCACCAGACGGAAGACATCTTTTGAGGATGAAGACAGCCACTAGACAATGAAGCAACAGGAGACTTAATCTTAAGAGTTCTAGCAGCCAAGGGGGTGTCAGGCAGGCCCCAGGCCACATGGAATGCTTTGCCCCTCTCCCTGAGTTTAGGGCGGGGATGATGAGGTGAACCACCCCTGACGCCCAGGGGCAATTGCAACCTGCCTGTGGCAATGAGGTTCTGAGAAGGGACCATCATTCAAATCAATGGGCTTCCACCTGGGTGCAGAGGAGATCAGGCCGCCTGGGAGAGAGTAAGCAGGAGAGGGAGCCAGCAGGAAGCAGGAAGCAGGATGAGGAAGAAGAGAGGGCACAAAGGAAGGGGTAGCTCAACTTCCATTTGCCTTGGCTTTAGAAGAGTGTCCAAACGGGCCTCCATAGTGCATGATGAGATGGCTGGGGCCAAAGTCCCAGGGGCAGATGGGTGGGCCACCTGTGAGTGGGGAGCCCTGTGGATGTGTGTGTGTGTTCGCGTGCGCGCGCCAGCAAGTGCTAACTGGACAGCAGTTCACTCAGTGACAGGGTTTGCTCACAATAGTCCCCCAGCAACCCCAACTACCAGGGATCAAGGAAGCCCAAGTGTCTCCATTTACCACAGAGAAAAGAGGGTCGGCTATAATCTGAAGGTTTATGTACCCTCAGAATTCAAGCATTGAAATCCCAGCCCCTAAGGTGATGGGATTAGGAGGTGTGGCCTTTGGGAGGTGATTATCCATGAGGGTGGATTCCTTATAATGGGATTAGTGCCCTTAGAAAAAGGCCCAAGAGAGCCTCTTCACAGCTGGAGGGCACCGTCTGTGACTCGAAAGCCCTCACAGGAGGCTGAATCCAGCAGCACTTTTATCTTGGACCTCCCCACATCCGGAACTGTCAGAAACACGTTTCTGTTGTTTATAAGCCCCCCAGTCTATGGTATTTTGTGACAGCAGCCCAGACGGGCTAAGACAGGGTCCAGATTCACGAGCACAATTATATGCTGGCACAGAGGCAGAATCTTAAATCCCAGACCTAAATTCCCCAAGAGCCAGAATTCAAAAGAGTCCTCTCTAATTGCCTTTGATGAGAATTCAATTTAGGAAGGATTCTATTAATAGTTTAAACTAACCAGTAGGAGCTTCCCATATCTTCTCCGCAGAACCAAAATTCTCTCTAAACAGCTGAACCTTCTGCAAGCTGAAGATTCCTCATCAGTTTAATAAGAGGTTTGGAAAAGAGATTTGGAAACGAGTGGATGGGAGGGGGCTTTCTGTTTCTTTCCTGGTAGACGTGTCCCCAAACTGGCCCCTTCTTAGGCCCAAAGAGGCATTTATTTGGTATAATTGGTGACTGATTCCTTTCTAACATCTTGGATTAGGACTTGAAATAATCTAGTCACAGTCCCCTGCCCAGGAGTCACGCGTGTTCTCAGGACAGACTGAAGGTGGGGTGCGGGTGACGGAGGAAGCGAAAGAGGCCCCTCTACTTGCCCCTCAGTGTTTCTATGCTCCATGGCATTCCTTTTCTGACAAAGACAAGCCTGAGCTCTGGGTGCCTGCCCTGAAGGGGATGTACCCAGGAGGCGGGTATAGAAGATTCGGAATTGAAAATATCGGGAAGGAGAAAAGGGAATGGAGAGAACAGGGACGTTGAGGGAGATGGATCAAAGGGCCATTTGTTGAGAACGTGCCTTCTCTCCCCTAGAGTCCTGGGTGCCCCATTTGATGAAAGCTGTCTCTCCTCCTCTCTCCTTTCTCTCGCCTCAGAGGAGGTACTTTGGGGCAACCTTCTGCTGAGGAGAAAGGGCTCATACTGACGTGTATTCCTTTCAAGTAGTTGTTCCTCCCTTTCCTTCCAAAATGACACATTTTGAAAGTGGAACAGGTCCAAGCATGCAGAGAAGAGTGGAGAATAACGTCGTGAGATACACTCACCACGCTGTTTGCCACATATGTTTTGAAAAATGTTTAAATCAAACCCTCTGGATACAGTCGCTTTTGACATGCCCTCCCTCCCTCCTGGCTCTCCCTGCTCTTCCCTGCACCAGCCACAGCCTCACCCCATCCCCACCTGCCACGCACTATCCGGGAGAGTCTGGAATGAGTATGCTTGTATTCGATGCTGTATTCCTCCTAATTGAGCAGTGAGAAATACTCCTAATGGGGCAAGAAGAAACCTCTGCTGGATGTCCATGGGGCTTGGTCTGAAGCCAGTTTGCCCCAAGGATTTATTTGCAGAATTTCTAGCAAAGGCATTAGGGGGAAAAATGTTACATTGAGAAAATACAACCCAGGACTTTTCTGCCTCTCCCCACCTCCAGACCCTCATTTTCAGCACTGAGTTTTCTCTCCACCTTCTTCTCGTCTTAGCTTCTTTGGGGTTTCCCCTACCTGGCCCTTCTCTGAACCTCCAATTGCCAGCCTGCATTTAGGCTCCGGGAGTGGGTAGCTCTGCTCTGTGCATGGCTTTTCCTACCTGGTGGAAGGTGTGTGTCCGTCGGAGAGGCAGCTGGTGCCTGGAGACGTCACCACCCACTTACCTTCTCAATTTCCCTTTAACACCTCTTCTCTCAGTGCCAGCTGATTCTAACTTCCAGGTGCAGAAAGCATTTGGTGCAGCCAGAGGCCACCCTCTGCTCACAATGGATGCCCCTCAGCTGCCAGAATTTTCCACTCCACGATGATTTGCCCCTCCCCCACCATGCATAAAGGAAAAGCCACACACACGTGTGTTATTAAAATGAACTGTTTATATTATCTCCGTTGAGTCAATACATTATAATGTATTAAAATGGAAAGGTACAAAATTGAAATAAATACTTTCTGATTCATGTATAAATCTTTTTTTTTTTTTTTTGTCAAGATGACTTTTATCATCAGTACATGTCACAAGAAAACATTTAAAATGACACTGAAACAATCATTGAAATCATGGTGCATGGAGGAAAAAGGTAAAGAAAACAACTTTTGGCTTGTTTTGGCATGAGACCTTGATACAATTTGGGTTCCCCAAAACCATGTGAAGGGTGGTAAAATAGAAATGCTCAAAACTGACTTAAAAAAATAAACAGGCTTTACAAAAACCCTCTTTTTTCTTAACCCAGCCACTTCTCGACATGGTCTGCACATACAGTAGATACATTCATTATTGTCCAAGGGAAGACAGTAACTGCCTTTCATTTTAAAGAGCTTGGTGGAGAGGCTGAAGAAATGTGCTGCAGCTGAAGGTGAGTAGAATGTTCCAGAGAACACAAAAGTCTAGATGGTCTTCAGAAACAGCACTGAGCATGATGTGGGGAGGGTCTCTGGGAAGAGAGGTGGAGGTGGAGGAGGGTGCGGAGTCCAGATCTGAAGCCACGGAGACTGAGGATGGAGTTGGGTTGTCAGTGGTGAACGTGGGGGCAGGGATCTCTCCGCCTGAGCAGTCCTGGGTTTGTCCTCAGCCTGGGAACGTTGCTCTTTCAGCAAGAGGCGAACCCTGGGCTTTGGAGACGGGGCTGGGGCTCTTTTCAGGCATAGCAGCAGTGGGGAGACTGGGGACAGGCTTGCAATGGATTCCACGGGAGGGGCTTCTCTCCTGGTTCTGACTGCTTATTAGGTGGTTATTAAGGCAATAAGGACTTAAGCAAACTAGAAGTTAAGGGCAGCTAAGTTCAGCCAGATCAAAGGTAAACAAAAGGTGAGAAGGTGTCCCTTTCTCCTCAGCTACCTTTCCCCCAAGCACAGGAGGCCTCAGCTCCTGAAGCTCTGAATTTACAGTACACAGTAGCAGACGGCTTGCCCTTTGGAAGGCTCCATGGAAAGAAGGCTCATCCCTGACTTGGGGCAACTTGACCGAAGTTTCTACTCTCCAGAATCTCTTTTCTGTGGTCACCCGACTGGCAAGTGGAAGATGGAAGCACCAAGGTTCCTGCAAAAGATAGATCAAGACCTTTGCTATCAACCTTTCAGCCCATCCCAATGGCCTTGAATGGCACGTGTCCTGGAAAACCAGGTCTGCTGCCTGTACGCCCGAGCGAAACCTATGCTCAGCTGGAGAAGAGGACAGCCTTTCAGGGTTCATGAATGTTCTCCCTAGAACAGATGGAATGGCAGCTACAATGCCCTTGGGAATGTGAGGTCCTGGTGGAGTCTCTGGGGAAGTGAAAGAAGCTCCTTTAACTTGACTCCACTCACAGGACAAAGTGCAGGAGACAGAACAGAATGGATAGAAGAGGCTTCTCCTTTCTTCTTGCTCTAGAGTGAAGGAGATGGACAGTTACCTTGAAATGCTACGGGAAGGATGAGCATGGAGAGCTGCCTGTTATTCTGAGCCAACTTCTGGCAAGATGCTGGGTGAATCGACTGCCTAGAATTGAAGAACTGGCTCTCAAGCAGTTGCTGCTAAAGAATGCCAGCAAACAAACCACACACAACTGTGGTAAGCCAGGCGGAAATCCCTCCACCCTCTGGCATGAGATGGCAGTCTAGAAAGGACTCTCCATGAGATGCCTGGGGCCTGAGGAAGCAGAGGCATGGACACACTGTTCTACGATGACTCAGGGCCACCCATGAGTGGGACATTCGTGGGGATGAGATGGGAGCAGGGAGAAGCAGCAGTTGTAATGGCCAGCCACGTGGGGACCAGTTCCGTGCCTGGCCTTTCTTTCTCTGGTGGAAGCCATCTTGTTTTGATCCTAAGAAAAATGGGTGTCATTTTATCCAGGAATCTAAGAATTATAATAATAAATTAATAAAGTGAATGTGATAATCAAACTGTGAGGATACGAACAACATAAGATTTAATGATCGTTGTCAAAACCAGTCCGTAGGGCTGTGGAACTTTATCGTACAATTCGACTTTGATATGTGTTTAAATATATTTTCTAAGTTATCCACAACCCAAAACAGGACCCCTTAGAGGTAATCTAGAGGAATCCCTCACGTTACAGACAGAGCCACTGGTTAAGGGTCTAGAGTCACACAGGGAGTTACTGCAGAATCACTACTGGAACCCTGTGCTCTTTCTGCAGGGATTCGGATATTTTGGTTGGATTTGCATTCTTACGTCAATGTATGTTCTCCAACTCTGCTCTTACATATTGAAAGGCAGGCAGCTATTTTTAAACACCCTGCCTATTAGCCTTCGGAACATAATAATAATGGCAAGCACCCTTTATTGCTTCGCCGAGCTGCAGACACCCTTCTAGGGTGTGAACAGAGCTCAGTAAAGATAGCAGCCTCAGGTCTGTGTGTTGCTTTGAGCCACGAGCTGGTCTGCAGGCAGCAGCCATGGGCCGTGCCTGTGTTGGTATGTTTAAGAACATTGGCGAATACAGGAATTACATGGACTAGGTTTAGAAAACAAACAGTAACGTACAAAAAGGAAGGTTTGATATGGACTGCAAGGACATAAAGCAGGTGCACATGCGTGCACTACCAGAATAGCTACACGGTGGGAAGGAATTCCAGAACCACGTGAGAAAGAGTTGTTAGGACAATGCAGTCGTGAAATACCATGTTTCCAACCCTATCACTCTATTTTAAAATAGATAATAATTATAATTTTTATTAATATCAAACAAATTAGCTTTGGGACCTATGGCCCTATCTTAGGGGTCACGGCTGCAGTCCCCTTTCTTGCAGACCTGGCAGGCTGCGCAGATAACTGCCCCCAGCGTTGGCCAACTCTGGACGCTCTCTTCTCCCATAAAGACACCAGAGAGTGCTCTTCAGCCCCCGTGTTTCAAAGGGAGAACCCAAACCCACCCTAACTTCTGGCAAGACAAATCACTTATTATAGCTGCTCACCTCTTCACAGAGTACCCACCTCCAGGAAAGGTCACTAAAGGTCCTGCCTGGGCCCCTGGCGTGGCACAGGGTCATGGTCAGTCTTCTCTGGAGCCTGAGTCAGGGCCTGGTGGGGAAAGGCGGTGTCACTTATAAGGGAGTGGGGAGGTGAGAGCTGGAAAGGGCTGGAATGGCACCTTTTTAAAGGAATAAAGCCCTTTAAAGATCTTCAACTCAGGGACTTGGTCTCTTTGAGAAACAGCACCATAATCTAATTGGAATAAAAAAAGGATCTATTTAATTAGAAAGAGACTGTTAGGAACTGGAAGCTGGGGAAAGGAGTAGGGACTCACTGGGCCCTTCTCAGGGATAACAAAGAATCAAGGGCCTCAGTAGCAAATTACAGAGTTTATTTTGAAAATTCAAATAAAACCACAAAAATTCAAATAAAAACACATTCTAGACTATATCTTTGTAAGCTTTGGGGGACAAACCTCAAAGAGTCCTCCCAAAGGAAAACGCACCAGCTAAGCCAGGTGCCTCCAGGCTCGTATAAAGGGGAAGGTGAGGTCAGGAGGCCAACAGCCATTTTTTAGAAGAATGACACCGCAAGACGTTCCTGGTCTACTATTTCGCATGAGGAAAACACGCTTTGGCTTCTGGTGGCTCAATTGAGATAAAAGCAGAGAGAGGTACAATAAAAGGAATTCATAACAAACATTATGAACACCTGCTTGGATTAAAAAGTTGACGGTTTCCTGAAACGGGCTCTGCTAAAAGGGACTTCCTGGAGAAATCAGATGCCTCTGGAATGGAAGACGTCCAGGAAAGTTGGGATGGCTGAACAACAGGTAGGGTCACTGGGTGGATGGATGGACCACTGAGATTTTTTAGAAAAAAGCTGTTCTCACAGGAGATTTAGTAAGGGCAGTTTATAGGTTTAGATTCTGCTGTTCCTTATTTTCATTGTTCTTCCTTACCCCTCAAAAATATAGGTTAATGAGACATTAGCTCATTTCACATCCTAAATCCAAACCCTCTTCCCTTGGCTAACACGGGGCTGGGTTGGGATGTTCACATTGACCATAATCATTGGGAAAAGAAACTTAGGGACTTCTATCAAACATGAGAGTTTGGGAATGATATCTGAATTTCACAAATTAAAAGGATTCTGAGCTGCTGGTTATAAGTAAGGAGGGGGACAAAGGAGCATCAGGAAGCAGGGTCTGAGGGGGTCTCTGCTCCTTTTGAGCTGGGTTTCTTTGGGTAAATCACTTCATCTCTCTCTGGGCTTCAGTTTCCTCATCTGTACAGAGAGGAGATGGGACTCCACATGCTCTGAGACCTTCCTGACATTTGTAGTCTATGGTCCTGGAGAACTGATATCAGTCTGGAAAAGACATGAGGTAGGGGCTGAATTCTAGGATCACGAAGGGCTCTGCCAGCCTTTCATCCAAAGAGGGCCAACCTTGTTCCTGGGGAATGGTGAGTACATTTTCTAGCAAGTTCCTTGGGACTCCTGACCAATGTCAGCATGTCCGCAATGCCCCATCTAGATTCTGCCCTGAAAGAGCCAAACAGGAGAGCAGTAGTGTCTGCCACATCTTTGTGGAATCCTGCCCTTTTGCGGTCAACCTCAACTCAGGGAAAGTAAAAAGTGCATTAGAACCTAATGAAAATTTCAAAAGATCTTGAAAGATGCCCACCAGCAGCAGACAGTGACATGATCAGTGCCCATGGCCAGGCATATCACGGAGGTGTGCAGTGGCCACGAGAAACAAGATGTTTGTAAAGCACTCTGAGCTCTTAACTGTGAAGAGTCAGAGAGGCAGAGGCACCACAGTCCTGGTTTCCACCTGGCTGGCCATCAGGATTAACGTTTCACTGCACAGCCAATAAGCCCAAGACTTCAGAGGACTGGCTGTATCTCCAGATTTGCGGAGGGGGGAATGGCTCACTGTGGATAGGTACACTATTCTGCCAAAAGGCAAATGTCTGCCAAAACACAGACTCTGGAAAAATCTGTCTAGGTGCTTCTAATACCTTCTGTGTATGCTGGTTCCTAGCATTGGGAGTGGGGGAGATGTGTCTCTCTGAGTCTGGGTTGGAAAAATATAGAATGGCAAAGTCCTGTGTGCCCAGGGGAAAAAAAGAAGTCCATGATTCTGACTCCTTTAGGGAGAACAAACGAACCCTGTGCCAGAGATTCACCTCTATTTCCCAGAGATATTGCTTTCCAAATCTGCCTTCTTTCAAAAGCTGTGCAGAAGTACCTGGCTGAAGAGATGACTTGAGATCCCAGCAAGAAGAAAATCAGGGTAATCTTGAACCAGAATAGTTTGCGCCTTTTAAGACATGCATTTCCTCTGAGCAAGTCCAGATGTCCAAGGGGGGAGAGGGGATGCTGCGAGCACTGTCTCTAAACATACAGCGATCCAATCTCTTAAGCAGTTGAAGATCCACTTTTACTTTAAATGCACTGAAGGCCCAAGAAAATGTAGATGCCTCTCTCACCTAACACTGCCCTTCCTAATCTTACCTAGAGTGAAACTGAGGCACAAGGAAGGCCAGCCCATTTTTCTGCAGCTCTCCTATTGAAATGGTGCCACTCCTGGGAGGAAAACCCAAGATCTCTCTGAGTCCTTCAATATCTTTCATTGCCTTTTTGCTTAATTCACATTTAAAGTCGGCCTGTCTATCACTCTATAATATATTATATGCGCTATTTGTATAAAATATAAATACTTCTTATATTTCTGCTTAATTTCCTGTCTTTTATCCTCCTTTATATAACTAGGTTAAAAAAAAAAAAAGATGTTCCATGACAAGGGAAAAACCACAGTACTGCTCAAAGGAATAGGCCTCCGGAAGGAGAGATGACAGCCCTTGTCCATGGGCCCTGGGGGTGCTTCAGATCTGGACTGTACAGCAAATTAAATGGAACACATTTCAACAGAAATCGGCAATGGAGACATTTGAGCCAGACGAAGTGAACTTCCACAACCTGGTTTTAAGGAACAGTAAATACAATAGAGATAGATAGATACGCTATGCTGAATCTTGAGTACTAAAACAAGTTATAAATAGAAATATGCTAACTTAAAGAAGACATACATCATAGGGATTAGTCTAGTCAACAACCAATTACCATTAAGATCAAAAAGTAAACCGGCCTTTTCACTGAGTGCCTCCACGACATTTCTCAATGCACTAAGTACATTTTAACCATGCAAAAATACACAAACATCTTAACTAGGTTGTTTTTTTGTTTTGTAAAAAAAAAAATCAAACACCAACATTATGCATTTTGTTAATTATATTGGTTAAAGTAACAGCCAGTGGCTGCCAAATATCAGATACATCATATACATATTTTTGTACAGAATCTGGACAACACAACATTACACATCAGAGAGAGAAAGAGAGAAAGAGAAAGAGATTATTTGTTCCTTCGTGGGTTTGTTGTTGTTGTTCAGTAAAAAAAAATAAAGTAAAGTGTGAGAAGAAATGCTAAGAAGGAAAACACTTCAACAAGTTAGGAATACATAGGGAGAATTGCTAATCTGAAATACAGGAGGAAAAGAGTTCATATTTAGGTCTGTGTCTAGAATTTTCTTCACTAAGAAACAAAAGAGTACAACAGGTGTATTGGTTTGGAAAAGCAGAAAGAGCGATAACATCATGCTCTCTGCTTCCCAGCATGTTTCCAGCAAGAAGAAAAAAATCATAAGCACAAATTAATTTCACAAGTTTTGTTTTCAAAAATGTCCTCCCTTACCCAGGAAGCTGGGTAATGCAGGGGTGGGGGGCAGCTCAGTTGAGAGAGTCCTTGGCAAAGGTTTGGCCAAAAACTGTTGGCCTTAAATTAGTTGGAGATATGAACTGTCTGTGGGAATTCACGCAATGAAACGCAACAACAGCTTGCTCCATCTAGGCAAGATTTCCTGTTGCCAGCTCATGATCTGGCCAAAGACACAACCCCCATGACAGGTTCTGCTAGCCAGGCCCCAGTCCTGCCCCTTAAACATCTGGCATCAACACAATCTTAGGAATTCAATCTGGAAAGAAAACGAGACCTTGAACACAAGCTATGGAAGCGCTACCGTGGTCACGGTTAGATACAAAAATGTGAAAATTCAGATGTAATCAAAAATACAAAATCAGTTTCAATAAGATTTGCTTTTTTTTTTAAACCATTACAGTGCAAGGTTTTTCAAATTACAGTAAAAGTTATGTGTCTGCTTACAGTAACTAGAGTAAATAGCTGATTTTGTTCTGCTAGAATCAGAGGTCCCTGATAAGTGAGAATGCACCAGTCTGAAATCAACCCAGCACAACAAATGGATATCTGAACATAAACACGGTTCATTGTAGTCTTTACCCCTTTAAATTATAGTAACAAAAGAATGATGTCCTTTGCACAACTCATTAGCATGATGTTCTTCTTCCATTAAAAACAATCATAGCAAATAGATGGTATTAAAATTTCAGAAGAAAAGGACTGGAAAACCGGGGCTGACCAGTGGAGGATCTGAAGGGAGTTTCCCACATCACTGAGCTTTTCCCATTATACTTATTATTATTATTTTTTCCTACCATAATCCTCTTTGGCAATGTTGCTTTGTGCTTCAACACCAGTCACCCACACCATCCCAGGCTGTTGCGAGAGGAAGAGGCAGCACCCCATGGAATGAAAGGAAAACATAATGGGGTCACCCCGAGGAAAGAAAAATGGAATAAAATGAGAGCTGGGAGGCCAGGCTGGGGAGGAGCCTTCAGCTGATAAACGAGGGACCCTTGTCAAGGCCATTGTGCCTCAGAGTCTCACGGTCAGCAAGGGAAGAAAGGGAAAGTCAAGAACGCAAAAGGCCATCTGGGAACAAGAGTTGCTGTTCACCGAGAGCCTCACCTTTGGGCAAGTGTCTGGCAGACAGCGAGAGGCTAAAGGAAGTAATCAGGCAATGGTCTTCACATTCATGCTAAAGGACAGGAGGAGAGGCAAGGGAGACTGAGGGAGAATCCTCTTCTGAAATTTGTAGCAAGAACTAGTCTGGGACAGGTTGAGAAAGGCAGGATGCATCAGAATGCCTCCAGGAATCCTGCATGCCCAAGACGAGGGTGGATGATGGCCCTTTGGCACGGACCGCAAGCTAGAAGCCCACGGAAGCCACACATCATCCCTGTTGGTCTTTGGCCTTCCTCATGTGGCCCCTCTCTAGCCTTATCCTGGGGCCTAAACCCAAGATAGCAGCTCTTTGAGCCATTTGGATTGGCCCCTTCTACCCCAGTCTAAGTCCCTCCTAATTGCACAGGGCAACTCTTCCTAGGTTAAGTGAGTTGGAGAGGCAGTTTTAGACAGAAAGAGGCTGCTGTTGAGGCAGTAGGGGAGTGGGACTGGCCAGCCCTGTGTAGGGTGTGGGCAGCACCCTCTCTTGTCTCCCCTGGGATGTAGCCTGTGGTTTGATCCACCTACCTCCTACTAGTGACCTGCATTCAGGTAAGAGAACCCTTTACTCACACCCGTGGCCCAAGAAAGGGAAGAAATGCAAATTCCTCTGCCACATTAGGAAGTTTTTCTTACTTTGAAATAGAGTGTGAGATGTTAGTGTGAGCTCAGGAAGCACTCGATCATTTGGTTAAAATCTGGCCATAGCAGGAAATTTGGACTTCCTCTAAACATTTTGCCACACTCCTCAATAAGGAAAAAATGATCCCCCTGACCCTACAGGCTCAGTGTCCACCAGCGTCCACACCAGTCTGGTTCCTACTCTCATGGGTAGAAGTGGACAGCTGTGATCAGTCCAGCACATGGCCTCCTCCAGCACGCACATTGGGGTTTGTTTTAGGAGTGACAGAATCAGGCAGAACCAGTGCCCCTGTCCTTTGCTTTTTGCGTAAGGTGCTCACACTTATTCATTTCTTGGGCCAGAGGAGATCCCACCTTACTTGCCTTCTGAATCCCATCTCTTACTAAGCTTTCCCAGACTTCAGTTTCCACCCATGACCTATCATAGTAAAGCAATTGTCCTGGAAACCTTCTCTGTACTCCTCACCCAGCCCTGACTCAAAACACAGCCACCACTTGGTCCTCTGCGATTCAGAGGTGGTACCCTCTGCTCATTGCTCTGAGCCCCCCTAAGGGAGTGGTTCTGCAAAGCCAACTAAGGAGCCGCTGACCATGGGTCTTCCCTCAAAGGGAGGATTTTTAAGAGGTGCAGGCTGCTTTGGCTGAATGGCCTTAGCAAACACCATGATGTTCTTCTGACATCAATCCCCAGAACTCTGCTTTACTAGATCAGCTCTTTCCAAATGGTGTTTCTCTGGCCTGGCAGTTTGTAGATGAAACCATGTTTGAGGATTTGTGATCATAGATGTATTTACATAAGGAAGTGGACAGAATAAAATTAGGAAATGAGATGATGTGTAGTGTGGCTTTAAGGGTAAAGATATGCTTAAAGAATCCCGAAAATGCCCCAGGACAAGGCTATGATGTCCTACTCTTGGTACCTAGGACCATCTGGTTCTATTTACCATTTGTTGGGAGCCACCCTGGCTGAAAGAGATTCCTAGGCATGGTGGAGAACAGGCATTGTCAGTCCAGGGCCTTGGTGGGGAGGTAGGTGGTCTGCTGCTCCTCCAACTCTCAAAAGAAGGGGCTTTGGACATCACAGACAGCAGCATGGGATTCGAAATTGGACCCTAACCCCTTTATAGTAGTGTGACCTCAGGTGGGCTAACCTCTCTGAACTTTAGTGTTCTCTTTTGCATGTTGGGTGTGACTTTATTACTCACAGCGTTGTTGAGAAGATCAAATGAGATACTGCATGTGAAAGCGCCCCACAGGCGTTTAGGAACTGTGCTGGAAAACCTTATTCACCTCTGATAAAAGCATCACAGCCTTCCCCGGACAACCTCAAAGTTCGATACTTTTCCATACCCAAAGCATTTTCTTAGAGCGGCGGTCGTTTGCTAAGTGGCGTTCTAAGGACAGGAGAATTTGCAGTGTTTTGCTTGGCTTTATTTTGTTTGGTCAATAATCTCTGTATATCCCATATGGCTGATTCTCATCTCCTGACAAGCTAATGCTCCGGTCTGCACCCCAGTACATTTCAACTCCTTGACATCAATAACAAAAAGGGGATTAGAGGAAGCAATGTGGTTTTTGTTTTTGTTTTTAACCTTCAAGATATATATTGTGAGTATATTTATTAGGGTGAGCAGTTGGCTTCATCTTTTTATTTATTTTTTTTTTTTTGAAATGGAGTCTCGCTCTATCACCCAGGCTGGAGTGCAGTGGCACAATCTCAGCTCACTCCAACCTCTGCCTCCTGGGTTCAAGTGATTCTCCTGCCTCAGCCCCCTGAGTAGCCGGGATTACAGGCGTGCACCACCACACCCAGCTAATTTTTGTATTGGCTTCATCTTTTAATGCAAGATAAAAGTAGAGTTGAATTGATTTAGATGCTTGCCTTCTATGTAAGGAGGATCTCCTTGGGTTCTTATGCTCATAAACATTAGCATGGATTTAAGGAGAAGCTAAATTTTCTTGCCATTTGTTGGATGAGTGGGTATTGATAACAGAACTTTCGGATGGGAAGAAACTTTAAGGAGTGTCACCATTTTGCAGAAGATGAAACTGTGCTTGGGCACGTGGGGTGTGTTAGTGGCAAATCCAGGACTCCAGCTGCTGCAATGGAATGTAGAAACGGGTGACCCTGCTTGGAGGGGAGGTAGGGCTGGATGACAGTTCTCTGTGGTCCTGGGATGCAACAGCATAGCTTCCTAACTCTCGAATTTCTGCTGACAGACGTCATTTTCAACTTGCTCTCACCCAGCCATGCTTAGAGAAATCACTAGATAAACGCCTAGTGGACTTTCAGTGGTCCAGTTTGCCAAACTGAACTAGGAAATTGAGGAAGAAACAATAGCTACGTCTTGAAGGTTAAAAAATAAACAACACTATTTCTCATCACCGCTAATTAGTAGGGACTTTTAAAAAAAGGCACTCACCATTGACCTAATCTGTAGTGTTAAAAATGGAGATAAATATGTAATATTTTGGAAATGGGTGCCTGGTAAGTGAAGGATGCAATGAATGTGATATATCATGATTCAGAAACCCTTGTGATAAATCACCTCAAGACATATCTCAGCATTTGCCATGAGGTTAGAGCAGTGACAAAGAAACAATGAACGATTCTTAAGTGGAATTGATCAGAATTCATTATTGGCCTAAAGGGGCAATGTGGTATTAACCTGGAGCTTCTTATTTCACAGGGAACCTTTCAAGGTTAGTCAACTGATCCAAGGCCTGTGTTGACCGCTGTGTCATGCTGTTGTGTCCCATTTCTCTCTTGGCTCTTCCTAAGAGAATATCCTTTTCTCTTGTTCTCTGTAACCCATGTGCCTATTCATAGTATATTGCTTAACCTAAACTCTATAAGTCCAAAAGGCTCAGGATGGAGGCATGGGGTCTGTGGACATGTAGAAACAATGGCTAGGAATGACAGCTAGAAAGGCATAGGGATGTTGAGTTTCAGGTCCTTCTTCTTTCCTTGGGGTGACGCAGTAAGGGGGCCCTTTCTTCAGTTTCCAGACCAAGGATAACATGATTACGTTTTGCTTTCTTTCTAAAGCAATCCGTCTCAAAAGTAGAGGAATCTTTTCCTTACTCTCCCCTCCCCTTGTCTCTTCTTGCTGTGGTTAAGCCATTTTTTCCTGTTTGAGAAGTACGCCTGGTGACTGATTAAGAAGGAAGATGATTGCAGGAAGCATCCTCTAATGATGGCTATCAAAGGAGCCAATATATTGGTGCACACTGGGAGTTACTTTTAGGCAAAGAAGGGGGCATATATCTTAATTGTTTCCTTATAACCTTCCCTAATGTCCTTAACGCAGGATGTGCCATTCATGAGGAAGGCTCAACAGTCCTTAATGCCCATGTCATCTCCTCTTTCTTTGAGCTTGGTGGTGCTAAGATGCCTTCCTTTCCTTTGAACTTGAGAGAGCTTTATCTGCATTCATTAATTTCATCTTACTTTTCAGCCCTGGATGTACAGAGGTTAGCTCCCTACCAGACTGTGAATCACTTATGGACAGGGTCTAGTCACACGTCTGGGATCTTTGCTAGATGAATAATGAGTGCGTAAGTTAGAAGACTAATGGACAGAATGAATTGACTGCGCGTGAGTCCAGGAATCTCACTGAGACCTTAGTTCTCAAGGGAAGAAATCTCTTCCGTTAACCTCAGGGAGGTGGCTGCCAGTTTTGACAGCTGACATGGGGCAACACCGAGGTCTTTGCAAGCTTCCTGAAGCCAAGCTAGAGCCCAGTACTTCAGGTCAGTGGTGTTGGAGGCAGCAATTTTAGCTAGAGGCAGAGATTTGCTGTTCAGTTCCTTTTGAGCAGTTTGGGCTTCAAAATATAATGATGCCACCCAATGCCCTGATTTCTTCTCTACAACATAGAGAGATTCTGCCAAAAGATCTTCCTGGGAAAGATCAGAAGAACACCAATTGGCTTTAAAAGTGGTTCTCACAGGATCTATTTTATGTATTATTTTCAGCAAAAATCTTTGGAAACAGAGGAAAAAAAGATGTCTTTTCCATATGTCAGTCTCAGGCTGATGCCTCAAGGGCCCCTGCTCTTGGGCCATCTCAAGATGGGTTGTTTAGACACAGGTCAAACCGGCCTTGGCTCCTGCAGGCTGAGATAAAATGTACCACACAGGGAGGTGGCCTCTCAAAGTTCAGTGAGGCAGCAGGAAGAAAAGAAAGGTAGAATGTCCCATCAGTCAAGCAAGGGAGTGTGTAGGCAGAGGTGTGGTGGAAAAGCCAGAAGACTTTCAGCCAAGACACTTGATCCCACATCGTGGTTTTATTTCTTTTGAATCAAGTTGAGCAAATCATTCAAGTGCCTAGGTCACATTTTTCTCACATGGAAATTAAACTAATGTGTTATATTTCTCTAGTTGAAAAAGGTCATTACAAGGAATAAGTAAAATAAACTAAGAAAATATATAGAAAAGCACTTAGCAAATTGGCATGAAGCAAGTGCTCAGTAAATATGAGTTAAATCTGAGATGAATGATGGTTTGGGCAACACACCCTTGAGCAGACATCATGGGTGTGGGGAATATGGGGTCCAGTGAGAGTCTGGGGTCACCGTCAGCCTGTGGTGCATGGTGGTCAGGCTTGGTAGAGCCCCAGATGGTGGGTGGTAAAGGGAATGATTAAAATTTAATATCTTGAAGCTGGGAGTTAAAAATGATTTGTGTAAAATAGAAGTCCAACTTTTCTGAATGTATGCTTGGCTGACATGGTTTGTCTATCAGCTCCAGGGATGCAGGTGGTCACCATCCCACCCATTATGAAAAGATTCCAGGCCATGGATCAGCAACAGTAGAGTTATTTTATGGAAGTTAAAGAGAGAATAATTATAAGGAACAAGACTGAAGGAAGTTGGGGAGTTCCAGTTGGGATCCCAAGCCTGCTTGTCCTATTAATAAGTTCTAAGGTTCAGAACTGCCATCCCCTGCATTTCCACTTAGACATGCTGAAAATCTGAGGTCAAAGGCCAGGCCACACTTTAAATGCTTCAGGAGCAGATCTGTCTGTGGGGAGGCCCTCCCGCTTGTCTCAATTCTCTGTGCCTTTGCATCTCTCGTCTCAATGTCTGTATGGTTTTGCTTCTGTGGTTCTTAAAGTCTCAGAAGATGAAACAAGGTGCACAAACTGTTGAAGAATCTGTGTGTAGTGCTGAGAGAACTGGGGACCATTGAGGAAAGGATCAGGAAAAAAAAAACTGTCTTGGCTTCCTTTTCTCATGGTATCTGGAAACACCTGGACCCACTACACAAACTATAGGAGAAACTGGGACTTACCCCACATCCTGAAGACTCAATTCTTCATTAGGAAATGCTGTGACCACAGTAACCAGCTCCTTGGCTGCTACAGTGAGGGCCTGGGGCCAGCCAAGTTCTGCATGGCTCAACCAATTCTAGGAGATTGCACTGGCCTCAAATATCCAGAAGCTTGCCTGACCAGGGTTGAACTAAAACCCTATTAAGAATCAGAGACTGGAATCTTCTGTGTCTTGGGCAGCTTTGGGCTTTAAGAAATTCCATTTTTCATTCAAGTTCCTTCCCTTTGGCCTCAAAAACTCAGTGGTTCCAGAAATCACATGTAAAGTGGTCCACTGACAGCTTCCACTCTTCTGATGTGCCTTGCAGATGGAGACATGCAAATCACCACTTGAAGCCTCATTCCTCCTGTCTTCCACCACATGTGGAGGACTAGAGGAGTGGTTTTTAGATACACCAAAGCTGTAGGGGCTTAGCTTTGAGCCAAGGCATGCACATGGGTACATCTGAGCAACTGCAAGTCCAACTCTTGGGGTGTCCATGAAGTCTTTGAAGAAGGAGTGTGGTTATCCACAAGGAAGAGCCATTCCCCGAATCACATTTCGAAACCAAGGTTTAACCTAGCTTCAGCTGAAGGGCTATTCTTTCAATAAGGTTGGGTGAATGTTAACAGACAGTGGAAGACATCACATGGCTTGAATATGTGCTGCTGAAAATTCTGTTGCTTTCTCATCAGAAAGAAATCAATATGGTAAGCGAATGAAGGATTCATCATGACTATGGGCATGGCCAGCCAGATTCACTCATTTGCATGCAGGCTATGAATCCCTCAAAATTCAACTCAAATGCCATCGTTTCAAAGCCTTCCCTTCTACCTTCACTTGGAAGTATCTCTTCCTGTTCTGGATGTCCAAAGCATCTTGCACTTCTCCTTAGGTTCCATTTTCCATTGCAGTATGGTTTTTAATGTACATTTCTCATATCTTGTATTACATGCCTTGAGGTTTATTTCATCTTTATATCCCTAAGTTACTAGCCCTTTGCTTGGTAGAGTAAGTGTTCAATAAATATTTGATAATCAAATGATTAATTGAATTTGAAGTGAGAATACTGTTCTGGCAAGGAAACTCGACTGGGGTAAAATAGATTCATTATCTGTCACATTGTCCTTGCAGGGAAGGTCACTGGGAAGACCCAGTGGCCTGAGAACATACGAAATGTCAAAAATCCTCTACCAGAGCTGTACGACACCTTGAGTTTAGGGTAAAAGAAATTCTTGCATAATCTGCCACATCCCATTGTAATACATCTGCTTCCTCTGGTCCAGTGATTTCAAAGCTCCTAAAGCATAGAAGCTGTTCTTGCCCAGAAGCAGAAAACCAAGAACCCAAATAGGCAGTCAGAAATGGTTTCCAAACTGGAGATTTCCTTGGGAGTTCAATAGCAACTGGCAACCATAAACAGAACTGAAAGCATCTCTATCTAGAATGATTACATCCTGGGGACAGCATCTTCTCCCTTTCCAGGCAACAAAGAGGTGTAATGATGAGATTTAAAATAAGCAAACAAAACTACAGCTTCCTCCCAGCAGTGCAGAAAGCTCCCCACAATAACCCAACAATGGTCATGCCCCAAGGACCAGCCCACTCTGCAGAAATATGGTCTACAAACAGAAAAGGAAAGGTAAAGAAGAAAATGCTTTTTACAGTGAATTGAAGTTCAATTCTTTTTCCCTATTCCCATACTGGCTCTGACATATCAGGGATTCCCTATCAACTAAGGGAGTTTTGCTCATGAGTGAGCAGAAGGTCACTATGAGAACAAAACTGGCTGGTCTGGGTCAGAAGTCCTGTTATGCCATCTCCTTGGGTTACCCTTAGAGTTTGGTCCATTGTGAACCCTTCCTCTATAAGAAATAGATTAAACCTCATGCTTAGGGCTACCAACATGTATATCTAAAATGCCTCGATCACAGATGCAGCAAAAAATTCCTTCTACTAACTCTGAAATTCCCGTTATCTGTGCCCTGGGGAGCAATGGGGCTGGGATTCCAGGGAGGGCGGCACCAGGTGTGGAGAGGGCCCAGAACCAGCATGGAAAGAGAGTTCACTCCAGTATTCAAACTTCAGAAGGGTCTCCAGGAAACAAGGCCTCCCCTGTGGAAAAACTGGGGAACTGAGATGAACAGAAAGACAAGAGTCAAGATGAGCAGGTGTAGGTGGCTCTGCAGCTAATTTTCTCAAGGCATTGGGTGGGGTGAAAGGTGGTAATACAAGAAAGGATCCTCCCAAAGTCTCCCTAAAAACAGGCTCCTCTGAGTGCACAATGGATATGTCACAATGGATATGAAAGAATAGGGAATCATAAGAATTGTGTTTTCTAGTACCTACAGAAAACAAGCAAAACATTTCTTTCTTAAACATGTAATTATTTCAAAGGAAATTTTGGAATCTTGGGAAGCTCAGTGAGGTGGCAAATTCCTCAGAATCAGAAAACCAACTTTGGAAGCATACTGTCATTGTGCCCACGTGTGTGTTTGCCTGTGTGTGAATATATCATATATTCCCACTCACCTACTTATGTGTGTGTATATATATAAATATATATATATTTATCATTATATTTTTCCCTTCAAATCAACATCAGTGTGTTCTACCTTCAGTACATGTTTTATCTGCATTTCAATTCGTAGACAGACCTTTATATCATAAAAAGAGAGAAATAGTCAAGAACAGGCAAAGTCTAACCTAGCCAGGTTGTTTTAAATGCTTACTCAGCATCATTAAAAAAGAAAGCAAACCTCCCCAAATACAAGTTAAAATGTCCATTACTAATACATACCAGCAATTATTTATGATAATCAAAAAAGAAAAACAAACATATTATGAAATATTCATTTTTCTATAGCATTGCATGTATTTTATGGGCAATGTCACCATTTGTGGAAATAATTCCCCCTTTCAATGATCACTTTTCCGTAGCGCCCTAGAACTGGGGAATAATAAAATACTTAAAGGGTTTTGTTGAAGTATCATTTTTAAGGATCTTTTATTCTAACTTATAGACTTTTCTTTATACCATTTAAAATATATTGAAGGAATTTAAGAAAAGCCTTAGATTTTGGCCAAAGACACAGAAAAACAAGGGTGGTTGGACCATACAAATTATTTAGGGTTCGCAACCTACATGTGCTTAGCTAAAGGATAGCAATTCTGTTCAAGCACATAAATAAAGGGAATCCATTGCAAACAATCCACCTTCTATTCACAATCCCTTGAATCTGTACTGTAACTGGTCAAGATTCTTGTGGAAACCTTGAGTCTTTATGGCATCGCTGGCTTGTAGACTACAAAAGTTTCCAAATCACCGTTCCTCTTAACATGTGGTATGAAACAGAGTTCCAGAACGTTTAGAGAAGAGGTGGGGGCTGGGCACAGGATAGTTCACCACCAAATAGCACAACACATAAAATCAACCTAGGGAAAATGGCGGAGTCAAAAAGTCAAAAGCAGCCACATCACACAAGAATGCCAGGGAGTCAATGAATACCGAATTTCATGCCAAGAAATTGAAATATTAAAAAGAAATAAGGTTGGACATCAATAAATACCAAAAGCGTCAAGAAGTCAAAGCCAAACCAATGTTTCCTTTTTCCCCCTACGCACGAACCTTTTGTTCTAAACCCAAAGCCCAATGGCATTGAGATCCATAATTTTTTCTGAAAGATTCAAGTCTGCAGAGATACTTCCCTTCCATTTGATCACTTGAGTCCACAGAAATAAAGCACCTTTGAAACCAAGAGTTGTTCAAGAATCCTAGTGTCTTATTCAATGTGTCAAAAAAGTACAGTTAAAATAATTAGAATAATTCATCAAATGACAAACACAACAATATTGACTCTCGTGAATAGGCAAAAAGTTTCCCGAGACAATTCACAACTAAGGAGATAGAGCACAATAAAAGGCTATGATATTTCAGGAATAGTCTGTGTTATAGCTTTGAACTTTATTGCAAAGCAAAAAATATATATTTATATATATATATATTTTTATCTACATTTCACCTCTGACATTGTACACAACACGAAAGCACAGGAAACCAAAAAAATCATAATGAGGTAGATACATAACACTTACAGATGGAGGAGACTAAGATTTTAAATTTGGCTTAATACTGCGGTCACCAATGTATGCATTTGCAATACAGCAGCAAGCATTGATTCACAAGGCAAGAAGCCCAGTGATCTCAAATCCAAAAATAAGCCCCATTAAAAAAATACCTGCTCAAAAATGAAAAATATACATATATATTTCTTTAAGTCAGGGAATCAGATGTGTTCAATTGCAAACCCTGGTGAAATTAAGAAAGTCTTTGTTTTTGCTTTTTGTGCCCAGGAAAAAAAGAAGTAATTTTAATTTATCTAAATAGGAGTAACCCATCCCATAGGGTTGTTCTATGTATTCTTGCCAGGTGGGGTTGGAGCACCTTGTGAGCTCAGCAGCCCAACATCGATAGTAAGGGAGTCAGGGTTTCTTCATCTTCCCTAGAGTTAGAACTCACTTCTACAGCCACTGTGTCAGGGACCACTTTGAGCGCCCTTGGCACCTGCTGGCTGGAAATCAATTTAGCTGTAATGGATCTGGCCCAGCTTTTCCTCTCTTGGGTCATCTGCACTCATAGTGGTTGAAGCAAGATCTACCAGATGGGGACATTGAGATGGTCCCTTTCTCCTTCTCATTTCCAAGAACAACTCTTCCAATGGAGAGCTCAACAGGCCACCAAGAAGGCTTCCATCAGCCTTGATCTTAACTGTGAATGCAATTTTACTATAAAATGCTCTGTCAGGCAGTGATAGCTACTGCAGAGACCTCTTTGTCCTCATATTTCTGTCCTGGATGGAAGGAAGATGGGGTAAGAAGAAAGCAGACATGGACATTGGTTTGCTGAGGCAGTGACTTGGAGAACAGAGCCATGAAACCACCAACCAAAGAAGGGTCAGCTCAGATCAGTACAGGCGGCCAAAAGAGACCTAAGGGACTTGGGCAAGAAAACCAAGGAGTAACTTTTGGGTTTGTTGGACGTGGCTAGAAGGCTCTAGAGACTCTAGAGAAAATGTGGAAGATACAGGGCTCAGAGGCATCTGTTGGGCTAAATGCTGAACTGAATCAAGCTCATTGGATTGTTTAGTGGTTATTTTTACTCTGGACATGATCCTACTTTTGGCAGGATTTGCTCTGTTGAGAAATAGCTGGGAACAGTTGCAGCCCAGGTTAGGGGGAAGACTGAGGGGGTCCTAGTGTAATGCCTGGTTCATTTGGGGATGATGGTAGGTTGGGAGAGGGAACTGATGAGAGAGGCCCTTGATGAGAAGCCGTGTGAACTTTGGGAGGCATTAAGTCAGCTCTGCCGGGCAGGACCACCCTGTCCTCCCAGAAGCCGGACTGTAGTGCCCATAGGTTTGTGCTTTGTCTCCCTGCTGGACTGTGAGTGCCTTAAGAGACGGTCTTTCCTCTTTGTCTTCCCAATGTCGAGCAGAGCTCCTGCTGCATGGAGGCCATGATCCAGGTTGAATTGGGTTTTTGGGAAATGCAAAAAGAGGATTGGTTTGGGGAAGAGGGGATGGTATCAGCAGTGCTCTGAGGGCTTTGAAGACCCTATAAATACATATTCCCCTTGGAGGCAATACCCAGGGGCCTCCTCCTGCCTTCCTCGATCCATTTCAAGTGAAGACTTACATTTGAATTTTGAACATAAAACATTGGACCTGATGAATGGAAAGGAATGAGAAACAGTCCATCTGAGTCTGTATAATAACAGGACACAATAAAGATGAGCAGCTGCTTCCAGCGTGGATGGGCTGTGAGGTTGGTGGGAGGATTGCTGTCTGTCTTAAGCATTGAACTTCAGGATGCAAAGACAAGGTGAGGTACAATTTCTACTCTTGCCTTCGGAAGTTTCTGGGCAAGACAAGGCCAAGGGCACTTCCAAGTGTCCCAGAGATCATTCATCCAGAGGCAGGGGCTTTGTCCCCTTGGAAGCCCAAAGCAAAAGAAACCAGTCTGGATCACAACAGGGAGCAGTAGGCCACTTCTAAGGGAAGACTATCCAATTACGTGGTACTCAATCATGAATGGAGGCAAGGAGCTTCTGTCCTTGGAGGCCTGTGACAATAAGTATGATAGCCTTTTGTCAGTGACTGCGTGGATGAGCAAAAATTAGGTGGTGTCTGAGTCTCCTTCAAACTCTGAGATTCCACTGTTCCTTGTGCTCTGAAGAAGCCCCAGCTATGCTCAAGGACTGAGGGATTTTCCCCATGGGTAACCACTGGACATTGGCAGGATTAGAATAACTTGTGTGTGTGTGTGTGTGTGTGTGTGTGTGTGTGTGTGTGTGCATGTCCTCACTCAGAGGGTGCTCGGTAGCCATTAAGCTGATGTAATTGTTGTAAACAAACATAAAACACGAGACTGCTGGTGGAGGAAGAACATGGCAGTCTTATCATTCCCCTCGCACCAATCTCTCTAATCTCTTTCTTCCTGTCCATTTCTGCTCTTCTCCCCATCACCCTCTCCCTTATGCTCTTCTCTCATTTCTCTCTTTTGTTTTTGTTTTTGAGATGGAGTCTTGCTCTGTCACCCAGGCTGGAGTGCAGTGGTGCGATCTCTGCTCACTGCAACCTCCACCTCCCAGGTTCAAGCGATTCTCCTGCCTCAGCTTCCCGAGTAGCTGGGATTACAGGTGGGTGTAACCACACCTGGATAATTTTTGTATTTTTAGTAGAGACAGGGTTTCACCATGTTGACCAGGCTGGTCTCAAACTTCTGACCTCAGGTGATCCTCCCGCCTTGGCATCCCAAAGTGCTGGGATTACAGGCGTGAGCCACTGCACCCGGCCTCTTCTCTCATTTCTATTGTTTTTAACCGGTTCACATGGAAGTGAAAATCACCGTCTTCAGCCTGCTAGTTTGATGTTGGTATTTGCATTTGTTGACTTAGGGTCCTAGAGTGGTTTCTGTTCCCAAATCTGAAGGTATCTATTCATCATTCAAGACACTTTATCAAATGTATTTGCCTGGCTCACTTTTTTCATACCTTTCTGGCTTGGATCAATCACAGAGGTTACCAAGTTTATGCCTGCATTTTAGAGATTGGGACATTGGGGCTCATGGGAGGCGACGGCCAGCCCAAGAGCAGTGAGGACAGGAGCAGATGCCAGTTCCCAGGCCCTGGCATGGTCACCCCCAACCTCAGCCTGCCTTCTCCCTAGCCCAGCACAGGGTCCTTCCGGGACTGCTCCTTCTCGCTGCTGAGTCACAGTCACTGTCTGCAAAAACTGCCTCAGAACTGACCCCGTGAAGCTTAAATTTCTTAATTTGTTCTAACTCCGACTTCTCATCCCCCCTATATCCTTAGGAAAATAATCCATTTATCTGAAAGTCATCTCTCAAGGTCATGGAGAACAAAAACAAAACAAGACAGATAGGAGACACTAAAGTTCTCAGGACAACCCAAACAGACAACTCATAGTGCACCTGGGAGGGCTCCAGTTCCACGGATCTCCTCCAGAACATAACTGAAGGGGTAGGGCTCAGGGTGACCTCTGGAAAGCAGGCATCATTTTCCATGTGACGCTGTATTTCATTAATCGTCCCTGAATTTTCCCCACTCTTATCCTAGTTTCTTGGGCCAACTGAATGCAAACAACAATGCTCAGGCTTCCTGGATTTAGTCCCAAACATTCCACACCAGGCACTGTGAGCTCCCTGGTGTTTGTGAGCCATGAGGAGGGGGATGAGGTGGAGTCCACCTGGAAGAGGAGCAGGATCACTAGGGATGAAGCCGAACCGAGATACTGAGGTCTGCCCCCAGCTGAACCCCTGACTGACCATGGGACCCTGTGCAAATGTGAGGACTCCCTGAGCCTCAGTTTCCCCATTTGTAAAAGGGGGGATTTCTCACCTCACCAGGTGATCCTCAGGATTTAGAGGAGATGATTTGTATGGAGGCATTGGGCACAGAGCCTGACACATCTGTGGCCCTTGGTTACTGTGAGCAGTATCTGGGTCCTCTCATCCTCCCCAGAAGGGCTCTGCTCTGCATCACTGATGTCACCCGCTCAGACCACACTGGACTGGTTCTGACACGTGACATTCCTGAGACCCCAGTAATTCTAAATGCTTCTTTCCTCTAAGGAACTGTCTCCTACTCCCATCAGGGGAAGCACAACATCTCTGACCAGATTCCTTCTTCAGAAGCAGCCAGCCCTGCAGGGCTCTTGGCCGCCCCTGACCTCTCTGGCCTGGCATTCAGGACTGTACATCCATGGGCCACTCAGGATCTCAGGGTCCAGTGGATGGCAAGAGCCCACATAGCACAGGGTCGGACTCATCCACTCTGATAGGGAAGATTTTTCCAGCAAAGGCTCTGTTTACACTGGGAATGAATTGTCAGGCTTCCGAACAGGCAGGTTTCCTGGGTCTAGATTTGGGCAGAAACTCAACAATGCCACAGACTGCAGAGGTGGGCATGACCCTTCCCAGAACGGCAGGTTGTCACAGCCCCCAAATGGGTATTGGACACTCTGATTTGGCCCTGGGAAAGCAAGGAGTGAGGGATCTCCACCACTTTCAACCTTTGGCCACTCTTCATTCTGCCCAAGGTGAGTGAAGACCCAGAGGCCTGAGTGCCAATGGGGCAGGCTAGAGGGGACTGGGGTCACAGGTCCAGACCTTGGCAACCTCCAAGAGACTCCTCCAAATGTACAGCTGATTTTTAGAGAGGGCCAGGAGTTGGGAAATTTCATGGTGTCCTGGAACAGATCCCCTGTAGACTTTCTGAGCCTTAAAGACAAGTCAGCTTTGGGGAAGCTTCTTGGGGTCTGGTTATGCAGGGCCAGGTCCCAGGACAGCTCTGAAAGTCTCCAAACTACTCACTTCAAGGAGAAGAGGAACCCTTTATTCCTATTATATATAAGAAAGAAGACCAAAGAATGGGTGAGAAATTCCCAGGATGGTTCTCAGCAGATGTGATCTATGGAACAAGACAAAAGTAAATGAATAGCTCTTTGTTCAGATCCCCTGAGTAGCTAAGAGAATGTGCAGGATTGGGGAAGGCAAGGAATGAGGCCACTAGAGACAATGCACTTCATCAAAGGACCGACTTCCTTCTTCACTCCAAAGGAATTTCATCTAAGCTCCCACCTGCCGCCGAGTGGAAGCATGTTGTGCTGGAGCAGTTAGGCAGTGTCTGGATTTCTCTTTTAAAAATTGTCTTGGATGGCTCGGCCACCTTGTGCAAGACTTGTAAACCATGTGCAAAACTCAGACTTGTGCAGACAACCAGAGAAGTTGCAAAGCTGCCTTCTGCGTACAGGGCTTCCCCTGCCAAGTTTGTGCTTTGTGTAACCATGTGACCTATCATCTTTCTCTCAACTATTTTTTAAAAACCTCTCAAAGTCTTGCTCAGCCGAACTGGCTTGATGGTAGTTTGTAAATGTGCTAGAACCCGCTGCCCTCACTGCAGCTATGAGTATGTTTCAAAATGTTTCCAAATGGCACACAGTCTAGGGCCAATTTCCTGAGCACTTTTGACACTGGGCTCTCAAAGATTCCCTTTATATCTAACTTTCGAAATGAAAGCAGATGCATTAACCCCACTTGGGCAAGTTGCCCTCAGTGGCTGGCAGGGGAGGAGAGGTATTAGGAGTCCGTGGTGCAACAGAAGGGACATGGGATTTGGCACTGGGTGGAGTAGCTAGGAAGGGCACAGTTGGCCTAAAGCTAAGGCAGAAAATACTAGTCCATCCTCTGGGTATAGGTTACTCCATAGAGATGACCACAAATAAGGAAAGAAAAACACCCAGGTCAGGTCCTCCCCAGAGTCCACCAGATTCCCTGCCATGGTCTTGACTCAGGACCATGATGTAAGTACTAATTCAGCTGCAGGTACACATGATCTCCCCACCCCCGGCCCCAGAGGTCACATGCTCATTTTTCCACTTAAGCCAAATTTTTCTTCTTGCCTTAAGTTAACACATCCCCAAAACATATATAAAAAGTAGAATCTGTAAAGAAAATAAATATTTTGAACCAAGAAGAGGATGAAAACAAGTTGTAAACATGTAACTGAAACAGAAAATACACATCAGTTCACTTACAGAACCAAACGAGGTTACACTGAATCATTTCCAATTAAAGAAAAGGAAAATTCTTTTTTCTTTAGCTCTTAAATTTAGGAAAAGAATCACTGTAGCATGCTCACCTTGAACCAGGGATTGGATATTGTGTTTCTTGTACAAAGGAAAAAATCTGTGAGGATTATGGAAAACAGTTTGGAAATCTAAGGTGAACGGGTGGGGAGAAAAACTGGAAGATTGCATAGTTGTGAAACAGTGGCTTCTCATCAAGGTGAACAAGTGCATCATCTGATAAAATAGCATTTGATATATATCTTTTCCTGTTCATGTCTGCTTGCGGTATTTTGTTCTCTGTCCACCAGACATTTCACACACTGGAACATATATACAGTACACACACACACACACACACACACACACACACACACACATGCTAGCATGAAACATCTGAAGTACACAGCCATCCTTTGAAAGGACCCCACACCGCTAGTTCTGGCAAAGTTTATATTCACCAATAATACACTTTAATCACATCCTAACCCACTTCTGGTCAAAACTAATCTCTTGGATTCTTTCATTAGTAACTAAAGGGGGTGGGGTGCGGTAGAAAAGGATGGGGACATGAAGGAAAGCCTCAGAAATGGTTCTCTTCTCTTGCTGAACTTCTGCGGAAATGCCTCACCTTTTGGTTAGAGGGACACTATTTTTTAAGAGATGGGAAAAAAACTGCCGCTTTTTTTTTTAAGCTTTCTTGAGGTAAACGTTATTGGTTAGCGCCCTAGGCAGGGGACATTTTTACAGCACTGTAGAGAAACCTTGGAATAAAGAAGAAACAACACAAAAGCATAACATCAATGCTCAGAACATTTAAAAAGCACATCTATGTCTTGATTTATTCCCCTTTCCTCTCATTCAGCCTACTCCTTCTACTAACATGTGGAACAGAACAGAAAGATGAATGATTTCCCATATCACACTGGGCATCCCTTATCCCATCCCCACTCTAAACCTCTCTTGCACACATACTAAAAGTTGTGAATTAACTGACAAAATAAAGATGACCACACTGTACGTTTTTCCATTCTATCTGCCTCAAACATATATATATATATGTATATAAATATATATATATGATAGTTTACCTTAATATAAGAAATAGCAAAGGTCTTTTTGTTACACTTTATACAGAATCTCTGCATCTTATCTTCATTTTCTATTCTCTCTGTCTCACTTTTTGGATAAACAATTGGCTATAGCAATCTATAGTAAGGCTTCACAGAAAGAATTCTGCATGTTTTGTTTTTCTCTAAGAACCAAAGTATATAAAATGAGGTTTGATTCTAGCACCTTATACAGTATTAGTGATGTTGTTCCCTTGGGAGAAATTAGCACTACCCAACGCCCTAGGTGAATCTCCATCAGTTACAGAATATTTAAGGTATTGCCAAAGGCAGGACAGAAAACATAGCAGAGATGGAGAAACAAGAGGCGAACAAAACAAAACCCCAAGATTTAAGTCTTAGCAACATATAAACAAAATCTTAACATGTCAAGTTGCTGTCTCCAAATTAATAATGATCTAGTGATTCAGTATCATCAGTTAATCCTTTTAAGTTACTCTTCCCCATGAGGTAAATATTATGATACTCATTGTAGATGGAGAACCCATGTGTGGGACGTATGCAGGTCACAGGGGAAACTGAGTCAGGACACGAAGTGAGGGATGCCCAACTTCCAGCCTCTTATTCCCAAACTGTCCCCTGCCACCTTTGATAGGTGAGTCAAGATTTTGGGGAAAGCAGCTTATTGGCCACTAATGGGGAAGCAAAACAAACAAAGAATTAAAAGAAATATATATCAGCACCAAAGGAAGTTCAAAAGAAGCTGCACTTTGCTCCCTTATCAAATATTCTGTGTTACGGAGACAGCAACTTTCACAAGAAGGAAGAAGAAAACTTGTCACAGGAGAGTAACCCATCTCATCTGTTGTGCCTTTCCCAAATGTCAGTACCCTCAAGAGAGCCATTAGTTCCAGTTGAGTAGTATATATTTTTGTAGAGGAATGATCAACTCCCACCAAAGCTGCATCAGAACCTCAATTATATAGTTATATAACTATGGTGATATATCTATATCTAAGTATATATTTATACATTAAAGTCTGTTACTGCACTGGCACAGAATACCATTTGCTGGCGTTGCTGTTTGCTGCAAGTGGTCGCCTTGAGTGGAGTTACACAACAGAGAAGCACCACGAGAAAAGGCACCACAAGGTTCGAGAAGTTAAATTGTTTGTTGTCACTGCCCTGACCTCGCCACGGTGGGGGAACAGAAAAGTCTTTTGAGCAATTGATTCAAAAGCTCCCAGCCCATGTGCATCTGTCCCTTCCAACTCAGCAGGGAGAGAGGGAAGAAAGAGCATGACATTGTTCTTTTTAATGCGATTTTCTTTTTGGCTAATAGAAAAGAAAAAACAGTTTCTTTTTTTTTTCTTTTAAAAATAAGGGGTCTCAGACACTGAAAACCCAGCTCTCCTAAAACAGTAAAAAAAAAAAAAAAAAAAAAAAAAAAAGAAGGACAAAAGTCGTGTGCTAAGGAAAGTCCTACATGGAAATCTGTCTTTCTAGCATAATTACTCAGTTGCAATGCATTACGAAAAAAAAAAAAAAGAAAGAAAGAAAATGAAGGAAATTACATCCATAGGCACAGTTTGCCACAAATAGCACCAGGTCTAGATTAATGAGGACAGACAGATGTCCACATCTGTCCACATAGCTGAGAACCATGGATGTTGACTTTGAGTCAACATTACTCCATCCTCATAGTCTGGCCAAGAAAATGGAAGTCATTGGCCATCTGGAGCACCAAGAGTTAAATGTGCCACTGACGAACCAGAAAAGGAGAGGAGGCAGTGAAGGACTGCAGAGTGGATATTAAATGGCATTTTAATTTTTATTAGCATACTTGCCGGCCTTGAAATACTCCTGCCTAGGTTTCTCCTTCCAGGCAGGGAGCCACGTCCCACGTGGGAATGGGGAATCTGTATCTGTGGCAGGAAGATCTGAACATGGTGTGGGGGATACAGGGGCACAGCGTTCTCTCCAGCCATTGTCCTTCCTGACTTTAGGTCTGGGCTGTACAAGGGAGGTCAACTGGCCATGCTGGTGTGAACTTCAGGCTCCCAAGACTTACTTTCCACTGTCCAAGCTGATGGTGACAAGATAGGGAGACCTGGGGCCAGGATCAAAATGGCTCCCTGTGCTGGGACCTTTCTTCCCAAACCTGGACCAATGCTTCTCTCAATGACAAGAGGCTGCTTATTGGGTGGGGTGGGGTCCCACCCAATAGCCTCTGTGATATACTTACTTCCTTGAGCTGGAGGTTTTAGCTAAAATAGGTTTTCAAATTCTGATGCTTGTCTATACCAAAAGTGATGCTCCCAAGTTCAGTATAAGGAAAATAAATGATTCCTATCACCTTCCAACAATCTGAATTATTTACCCAAGTCTACTTTTGCTGTGTGGAAAACAGGGCCAAACAAAAGACTTCTGCCAGAAGAGTTCTCCATTTGCAAGGAGGCTTCCCTAGCCCCTTCATGGGAACAGAAAAGCCACCTCACCACCATCTCCCTTTCCCTGGATCTCCTCTTAGACTATTTTCCACCACACACCTACAATAACAGACGGGAGTGTCTGGGAGTCTTTTCCTGTGGTTCTAGGACAGTGGTCTCTGCCCATTTTGCTGGCTTCCATGCCTCTGCCTTTCCATTGATCTAAGGTTCTTAGTGCTCCAAGAACCAGTCCAGCAACTGTACTAGGTGAAGTCGAAATGGCAATGTGCATTCTGAGCTGCTAGGAGTGGGAAGTGAAGATTTTGCTCTTAGCCTTTACACCTTGGGAATTTTCATTCAGTACTTTCCTCCCCTCTCAGCTTTATCTATGGGCAAAGACGATGTTTTGCACATATGAGGTGCTCAGTTCAATTAATTAAGAATAAGGACTTCTTCCCCCATCCAAAGGGTGCATTAATTACATAGCGTGTCATCAATCACACGCATAAGGGCTCTCCCTGACCTGTCACACAGGGTGTCAATAAGCAATACCTGTGTAGTTTGAGGGTGATCAAGGGCAAGGTACTTTCTAGCCCTCCCCCAAAACTTTGGCTAAGTCACTTCCACAGAGATCTTCCCCAGAGAGATGGGGGCTAGAAATCAAGTCATTTCTATTCTTTTAGGTCGAGACTTTGGTTAACAGGAGGTGGTCATGAACCTGCATCTAGGAAGGTCCAGCTCACAGGCTTTCTCCTTAGCCTATAGTTCACTACAGATGATTTTTAACACCAGCAAACTCCAGAGTAAAGGAAAACATGGTATGAGCTTTGGAAGCTGTATTCTACTCACTCGGCTCTTCTCAGGATGTAAGAACTAACCATGAGGATTAGATACATGGAGGCAAAGGTAAGAAGGAAGGAATCCCAGCTGGAAAAGGTGAGTTTCATATGGTGACTAAAACTTCACACAGTGAGCAAACTTCCTGTCCTAGTGAAAGTGGAAGAGGAACAGGGGCACCCGCCATTAGCTTGGAGATGCCACGTTCTCAACCTTTCCTTGTATAGATGGATGCTTGCTCAAGCACAGTTTCGGCATGGTGGTGGGGGGAAATATTTGGAATCTCAAAAGTAATGATGTTTATGACTCTGCTTCCTGAAAACCCGCAAATACATACACAGACATGTTTGTCAGACAGCCAATGCTCAGGGTGGACAGGAGCAGTGAGACTATTTTGCTAGCCCTTTAGGGAAAATTACAAATTGTATGTACTCAAGGCTTTGAATTACCTGAGAAGTTCAACTAGTTTTGCTTTAGAGAGCATCAGTTAGCAGCATCTTCAGCCTTACGGAGTGAACATGGAAAAGCTTCTCGGGAGAAAAGTATCCAAGAAAAGCTAAGCAAATCCCAAAAATAATGCCCATGAAAATCACCGTCGTTATGAGAAGAGAGATTGGATTCCAGTCTCCCAGCCTCTGCTGACTGCCTCCCTGCGGCAGGTGGAGGGGTTGAGAGAGCCCGTGACCAGGCGCAAGAGAAGCCCAAAATGACCCTGCGGGGTGAAGTCAGTGAGGCCAGAGCCAGGACCTCATGGCCCGTTCTCAGGCACACACAGAGCCGGAAAGTGCTGGAAAGCTCAGCCCAGCTGCAGGGAGAAAAATGGATTTCCTTTAAACAACAAACCACCGTGGCAGCCCCAGACATCAGGAAATGACAGTGACACCCAAGGGGGCTCCTTTCTTTCTTCCCCTTCTCTCTCTCTTTCCTCGCTTCCTTCTTGCCTTCTTTCCCTACTCCCCAAGCCCCCAACTTTTTTTCTACAACAGATGTGTGTTTTTTTTTAAAGTAAAAGAAAACCACCACGCCAAAGGCAGGGTGGCATCATCAACCCTTCCAGCATGGCACTGTCCTCTTCCCATGTCTTTTTCCTAATTCTTTCTTCCTACCCCAAAAAGCCAATTTTCTGTTACACCAGAAAAACAAGACAAAAATTTTTCTTAAAAACATGTCTTGTCACAAATGAGTCCATGTAAGGAAAAAGATAATGAAAACTGTGTACAACGGGGATCAGGGCTGGAGATAAGGGGTTGTGGAAGCTGGAATATACTTGGCCATCGTAGGGAAAGCAGAGTCAATTTGCTGCCCTCACTACTGGGGCTACCATGCCTGGGGAAGGGAGAAGAGATGGAGGGGAGGAGATGGGACGGATGGTGCTGGCATGACCGTCTGGAGCCACTGGCCGCATGCCACACCCTGAGTGTCAGGAAACACAGGCTGTGCATGTGTGACAGTTTAGAGGAGGGGATCCAAAGCTACCTCTGGGGATCTGGGCTTGAAAGGGTTTCTTCAGGCTTGGACAGACCCTGTGATTGCCTCACACCTGATACCAGGTCTTCCAGGTGGACTCTTACGAAGCCCCTGCCTGGATCGGAAACATCCAGAGACCATGGATCCCAACACTGCAGGTGGCCTCCCTTGCTCTTCCAGCCAGAAGAAGAGGCTCAGAACCACACTCTGCTCCAGAAAGAAACTTAGGGTTCAGCGTGCCCCGCTGCATGAGCACCTGCTTCCTCCAGCTCACCTGAAACGCTCTTTTCCCACATAACCAAGTATCGTGTCGCTCCAGGTCATGCCAATTCTGTCCGAGGGCAGAAGGGGCTCTGGGTGGCTTTGCACGCTGTGGGCACCTGGGTTTCTGCTGAAGTCTGTCTGGAGGACTCCAGAGTTGTCAACGCTGCCGCTCCTGTGGGGAGGTACCCAGAGCTGCCGAAAAATGCGTTCTGCCTCCCGCAAAGCAGGACTCCCTGCAGTGTCCCCTGTCTACTAGAGATGCCAGAAGGACTTCATATTTAGGCAGAGGAGACTCTTTCCCCAAGTCCTCATGGCTTCAAGGGGCCAGCCTCCAACTCGCCTGCAGAGATTGGTGGTGCAGGGGAGCTGGACAGAGCAGGTTTGGTTGTCACTGGCCAGAGATCCTGGCAGCCAAAGATCATCTACCACTGGCCGGTCTCAGAGCGGTAACGTCCAGGCTTACTTGTCCACAGCACATTCCCCTCTCTTTCCCTACGGGGGGACTGCTGCGCTAATGGATCAGATGTACTCAGTGTAATTCAAATTCCAGAACTTCTGGGGAGTTGTTTAGAAAGCTGCTTCCTGGGGATCCCAGGTTGTTCTGTGAATCTGCTGAGAATACTGGTAGCAACTAGAGAATCTGTCAAGACCCCGTAGAACCCTGCTATTGGCTTTCTGTCACTTACGGAGGAAATGAAGGCATAAACCAGCTCAGGGGTTTCTTTATGACCCTGTGCCTGGGAGAAAGGAAAAAGCCATCTAGACTAGGTCGATTTCAAGCCCGGCAAGAGCCCTAAACATCAGAATACTCTGTTGCATCAAACTGTTTCAGCCCTTTAAGAAAAAGATACATATGCATATATACAAATAATATGCCCAAGACCGGCACATTTATGTATCTCGATGGATCAATAAACTTTGGATGTAGTTATATGGTCATGCACTCCTCTGTTCTGCATAACTCACAGCAATTTCATAATCTCAGATCATCTCAGAGTTCGTGTGGCTTTCAGCTCTCTCTCTCTCTCTCTGGCATTTAAAAAATCAATGTAATTTCAAACACAAACGAAGCCATCAATAATGAGCAGGTGCCATGAGGTTAGCGGTTAGCAGGGGGGAGATGTGAGCAACCACATCACAGGGATTGTTGTTATTTTGAAGAGCGGATGCCCTAGACAGCCCAGCCGCTGGGAAAACAGCATTCTGAGTTACTGGCCCACATTGGCTTCACAGGTTATCAGTGAGTGTCCCAACTGCCTAAGTAACATCACCTGTTCTCTCCAGCCCTCCACTTCTGTAAAGGCTCAACTAGGACCCAGGGCCACGCCTTTTAAAGGCACATGGATATAAAAAAAGGAAGAAGCAGAGCCTGTCCTGGGTTTTAGGCAGGCTAGGCCCAGGGCAATCCTGGAGGCCCAGGGCAATTCTGGAGGCCCTCTCAGTGGGAGTGAAATGACAGCTCCTGCAGGGGTGGGGGCATATTTGGTGGAAGCATGCAGCAACAGTGGTGTCAAGGCAAGTGAAAAGGCTGCAGTGGTTGCATTTGGACAGACAGCTCTGACCTGAAGCAATGTGCATGGAAGCATAGGCCTCGAAGAAGGCAGGCCTTTTGGAATCAACGTTGGGGGCCACTCGTGAACACAGGCTGGAGAGGGGCAGAGACGTGGCTGAGACGCTGAGGATGATCTGGGCAAGTTGGCAGCACCAAACTGAGGCCCCCCTTTCCTTGAGCCCAGGGTTGGTTGAAAAGAAAGGAGCGTAGCACCTCAGCACTACCTCAGCTGCCTAAGGAAACTCACCACGGGCCTCCGCAGTCCCATGTCCAAGGTACAGGCCACCATGGACCTCTGAGTCTCACGTCTCTTCTAGCAACCAAACAGCAAATCAAATCACCTTCCCTTTCTCTCAGTCCTTTCTTCCCTCTGAAAGGAAAAGAAAATAACTCTCTTCTTTCCTTAAAGGCTGGCATCATACAATGATTTTCAAAATAACAAGTGGCTTCTCTCTGGTTCTAATACACAGAGGAAGCCCCCACTGGCTTCTGAGGATGTTCTTCTGTGGCAGAAAGATTTCTGAGGATTCAGGGGGACTGCCCTAGGAATACTGAAAGGGCATTCCTAAAGCTAAAAGGCTCTGGGAGCATTTCCAGAAAGCTTCGATTTGGGGCTGGAATTCCAACCTGCTTAGTGCAGTAGGTAGTTTGGCTCTTTGTAGAAATTTGTGAACCTCCAGCACGGCACTGTACACATCATCTGAATCCTTTGACGTGTGCTACAGTTTAGAATCCAGACTTGGTTCACTCAGTATGTTTGGGAAGGGAAGAACTTTTTGCACATGGAAAAATGAATGAGACATTTTAAAAGGCTTTGCTTTATGTGAGGCAGCTAAGAAATTGAAAACTCCTCCCACCAAAAAAATAAAAAAAAAAATGGCAGTCGCATGTTTTGATTTGTTTTCGAGTAAAGACCCTTGTCTTTGGAAGCCAAGACTTTCCAGCAAACAACAGTATACCAGACTCTCCAAGGAAACCAATCAACCCCAAATCCCCAGCTATTCCAGGACAGCATAAGTGAATTGTTCTCTGGGTCTGAAGACAGAGGAAAAAGGCTATGGCAAAACTGAAGCTGAGCCTAGAAGGAATAACTGAAATAATAGAACCATATGTGCTGGTCACAAGGAACTTTCACTGCTATTTGCCTTCATTTTCCCACAAAGGAAGCAGAACAACCAGTATTTGTTTGCTTCCCACAGGAGCATTCTCTGATGGAAGCCAAAGAATTTAAAGCCCTTCCTTCTTGTCTAAATATTTGAGAAGGAAAGGAGAGTAGCTTTTCTGGGGCAGAAAGAGAACTCCTTTCTTGACCCACATTGAGACAACTCTGTTATTCTGTCCTCTTGGAATCTTTTAAAATATATCCATTAATCAAAAGAGAGTGGAGGAACTGGATCATATTCCCTTCCTCCACTGCACCTTGCACACAGTAGATGCTCAATTGGTGTTTAGATTTTTAAACAGGAAGCAAGCCTGATCACCATAATACTTTTATCTTCAAAGCGCTTTACCAGCCATGATTACTTAATCCTCACAACACCCCTGTGAGGTAGGTCAACCATATTCTTCCCATTTTACAGAAAGAGAAATTGGCCCTAAGAGTGACTTGACTTAGGTCTGTAGAAGGATAGTCCTGGATTTTTTACTTCCAATAACATGATCTGTTCTTGAGAATGTGCCTCTCTTTCTTTAGATATTTTCTCTGAGCCTTTTGTTTAAAAAAAATGCTTAAGCACGTCACTCCGTAAAATCAATTTCCTCTGTTTGAAAAGAATACGTTTTTCTATTTCTGCCCCAGAGAGTATAGGAAGGAATGCCTAGATGGCCGCTAATGTTCTCCTCCCGCATACTTCTGGAAGCCTTCCTCTTCGTCACCATTCTTCCTACCCATCTACTGAGTCCTGTTGTTCCCCGTGGCTCCATGTGTCCATCTTCAAAGTTCTTGTTCTCAAATTTGGGACAGTTCATTCACCATCCATCCCAGTCAAAAGCGGGTGCTGATGAGAACGGAGAATCAGGTATGAGGTCTCATGTATTCTCTCCTTTTGTTACTATCAGAAATACCTTGTGGAAATAAACCATCCCAGCAGGACTTGACCTATCCACAGAACAGTCAGATGCACGGTCAAGCACAAGTCATTCGTGAATTCCAGACTATGATCTCGTCCCTTGTGCTGTCAAAACAATAATATTAACCTCAGAGAGCAGGGTCAGAGCAGGAGGGAAAGGAGTTCTGGTCAGGGCTCCGCTAGGAATGAGCAGGAGGCGTTGGCAGCAGCCACCGAGACCTGCTCATGCGAGCTCCATCTCATTTAGGGACAGTTCCAGGAGGGGCATTTTTTTCTTGGTGAGAATTTCTATATCAAAATACACCTGAACTCCAAGGAAAAGGCCAGAGCCAGGTTGACTGATGCAGAACAGTTGAAGCTTCTGGAATTTTTCTTTCCAAGAAGGTTCTCGGAGCTGATAGAAAATCAGCCTCACGGCTGGCCCCCCTGGAACCCCAGTGCCTCCTGGGCTCCCACCTGCCCTCACTCCAGGTTAGGTCCTAAGAAAAGCAGAGGCTCTCAGGACAGGTCTGTGTTCTTGCTCAGAGTGTATCTTGGTATTTGAATTGATAACAGTCAAACCATAGTCAAAAGAAAAAAAAAAGGAAAGAAAAAGAAATTCAATGTGACATTTCCAATTCGAATTATAAGAAAAAAAATACCTTGTTTTAGAAAAAAAAATTAGTGCTATTCTCCAGCCCTGTTTGTCTCTGAATCCTTGCCTGCAGGTTCCGCTCAAAGCACACAAGGGAGGGAAGAAAACCCACCATTGGGACCCACATTTTGGCAGATGGAACAATTGTTTAAAAAGAAAAAGATTCGGTGTTTTTCTTTTTCTGTACTCTGCAGAGAGGGAAAGAGGTGAGTCCATTTGATGAGGTGAGCATCAAGATTGAAAAAGATTGTAAGGAAGAACAAAGGTGAGAGAGATTTCCTGAAGAGCTTGCAACCACCTTAAAAACAGTCTCTAAATACTCTCCATTCACTCCTCTTGTCTGCCCAAAGCGCAATGAATATCAGTGTTCAAATGCATCCTTCCATATATTCTCTGATACCTTAGGAAGAATTAACATCAGGAGATTTGGTGTTAGAATTACAAGTGGCCAGCTCAAGATAGGTGACCAAGGGTCACCTGACCAGGGTACCACTGACCTGGGTTCACAGTGCTATGAAGTCTCTAAGAACTACAGGTATGTGAGACTCCTCCCTGTCCCGCTGTGCTCCCTGTTCATCCTGTGGCTTCCAGGTGCCACTGCCCCTGGAAAACACTCTCTCCTCCTGTGGTTCCATTTCCCAAGAAATGAGGTCACCACTTTTTCTCATATGACAGCTTTGCTATAGGCAACAATGACGAATCCTCCAAGCATCCCTGAGCAGGAGAGAAGAAAGAGGTTGGCCTTCTTTCTCTCCACTTTACAGATGGAGAAACCAAGGCACCGAGAGGTGAAGTGAGTTATCCACGATCACAGTGGGGACCGTGAATCAGCCTGTGACATTTCCTGATCTTTCTGGGTCTAAAGGAAAGCCCCTAGGAAGTCTGTAGCTAAAACAAATCTCCCGGGCCCACTCTAGCCCAAGGATCCCAGAGCTATGTTGAAGATGGACAAACAGACCAGGGGAGCTCATCTAACAGATGATGGGTTGTCTGTATCCGCCGTGACAGATGGCCAAATGTGCTTATAGAGGGATGTGCACTGGGTTACCAATTGGCACTATACTAAAGGGAAATTATTTCTTTGTCCTCATTGGTTTGAGAATGATTTTTAGCAGTAGTTGGGGTCCTAGGATTTGTGTTAGGGATTCACAAGGGCAGCATCTCCTCCTGGGACCTGCGCACTGTGCTGCATGTGATGGGCCAGCCTGGGGCAGGTGTCCCTAGGTCCTGCCTGCTCATTTCCGATGTGGTCTATTCTTAGCCCTTGACACAAGGTGTTGGCCAAGAGCAGGGGGAACTCCCACAGTGGTCCGTCTGCTGCCCTCGGGAGTTGTCATTAATAGCACTCACGACCTTTGTCTCCAGGATATATCAGCCATGGCCTGCCAGCCAGTGCAAGGAAAGCCACAGGAGTAAGGAGCAGATGGTGCCAGGGAGAGCTGAACAAGGCAGACAGGACCAGGCGAGCCAAGGAAGGAGTCTGCAGCAGGATCAAGGCAGCACCTTTGTCTTCTGATATTTGGCCATCAGCACAAGATGCAGTGTTTCAGCAAGAAGTGAAATGTTTAGAATAGCTAAGAATGGGTGAGAAAGGGGCTTGTGTTGCCACTGCAAGAATTCAGATCAAGCATCATCCTTTTTTTCCCCAGTGAAGAGGGATAGAAAAAAATCTCTGGGAGGGTAGAGTTGCCTTTTTGCCTTTTTACATGTTTTGAAATTGGAACAGACGCACATTGATTGAGGATGCCGGGGGAAGTCCTCTTGCAAGCTCATGGGTTTGTAACCTGTGATTGGCTGGCCCCTGCCATTTCCATGTTCTGGAGGTTGAACTGTGGGTGAGAATGGAATGTTGCTTCTACGACAATGGGCAGTTTGGGCTGAGGAGAAAGGGACAGAAGTTTAAAGAGTTTCCCATTGTGCTCATCTCGTTCTCAGCCGGATCTTGATAAGAGGAACCAACATCGATTTATGTTCACTTCCTAAGGGGTAACTGTGTTGTGCTTGATGAGCGGGTCTGCCCAACAGGGTCTAGTGACGAATAAATATTTGAGAGAGAAATGAATAGAACTGCTCCCTGTAAGGCTGGTCCAGCCCCTGGGGTGAGCCCACCCCTCTGGGTCCTTCCATTTCACTCCTGCAGGGTCTTCCCCAGGTCTCCTTTAAGCTCCTCCAGATTTCCCCGATGGTTTCCTAGTCAACAAAGATAGTATCACATGGATTTTGGTGAAATTAATTGCAATAAGCTCTCTTCTTTTTACAGTATCCAAATTTAAATCTCAACCTCCCCAACCAAATCTGATTGTGTTAATATTTTTCAGTTTGGCAAAGAAAAAATAGATTTTATCTTCTTGGTAAGAAAATCAAATTAAAGGTACACAAGGAGATTCCCCTCCTTCAATCATGAAGCCACCATCCAGAGCAGCTGTCATCACACATACAAGGCCTGGAAGGGCTCGTTTTGAGTAAGGAGCCACTTTTCTTGGCAAAGAAAATGCTACCATCTGTGCCAAACGAATGCTAGGTGACATCCCCAACCCAGCTCATCCGAGCGAGCCAGGAGCATGAGAATATGGCCTGCCTCATTCTCTTCTGGGAGCTGATATCCTTTGCTCCAAGCCAAAGGCTCTGAGCCTGCACACTGTCTTGCTCTTCTTGCTCTGTCCCTGGATCATGGAGAGAGGACCCTGTGCTAAGGTCTGGGGGCATCAAAGCTTGGGGTTGGTTCTAGCCCTCCCATGAGCAAGGAGCAGACCAGATGGGAGAAGGAAGGTGGTGTTTCCTCTATCTAGCTTGCGGAGACTGCGAAGGGGTTTAGATGTGCAAGAAGAAGCAAGGCTGTGGCCCACCCAGTGCAGCTTCAAACCAGATCCACATCAGAGACCTTCTTTTCTGCCCCTATGACTGTGCAGTGGGAGGGAATAAAACTGGAAGAAGAATGGAGAAAATGATGTAATTTGGTGCTTTTCTAAAACCTGTAAATTCTTTCTGAGAATCAGGCTCATATCTGGACAGGGTCAGACATCTGTGGCATGAGATGCCCCCGAGCCAGGGGAATCACCTTCATGACCACGGGCCAGACAGGATCATGGGACTCAGAGGGGCCACGGCTGGGGAGGGACTGGGTTAGAGCCATGAGAACCATCGGGTCTTGAATGATTCTGTGCCTGGGGAGGTGTGGTGTGGGGGATCCCCAGGCCATGGGGAAATGTCGTCTTCCCTGCCCAAGGCTGTGTTGTGACGGCGGCATGTCTGGGCAAGGGAGATGGCGCCTCTTTCGTTCTGGCCGCAGATCTGCTTGGGTGAGTGTCCTACCAGTATCCTGGTACCCATGTTGCTGGGACAAGCCCGACCCTGCAGAACCAGGTGACACCTTCCAGAGGCAGAGTGCAGGAGAGTGTTAGAGACACGGGAAGCTTTAGGGTGAGTGAGGCCAGAGGGGGTTGATCTGATGGACTGAAGCCTCCCTAGCACCCCTCATCATGGCCTTAAGAGACAGGGAGCTCCCATTCCGGATGTCACAGGCTTCAGGCAGTGAACTCAGGGCACATTATCCTAATGTCATCTGAGGGGACTGAAGTTTCCTTTTACACAGAGGCTGGGAGAAGAGGCAGACCTGCTGAGCAAGGGAGAAGCAGAGTTTGCAGAAACGACTCTAACACCATTAGTTATAGTTTAGCGATACTACCAAATTTCTGGGAAGAAAAAGTAAAAGCCAAATGTTCTACGTGGTTAGAGGAATAAAATACGGGTCTTAGTGGGCATACTTGATGGGGGGGTCATTAGGGAATGAAAAGGAGATAGTTTTTGTATTCTCCATCTCTGGGCACCAACGTGCTTACCAGGCCTAAATACTGGAAATGGATTATTTTTCATCAGGGGGTCCTGGGAAAGAAATGGGCCCAGAGATTTAAAATTTTTAAAAAACCTAAAAACATCACAGGCATTCCTCTGGGAAGCAACTGAAGCAGCAGCCCTAGAGGGTTGTCAAGGACTGAGGCAAATGAAAAATATGGGACATTGGGCATTTAATGTCCAATGTGGGACAAAGAGTGACCCTGTCACGGGGCGGCCTTAAGGATCCGGGCTTTCAGGACCAAAGTCATCTGGGTCTGGAGACACATTCCCCAGGTGGTCTCAGCACTGAGTGTGTATGGAATCCTGCCTGGATGCCCAGGACCAGTCACTGGAAGGGGAAGGGCCTGGGGGGAAGAGAAGACCCCAGGGGAGATGAGGCCAGAGAGTTTTACGGTGGCTGGGAGTGTGGGGAGCTGCTAGAGGCTGATGACAAGAGGACACTGAGGACAGCTCTGGCCTGGTCCTTGCCATCAGGTCTCCCCTGCCCCTTCCCTGCCTTGCTCTCTACTTCTTTCCTTGCTTTTCTTCCTTTTCCTGCATCTCTGCAAAACCAGCTTTCCCTGCTGCTGCTCACAGATGCATATTTTCATTTTCTTTGTGAAGAAAGTACTGGCATGATGGAGGGGTTCCAGAGAGGGGCGAGGGTGCCTTTTCAAGTGAGAAGTGTGAAATTAAAGATTGCTGAAATGTCCCGTGATCTCCTCATTTGTTCCTAGTGGCTAAGACCCTGGAGGCCCTCCCTGATTTGGAAGTTGCCATCCCAACTCCTGGTGCTCCCGGTCAGCTCAGCATCCACCGTTCTCTTTGTAAGTTGCATGTAAACGTGGCAGGATGCACACACACGGACACACACACACTAAGTGTGCAAGAGTGAAATAGAGGTGGTGAATTAAAACCCGTGACTGCGCTGAAACAAAAAGAAAGAAGAAAGAAAGAAATCCAAGAACAGACACACAAGCAAAAGTGGCAGAAGTCCCGAGGGGATGCATGAGGGCATTTCAAGGAAGATGCGCAAAGGACAGACATGGGCCAGTTCCAGGTGCACAGAGCCCCAGACCTGAAGCAGACAAGAGGTGGGACCCCCCCAGCTAAAGCGGATGCCCCACCCTCCAATGGCCTCACCTTCCCAGCCTAGCAGAGTACACTGTGCAGCTCAGGCGTGAAGCCCTTGCAAGGCAGCACGCTGGTGCGGTTCAGAAAAGTGCCTCTGACTAGATTCCAACTCCCAGGTGACTCTCCAGGGGCCCACGGGCGGGTCCCTTTAATGGGCGCGCCGAGCCCTCCTGGCTGGTTTTCACTGCTGCCTGCGTGTGCTCTGTTCGTCCTGCTTCCTAGAGTTGGGGGCTCCTCCTCCACCTGCCCACCAGTGAGGCCCGAGGGGACCCCCGAGTCAGGGACGGGGAGAGGACAGCACCACGATGCTTAGTAAGGACGCATGAAGTCTAGGAAGTCCAGACAAAGAAGAGAGCATAGAGTTTCACAACTGATATTTGAAACTTGTTCTTAAAACAAAAAAGGTTTTAGATAAACAATGAAGGTGGTGGGAAGGAGAAGCCTCGCTGAATAATAATTGTTTTTTATTTAAAAAAAAACAAAACTCCACAAACATTTAAAAAACCCTCAGTTATTGAACTTCTGTTGAGAATAGTTCAACGTGAGGTCTTGCACCCTAAACAGGTATATATTTGGGAAAAAAAATCGCAGCTACACACAGCAAAGACTAACAGTATTTACTTAAAAATATTGTGTGTGTTTATATATATATATATATATATATACTTATTATATATCTTTTTTGTGATTTTTTTTCTTTTCCTTTTTTTTTGTGCCCAAGTAGAGATACGATGCGATTGAAACGATGCCCTAGAACAGAAATATTCTTTAAAGGAACAATACTTTGAAAAATAAAAAAAAATTTAAATCGTTGAACATACTTGCAACACCTGCAGAAATTCAACTTGATACAATGAGAAAATAAACAGTGGAATCAAATCCTCACCCAAATGGCATGGCCTCTAAGGCCTGCAGTCCGCTGCTGGTGTGAGTCTTGCCACCCAAACCAGGGCTCGTGGGCAGGCAGCATCACTTCCCCACCACTCCAGAGCCCCCGCCCCCATGCTCTGCTGAACCAAGCCGTGATCCAAGTTCGTCTTACATCAGTTTTGTATATCTCTGGCAAGACTTTGCAGCAGGGACACACACATATATACGTGTGCTATGGGCACACACACACATACACACACAAACACACACATACTACACACACAAAATTTCCCATTCAACCCAGATGCACCAGGTGAGCTGAATGATTTTCAGCCAACCACAATGGTGAAAGACAGAAGCACCAAACAGTCTTTGAAATGGGTCAGTTATTACAATTTTGACTTTTTATATATATGTATATATATATATATATTCTAGTTTTCCTCTTTGTGTTATTTTTTTTTTAAAAAAGCACAAATGAAAAATGAAGAATTCTTTCCAGATCAATTTAAGGCTTCCCACCAAATGGAAACAGAAGAGGCTTTACACAATATCACATGTGATAAATGTCTACCATTCACAGCCTTAAAATGATGGAACTAATCGTTGTTGCCAGTCACTGATTAAGTATTGTGCCTTTAAACTGATGTCGTTCTTTTTGCTACTATGCTGAGTTTTATTATTACTGATTATGTGTACAGAAATCTCCTTTAATTTGCTTTAGAATATCCTGTCCTTACCGAATTATTGCGGTGGCTTTTTGTTTTGTTCTGGTTTGCTTTTCACTGGGAAACGAATGTGATTCTTGCTAGGCAAATGCTAAAATGGCACATAATCAGCCTTCAAGTAGCTTCTCCAGCCATTTGAGTTTCAAACAGCCCTTGAGCTCCTAGAAGGCTCTGCAAAGTGGGGAGAAGGTCAGGAGAGGAGGGGGAGAAACTGAAAAGAGGGAGGGGTTTATGCTTTTGCTTTTGGTAAATTTGTTTTCTTCAATACAAATAATCAGATAGGAAGAATAATTGCTTTGTGTTGTATTTGTTGGTTGGTTTTTGTTTCACTTTTAGATTTGTTTCATTTAATTGTTTAATTTTCCCTCTTCTGGTGCAAAAATCACCAGAGAGTTTTGCATGAGAAAACGTGACAGTACTTAATGAAACTCAGCACCTAAGGGCATAAGGCAGTTGAAGGTTTTTTGTTTGTTTGTGTTTGTTTTGTTTTGTTTTGTTCTTTCAATCAGCACCAATCCCATAAATGATCTACACTTGGTGTAAGGTAAAAAACTTTTTTTTTTTCTTTTGGAGTGGAGATAACTCCTCCTTCTCCACCCTATGAACCATAGCGTGGGATTTTTCAATACTGTTTCTTATGTGTAAAAAACAAAAGAAAGGTTTTCTTTTTGTTTTTACTTACAAAACATAGAGAATATCTTTGTATACATACAGCGACTGGAAAGAAAGCTTATTTGAAGGGGTTGTGACTTATTAATTCTTTTTTTTTTGTAGTGGTGGTGTTGGTGTGGCGGTGTTGGTGGTGGTGGCGGTGGTTCTGTGTATTGGGGGAAGGGAGGGTTATATTTCTTGCAAGTGCTGTTTGCCGCAAACCAAACTTAAGGTCCCCTTCTCAACTTGGTCAAGATGCTCTTAGAGTGAAGACTCATACTGTAGCAACTCATAGAGGAGTGGTCCGTCTCGATATCGAATGCCTACTGCGGTGGGGGTGACATATTGTAGAATGTTAATAGTCCTTCTCAGCCTCCTGTCTACAAAATGAGCATCCCAAGCTGGGTATCGCTTTCTTGGCATGTCAATCTTAATGAGGGGCCCTTCTGGGAGGTAAGGACGCCCCAACGGGGTAGGGGGCCCCATGGGTCTCACTTGGAAAACAGGCAAGCAAGTGTCAGCCGTGAGATCCTCCTGTTGTTCCGTTACGGCTCTGGTGGGCGTAACCTGGGTCCCCCGGTACCCAGGGATCTCAGGCGCCATGGGCTCAACATCGGGGGGCAAAGGGATGCCCCAGAGCAGCTCGGCACAACAGGAGCTGGCAAGGATCTTAGCTCGTGGTCCTGTGGGATGCAGCACGCCATAGTATAAGAGCATCATTGCGATCCCAGCCACAAAGCTAATAAAGACACAACACAGTGCTGGCACCGCATAGGAGTCAGTGGTCTCCGGGTCTCTGTAAAAATACCAAAGGAACGTCAAGGCAGCATTCTCGGTCAAGACTATCGTATAATATGCAAACATTCGATATCGAGTCCGCCCTTCCTTGACGTTAAACCAGCAGAAAATGTACACGATCCCTACCACCATGTTGAAGAGGATCTCCTCCCACTTGGACATGCAGAAGTCTGTTCCGCCATGGATGATCCAGAAGGCCATGGCGCACCAGTGAACCACCACGAAGATCCCAAAATAGAGCTGGAAGATGGAAGCAAAGAGGGCAAAAGAGATCACTCGGGATGAGATGGTGAAGAGGCGCCAGAAGACCTGGATGATGGCCCCTCTGTAGCTCATGCTCTTCTTGTCGTCCCTGGAGTCCCGCAGCAGCTTGTGATAGGAGGCTAGCACCCAAGCCAGGGACATCAGGGAAGTCACAGAGGAGACACCTGCCGGAAAGACACAAACCCACACAGTCAAAACCTTGGACATCAACCGCAGGGCACAGTGAAGCTGCCGGCTGAGGAGACGCCCACATACACCACGATCTAAAGGAGGAGGGAGAAAGAAACACAGAATCAGGAACCGAACTTGGAGGTCACAGCTGCTCCCTACGCTGACAACTTGGGAGATGGAGCTTTTGTTTCAACAACCCCATTTGCCATTTTGGGAGCTCAGTAGCTCAAGGGTGATACTGAGCCAGTGTGTTTTGCTAGGGGGCTGAGAGGTGGGGCCACGTCTGCCATGGGCAGCCCTTTGTGGGTTCCGCCTTAAGGAATCATGCGATTCTTGTGGCACACAGATGTGCGGCTGGCATTGGCGTCGCTGTCACCAGCAGCCTGTGCTCTCAGAGAAGCCCACAGGAGGAATCGCCAATTGTGAAGACCAAGGGTTTACCCACCGCCCTGAATTCCACACTGTTCTCCTCTGAGGTGCTGGAATCATGCTTCTGCCTTTTCCTCACCTCACTCAAAGTCCCAAAAGGCCCTTTCCTGAACCTTCTTCCAGTTAGCTTCTCCCTGACCTGCCACCCAAGGCCAACAAGATCCAGGACACTGGGATATCCCGCCCATTTCACAGACTTCCTCTCTCACCCACTCTGGTCTTTTCGGCCTCTCCACAATCCCTGTTGCTTTTTCCAACCGACTGCTGCTCAATGTGCTCTTAAGCCTTGACTTTTGAAGCTCTGTCCTTCTCTGGTTGCCCTCTGGGTTCAACATGGTATCACTTGGGCTTTGGGGGTGCCTCTTCCCCTTACTGGTTTTCTGAGGCTTCCAAGGCCTCTGCACTTTACTCCCTGCATTTCCTCCCACAACGGGCAAATATTCACAGAGTTTGAGTGTGCCTAATCCCAAGTCATACTCATATTGCCATAGAACAATTTTATATCCAACTCTGACTACTTGATATTTGCAAGTAAACCAAATGAAACACAATCCATTGTTACTGAAGTCTCCCCAAATCCACCCATGAACAACCAGTCATTATTCGAGTGCTGTCATACAATCTCCGTTTAAGCAAGATTTCCCCCATCACCAACCCCCAACTCCCCGTGCATCAGTTCCACAGTCCATCTGGGGCCTCTTTTGCTGGTCTTTTCTCCCAAAATTTCACAACTAAATGTAAGTAAATGCAACAGGAGGCCGAATGCTGTCCCACTGGCAACGACCTCCTTAGGAAAGCTTTACCCTCCCATGGAGCACAATTCCCCCCACGACATTCTTCCAGGTTGAAATCAAGGTTACCCAGTGATTTTCTCCCTTAAGCTCAAAGATCAGATACAGAAGCCCCATTCA